>NC_000002.12:152641133-152944163 GCF_000001405.40 Homo sapiens | reverse complement strand
CCCTCCACCCTGCAGTGTTCAGGTTTGGATCATGTTTGAAAATACTGTATCTCGAGTGTTATCTATGTGGCAACAGATCTTGGTCTCTCTGCTTATCAGGATGTGAAACAAAGCAGAGCTCTTGATGATCCTTCTAGCACAATGATGATTCTTTTATATTTCAAATAGTTAATTCAAGAGACGTCCATAAGCCCTTATTTCCATAGTCTTCTATAAGCACAGGAAGGAAGAACAATGGGTTGTATAAGGCTGTATTTAAAAGACACAGGTGAGCAAAAACAAACAGAATTTAATATCTATATATTACCAATTGGAAATGTAACAGAGTTTTCCAAAAAAGCAATGTTATTCACTAACTGTGTGACTGAGTAAATTTCTTAGCTTCTCTGAACCTATAATCTGCACTTTAAAAATGGTAACCTCTTTCATTGTGTATTTTTATTATTAAATGTGATCATTCAGTTTGGCCATTTGTCTCCAATACTTGGCACATGACAAATATTAATAAATATGAGTGGACTGGATGTGAAAACCAGGGATGGCTTCCTCAAGATGATGAATTCAAGGTACCTCTCAAAGTAAACTGCAAAGAGGAGAACAGAGTCCATTCTCGGTAAAAACATGACCAGGGAAATGGAAATGAAAATTTTCAAGAACAGCATTTAATGTATCTGAAAAGTATACACTATTGCCTAATTCTGCATGAGACCATATTAACTTTTGTTTTAATAATAACATGGAAACTGAATTGAAAGAGACCTTGAAAGGACAACCTATCTATTACACTGGCTTCAGACGGGCAGGATCATTTCTAAGCTACTTACATGTTACTTACTTGAGATGACAAAGAGAAGAAAAATTATGGCAATTTTCAAAATATAAAACCCTTTACTTGGTTGCCAAGCCTATCTTTCACTTTAAGGCTGAGATAACATCTTCTCTAAGTGCCTGCTGACTGAATTTACTCTACAAGGGCACCAGTGCATTTATAGACCTGCTTCCTTTCTCTAGAGCTGTCAGTTATCATTAATGTTCCTGACAGTCTGCTTCATCCGCGGCACTTGCTCAGGGAGAAGGTGTTATTCTTGAGTGTCCCATTTATAGGTAGAGAACAATATTCAACATGAAAACTTCAATCAAGCAAATGTCTAGAGAAAGTCTCCTTCTACAAACAACTTTTGTCTATTTTAGCTGATGGAGATGCCAAGTGTTTATTAGAGTGCATACATTGTAAGAAATGCAGGGGTCGATCATGAAAAAAAATGATTAAAGAATCAGTATATATTTTTGCAAATAGCCTCCAATCGCGTGAATTATTAAGACTTCCATACACTTAGTAGTTTTAAAATTTTGTTTTCAAAAGAATTCATATATCAAAAATGAATATGGAAATCCTGCTTATAGCAATAGAATAGTTTTAACAGACCAACACTCTCCCCAAAAGTAACTACAAAAGCTGTATAAAATAGTCTTTAAGGGTTGCCTGAAGAGTTCTGGGGACTTTCGGGAATGGAGGGGCCAAGATCTCTGAGAGGAGAGAAATTCTCTGAGGTGAGCCCAATATTCTGCAGACAGTTTTTCCCCTTGGGGCATTTGCTGAGTCTTAAGTAAGAAGGGAGAGGTTGAAGGCAGAGGCTAAAAAGTTTTGCAGAATGCAAATTCTAAGAATCAAAGGAGCCAACTGAGCTTTCTCATTGAAATAAGAAGAAAAATATTGTACTTTGGGCCCACTAAGGCAGCCAGAAGATCTAGGTTTGCCAAGACCACGGACAGAGAAAAAGCACAGAGAAGTAAGCCCAAACTCGTGGGTTTTCCTCTCGTGGCACTGACCAATTCTTAAATTACACAAGGATAAGAAGCTGAGCAAAAAGCTGCAGGAAATCTCAATAGAGGTCTTCCACTGTCTCATAGTGCTGATGATTAGAGTTCAGGCTAATGATTGGAATGCTAAAATTAGAGTTCGGGACCTGCCAAGTCCTGAAGGCCCTGGTAACTATCCTAGGTTCTCCTGAGGGTTCTTTTGAGTGCTGTCTTCTGAGATGGGAAAAAAACCTGAGATCTAGACTTCAAAAGTCACAAACATAGCCTAGAGTCACCTTGATCCTACCTAGATTAAGGAGCCTGCCCCTCCCCTAAGTGCCTGACAGAGGATAAGGTGAATCGTCTCTGGAGGAAGATAACATCCTACAGAGCCTCTACAATTTTTCATATACGATGTCAGCATTCAATTAAAAAGAATTTCTAGGCATACAAAGAAAAAGAACCAGGAGAAAGGCAGAAAGAAAAATACATTCATAGATGACCCAGTTATCATCTGTATAAATTATGTTTAAGATAATACATGACAAGTTGGAGAATTTTGCCTGAGAATTAAAGTCTATAAAAACAATCAAATTTCAACTGTAGAGCTGAAAAATATAAAAATCGACATTAAGAAGGCAATTATTATTTCAATACAAAATGAATGCAGGTAGAGGAATAGTGAACAAGAAAATAAGTTATTATAAAATACTCAAACCCAAGCACAGGAAAAACAAATGACAGAAAATACAAAAAGAGGGCCGGGCACGGTGGCTCACGCCTGTAATCCCAGCACTTAGGGAGGCCAAGGCAGGCGGATCACGAGGTCAGGTGATCAAGACCATCCTGGCTAACACGGTGAAACCCCATGTCCACTAAAAATACCAAAAATTAGCCGGGCATGGTCACGGGCACCTGTAGTCCCAGCTACTCGGGAGGCTGAGGAAGGAGAATTGCTTGAACCCGGGAGGTGGAGCTTGCAGTGAGCCGAGAAAGCGCCACTGCACTCCAGCCTGGGTGACGGAGCGAGACAAAGGAAGGAAGGAAGGAAGGAAAGAAGGAAGGAAGGAAGGAAGGGAGGGAGGGAGGGAGGAAAGGAAGAAAGGAAGGAGGGAAGGAAGGAAATACAAAAAGAGTTTAAGAGACACGGACATAAGGAAAAAGTCATACATTCATAAAAGTGGCCATCCGGGACAAAAGAGACAAGAGAATCTGGCCAAAGCAACATTTGAAGAAGTATGGTTGAAAATGTTTTAAGACTTGTATAAAAAATTAATCTATAAAGTTCTAAGAAGCCAAAAGAGATTAAACAAAAAAAAAGCACATCTGAGCATATTATGGCCAAAACTCATGAAAAAGGATAATGATAAAGGAAAAAATATTAAAAGTCATCTAAAGGAGATGATTATATTAGCTTCAAAGGAGCTGTCAAACACTAAGTTCTTCACAGAAGTGATACAAGCTAGAAAACAATAGAATAACTGCTGAAAGATTTCTTTTTAATCCACCCTAGAATTATACATCCAGAGAAAATAACATTCCAAGACAAAGATACAATACCTAAATTTTAGCAAATGGCAATGAAGTAAAAGTTTAAGAGAATTTTAATTACAATTTACTCTAAAACAGTTTAAAAGAAAAACAAATGCATTTATCTATGCATCAGAGAGGATGAATATAAGTAAAAATTGGTGAAATGTTAATATTTAGAAAATCTTACTAAAGGATATACAGAAACTTCTTATATTATTATTGCAACTTTTCTGTTAGTCTGAAATTATTTCAAAACCAAAAGGGTTTTTGGGTTTTCTTTTAACTTTTATTTTAGGTTTGGGGGTACCTGTGAAGGCTTGTTACATAGGTAAACACATGTCATGGGGGTTTGTTGTATCTATTATTTCATCACCCAGGTATTAGACCCGGTATCCAACTGTTGTCTTTTCTGTTCCTCTCCCTCCTTCCACTCTCCCTCCTCAAGTAGACCACAGTGTCTGTTGTTTCCTTCTTTGTGTTCAGAAGTACTCATCATTTGGCTCCCAACTTATAAGTGAAAATGTGTGGTATTTGGTTTTCTCTTCCTGCATTAGTCTGCTAGGGATGACAGCCTCCAACTCTATCTATGTTCCTGCAAAAAACATGAACTCATTCTTTTTTATGGCTGCATAATATTCCATAGTGTATATGAACCACATTTTCATTATCCATTCTGTCTTTGATGGGCATTTGGGTTGATTCCGTATCTCTGCTATTGTGAGTAATGCTGCAGTGAACATTCATGTGCAAGTATCTTTATGGTAGAATGCTTTATATTCCTCTGCATATATACTCGGTAGTGGGATCACTAGGTCTAATGGTAGTTCCACTTTTAGCTATTTGAGGAATTGTAATACTGCTTTCCACAATGGTTGAGCTAATTTACACTCCACCAACAGTGTACAAGCATTCCCTTTTCTCCGCAATCTCACCAGCATCTATTGTTTTTTGACTTTTTAGTAATAGCCATTCTGACTGGCATGAGATGGCATCTCATTGTGGTTTTGATTTGCATTTCTCTAATGATTCATTATATTCAGCATATTTTCATATGCTTGTTGGCTGCATGTATGTCTTCTCGCAAAAAAAAAAAAAAAAAAAAAAAATGTGTTCATGTCCTTTGCCCACTTTTTAACGGGGTTGTTTTTTTCTTGTAAATTTATGTTCCTTGTAGATGCTGGATATTAGACCTTTGTCAAATGCATAGGTTGCAAATATTTTCTCCCATTCTGTAGGCTCTCTGTTTACACTGTTGATAGTTTCTTCTGCTGTGCAGAACCTCTAAAGTTTAATTAGATTCCACTTGTCAATTTTGGCTTTTGTTGAGATTGCTTTTAATGCCTTTGTCATAAAATCTTTTCCCGTTCCTATATCCGGATGGTATTGCCTAGGTTGTCTTTCAGGGGTTTGTATAGTTTTGGGTTTTACATTTAAGTCTTTAATCCATCTTGAGTTGATTTTTGTGTATGGTGTAAGGAAGGGATCCAACAGGTTGCAGTGAGCCAAGATCACACCACTGCACTCCAACCTGGTTGATAGAGTGAGACCCCATCTCAAAAAAAAAAAAAAAGAAAGAAAGAAAAAGAAAAAACAGAGAGAAAAGGGAGCATAGAACAGGTAAAACAAATGAAAACCAAATAGTAAAATGGTAGGTTTAAACGTATTACTATGTTATTACAGTGAGTATGTAAGGATTAAATACCATGTACTTTTCATATCAAATTAAAAGTCAAAGATAGAAGGAACATAATAAAAGCTATATATGACAGATCCACAGCTAGTATCATACTGAATGGGGAAAAACTGAAAGCATTTCCTCTAAGATCTGGAACACAACAAGGATGCTGTATTAGTCCATTTTCATACTGCTATGAAGAAATACCCGAGACTGGATAATTTTTTTTAAAAAAAGTAGCTTGATGGACTCAACAGTTCACATGGCTGGGGAGACTTCACAGTCATGGGAGAGGGTGAAGGAGGGCCAAAGGCATGTCTTACATGATGGCAGTCAAGGGCACGAGTGCAGGGAAACTGCCCTTTATAAAACCATCATATCTTGTGAGACTTATTCACTATCACGAGAACAGCACGGGAAAAAGCCACTCCCATGATTCAATTACCTCCCACCAGGTCCCTCCCATGACATGTGGGGATTATGGAAGCTACAATTCAAGATGAGATTTAGGTGGGGACACAGCCAAACCATATCCGATGCCCACTGTCATGACGGTTATTCAACATAACACTGGAAATCTTAGCTAGAGCAATCAGACAAGAGAAAGAAATAGAGGGCATCCAAATTGAAAGGAAGAAGTCAAATTATCCTTGTTTGCTGATGATATGATCTTATATTTGGAAAAACCTAAAGAATACACAAGAAAACTAATAGAACTGATAAACAAATTCAGTAAAGTTGCAGAATACAAAATTAACATACAAAAATCAGTAGCATTCCTATATGCCAACAGTGAACACAACAGGAAAAACAAAAAGTAATCCCATTTACAATAGCCACACAAAAAAATTATATACCTAAGTAATTAACCAAAGAAGTAAAAGATCTCTACCATGAAAACTATAAAACACTGATGAAAGAAATTAAAGAAGACACCAAAAAAATGGAAAAATATTCCATGTTTGTGGATTACAAGAATCAATATTGTTAAAATGTTCATACTACTCAAAGCAATCTACAGATTCAATGCAATCCTCATCAAAATACCAATGACATTCTTCACAGAGATAGAAAAAAAATCCTAAAATGTATAACCACAAAAAAAAAAAAACAGAATAGCCAAAGCTATCCTAGTCAAAAAGAAAAAAACTGGAGGAATTACATGACCAAACTCCAAATTATACTGCAGAGCTATAGTCACCAAAACAGCATGGCACTGGCATAAAAACACATAGACAAATGTAATGAAATAGAGAACCCAGAAACAAATCCACACACCTACAGTGAACTCATTTTTTACAAAGGTGCCAAGAACATATACTGGGGAAAAGATGATCTTTTATATAAATGGTGCTGGGAAAACTGAATATTCATATGCAGAAGAATAAAACTAGACCTATATACAAAAAATCAAATCAAAATGGATTAGATCTAAATCTAAGACCTCAAAGTATGAAACTACTACAATAAAGCATTATGGAAAATCTCCAAGACATAGATCTGGGCAACAATGTCTTCAACTCTATAGGAAAAAAAATCTAATAATCCAATCAAAACTGGGCAAAAGATATGAATGGACATTTCTCAAAAGAAGATCTGCAAATGGAAAACAGGCATATGAAAAGGTGCTGAACATCAATGGTTATCAGCGAAATGTAATTCAAAACTACAATGAAATATCATCTCACCACAGTTGAAATGGGGCTTATATCCAAAAGACAGGCAATAGCAAATGCTAGCGAGGATATGGAGAAAAGAAAACCCTTGTACCCTGTTGGTGGGAATTTAAATCAATACAACCACTATGGAAAACACTTTGGAGGTTTCTCAAAAAGCTAAAAATTGAGCTGTCATATGATCCAGTAATCCTACATCTAGGTATATGCCCAAAAGAAAGGAAATCAGTTTATCAAAGAGATATCCACACTCCTATGTTTGTTGCAGCACTTTTTACAATAGCTAAGATTTGGAAGCAACGTAAGTGTGCATCAACAGATGAGCTGATAAAGAAAATGTGGTACATATACACAATGGAGTACTATTCAGCCATAAAAAAAATGAGACCCAGTCATTTGCAACAACATGGATAGAACTGGAGATCATTAGGTTAAGTGAAACAAGCCAGGCACAGACAGACAAAGATTACATATTCTCACTTGTTTATGGGATCTAAAATTCAAAACAATTGAACTCATGGACATATTTACCTGAGGCTTGGAAGGGTAGTGGGAGGGTTGGGGGTAGGGGGGCAGTGGAGATGATTAATGGGTACCAAAAAATAGAAAGGATGAATAAGACCTACAATTTGATAGCACAACAGAGTAACTACAGTCGGTAATAATTGTACATTTAACATAACTTAAAGAGTGTAATTGGATTGTTTATAACTCAAAGAATTAAATGCTTGAGAGGATGGATACCCCATTCTCCATGACGTGCTTCTTTCACATTACATGACTGTATCAAAACATTCCATGTACCCCGTAAGTATATACACCACTATGTACCCACAAAAATTAGAAATAAAAAATTAAAATGTATATTCTGCTCATAAGAACCACAACTTAAAATAAAAACACATAAATAAAATGATGGAAAAATTATATAATATGCAAAAACTAATCTTTAAAAAACCTGTTACAGTCATACTATCATAAAAATATACTTTAAGGCAAGATACAAGATGCCAACAAGTAAAGAAGGATTCCCATAATGGTAAAAGAGAATACATAATAAGAGGTAAAGAATGATTTTCATAATGGTGAAAACAGAGATACAACAATTTTACACTTGTATCTTCCTAATAGTACAGCTTTGAAATATATAAAGTAATATTTAACAGAACTAAAGAGAGAAATGGATGCATCCATAATCATAGTGAGAAAATTTAAGACAGCTCTCTCAGGAGTAGATAGAATATGCAATAAAAATCTTAATGATACAAATAACTGATTTACCTTATTTTCATGAATATTTGAGCCAAAACAACAGAATAAACATTTTTCGTATGCACAGGATAAACATTTTTCGTATGCACAGAAACACTTACCAAAGTTTACTATATGATGGGCCATAAAGTAAATCTCAACGTCAAAAAATTGGAATCATTGAGATAAATTAACCTAGAGATTGGTAACAAAAAAGATAATTTTAAAATCCCCAAGTACTTGGAAACTAAACAACTTAGGAGTCAAAGAAATAACTACAATGAAAATTAGAAAATATTTTAAATTTAATTATAACTAAAATATAATATAATGAATCTTGTGGAGTTCAGCTAAAACTATAATTACAGGAGGCATTTTAGCCTAAAATAAATATTTTAAACAAAAATACAGACTGAAAAGCAATTATCTGAATGTCCATCTCAAGGAGTTAGAAAACAACAGCAAATTAAATTCAAAGAAAAGTAGATGGGAAAAGTTACAAAGATAAGAGCAGAAACAGATGAAGTAAAAAATATGCACCACAGAGAAAATTAACAAATCCAAAATTGAATTTTTAAGAAAACTAATAAAATTATAACCCCTAACAAGAAAAGCCAAAAAAAAAAAAAAAGGCACAAATGACCAATGTCAGGCAAACAAAGGAGGATATCACTATAGACATTATGGACATTAAAAAGAAAAATTAGAAAATACTATAAATGTTTGCCAGTAAATTTGAAAATGCATATAAAATTAATAAATTTCTAGATAGCTACAACTTACAAAAGTAACACAAAAGAAATAGAAAATTAGAAGATTGCTATACTAGAAAAGAAATGGAATCTGTAATCAAAAGTTTACCACAAAAAAAATCTCCAGACCTAGATGGCTTTACTGGTGAATTCCTCCAAACACTTTAAAAGATATAATATGAATTCCACATAAATTCTTCTAGATAACAGGAAAAAAAGAACACTTCCCAATTCATTTTATAAAGCCAGCATTACTGAAACCTGACAAATGCAATTCAGGAAGAAAATGTATAGGCCAATTTCCCTCATGAAAATAGGCAAAAATAATTCTAAACAAAATATTAGGAAATAAGATCCAGTAGTATATAAAAGAAAACATATCATGACCAATTGAGATTTATTCAAAGAATACAATCCCAAATTAATAAGTATAATTTACCACTTCAACGAAGTAAAGGAGAAAAATCATAAAATCACATACATACATACAGGTAAAGGTATTTAATAAAGTTCAACATCCACTTATGATTTTTTGATAGGCTCTTGGCAAACTAGGAATAGACAGAAACTTATCTAATCAAATAAAAGATATTTATAAGAATCTATTGAGAACATAATATTTAATGTTGAAATTTGAAAGATTTCCTTCCCACCCCTACCCCAGATATTAGGAATAAGACAAGAATAGATGCTATTATCATTTTCATTCAACACTATAAATCGTGCAATTGAAAAAAATTAGAACATATATGTGTGCACACATACACACATATATTTATAATTTTAATATGTTACAAATACTGAAAAAGAAAAATAAATTTTTCATTTGAATAAATGATATAGATGATATAACTGCATACATAGAAAATCCAATGGAATGTTCAGATTAATAAGGGGATTTAGCAATGAATCTGTATAAGATCAACATGTAAAAATAAATATACCTCTATATGCTAACAATAAACTATGAAAAATTTTTTAAAATATCATTTTGTAAAGCACCTAAAACATAGGAATAAATTCAACAATATATATGCAAATCCTAAACACAAAAACATTATGAGAATAAATTAAAGAAGATCTATTTAAGTAAAGAAAAATACCATGTTCATAGATTTGAAGACTCAATGCTGTTAAATTGTTGCTTCTCTCAAAATTGATACTTAGACTAAATGCTGTGTCAGTCAAAATTCCAGAATGCTTTAAGGAGGAAGCAAGAAACAAGCTGATTTTTAAAATTTATATAGAAATGGAAACAAACAACTAAAGTGTTTTCTTCAAGAATACTGAAGAAAAGCAGAGCTGGAGAACTAACAATATCATTATTAAGACTACAGATAGAAACTTCCAGCAATTAAGATACAGTATTTGGAACATAGATAGGCCAAGAGAACAGAATAGAGTCCAAAAAAATACCCACACATATACAGCCACTTCTGGACTGATTTTATTTTGTTTTGGTTTGGTTTGGTTTGGTTTTGGTTTGAGATGGGGTCTCACTCTGTCTCCCATGCTGGAGTGCAGTGGTGCAGTCATAGTTCACTGTAGCCCTGAATTCCTAGACTCAAGTGATCCTCCTGTCTCAGTCTCCTGAGTAGCTAGGACTACAGATGCACATCACCTCACCTGGCTAATTTTTTTTACTTTTTGTAGAAACATGATCTCGCTACGCTGCCCAGGCTGATCTTGAACACCTTGCCTCAAGCGATCCTCCTGCCTTGGCCTCTTGAGTAGCTGAGATATCATGTGGGAGCCACTGTGCTCAAGTAGGGGCATTTTTTTTATAAGGAGACACTATGGTATAGAAAGAAGTATTTTCTTAAATAATGGTGCTCTGTTAATTAGATACCTATCTAGTAATTAAATAATTCTTGATTCCATCTCACTTCATACACAAATATCCATTCTGGATAGACTGTAGATCTAAATTTAAAACATCAAAGAATAAAACTTATAGAAAACAAATTTTTTAAAATCCTTGTGAACCTGTGATAAACAAAGAATTCTTAAATAAGACATAAAAAGCACTAATTATAAATTAAAAGATAAATTAGACTATACTAAAATAGTAAAATTCTCTACATCCAAAGATACCATTACAAGAGTAAAAAAAAATCAAGCAACAAAATGTGGTGAGAAATTTGCAATTGTTTATCTATCAGACAACTCAAATCCAGAATTTAAAAGAATTTCTACAAATCAATAACAGCCTACTACAACAACCTATTAGAACAGTTGACTCTGACAAAAAAACGTTCTGCAAATGGCTAATAAACACATGGAAATTTTCTCAACATCATTTCCCTTCATCGAAATGTAAGTTAGTCCAAAGAAATGTAACTGAGAGTAGTCTTCAAGAAAACGTAAGTTAAAACCACAGTGTCATTTTATTATACACCGGAAGAGCTAATGGTAAATGACAAGTGTTGGCAAGAATAAGAAGCAACCAGAACACACATATGCTGCTGATGAGGAAGTAAATTGGTAAAACAATTTTGAAAAACCATTCAGTGATAATCTACAAAAATTGAACATACATATTCCTTATGGCCTAGCAATTCCACCTTTAGTTACATGTGCACAGATATTCAACAAAAGACATACGAGAATGCCTTATGTGAACATCCATGAATGTTCATAGCAGCAGTTTTCATAATAGCCAAAAATTGGAAACACAAATATCCATAATAAATTAGATGGATTAATCATGTTATAGTCATACAATAGAATATTAAACAGCAATGGAAATGAATAAATTACTGCCACAACAACAACATGGGAGAGTTTTACGAACATACTGTTAAGTGAAAGAAGCCAGCCAAAAGGGTGTCCATATTGTATAATTCCATTTATATAAGTTAAGAATTGATAAAACTTACAGACAGTGATAGAAGTCATGATATTGTTACCATTGAGAAAGATAATAAGTGACTAGGAGAAAACAAGAGAAGGTTCTCTGAGGAGCTGGTAATTTTCTTTTCTTGATCTGGGTTACAGTTACACAGTGTATTCACTGCATGAAAAATTACCAAGCTTAGGACTTAACATACTTTTCTATATGTGTGTTGCATTCAAAGATACAGTTTAAAAAAAAAAAGATAAACGTGTCCCCCTGAAGTCTGACATTAAAGAAAGATAGACTCCTATTATCGAGGGACAGGAAAAACAGGCCTACAATGCAATTTAATATTCACAAAAAGAACACCACCATTTTTGGCTACACAGAAAAAGTATTATGTTATAATCAAGGGGAAGAGAGTGCCTCTGTAAAGATTAATGGCAGTACACAAAAAGATTGCATTTAGATTAGGACATCACCATGGCACAAAATGGAGTGCAGACAAAGTTTTTTTTTTTTTTTTTTAACGTTCAGAGGAAATAAATTTTTGATAAAGGAAATAAAAGTATCAAAGTAATTTTTCTATTGGGAGAAAATCATGTCAATGGAAGAAATAAATTTACTGCAGATAAGAAAAGCATGGATTTATAACCATGAACAATCCTCCTTTTTTTCTGTTTTCTCTCTGGTCCTATCAATCCCCAACAAGTACATCAGCATATTGCCTCCTTTTCCCCCAAAACAACCACCTTTGAGAAGTTGAAAAACAAAAGTGTTAAATAAGCACAGGATTTGTTTGGTCACAACTTCTCAAAATGCCCCTTTTTTTTGAGACGTTGTCTTGCTCTGTCATCCAGGCTGGAGTGCAGTGGCAAGATCTTGGCTCACTACAACCTCCACATCCCGGGTTCAAGCAATTCCCTGCCTCAGTCTCCCGAGTAGTTGGGATTACAGGCGCCCACCACCATGCCTGGCTACTTTTTGTATTTCTAGTAGAGACGGGGTTTCACCATCTTGGCCAGGCTGGTCTTGAACTCCTGACCTTGTGATCCACCCTCCTCGGCCTCCCAAAGTGCTGGGATTACAGGTTTGAGCGACCACACCTGGCCTCAAAATGGCCCTTCTTACCAAGACCATATTCATCAAGCAGTTTTTTAGAAAACTGGTTAGAGAATAAGTACATGCACAAAGAGTTTATATTCTTTTCTCTTACAACATGACCTTATCTTCACATCGTGGAGACAAATGTGTCTATACTCTTACACACTCACCTTTCATTGGCCGCAGTATCTGTGTGCCTATGATTATGCTCATATCTCCCATCCTATCCTGAAAAACAAAAGGAAAAAAGAAAAACAATCAAGTAAATAGAGTGGATTCACTTGGAAATCCCCATCTCTTCTTCACTCTGAACACTTTACAATAATAGCTTAAATTTTTTAAATGTCTTTATAAGACACAGCTGTAATAAAAAATGTACAAACATCTTTGTGGTTCAGATATGGCACACCAACATGGCACATGTGTACATATGTTACAAACCTGCACGTTCTGCACATGTACCCTAAAACTTAAAATATAATAATAATAAAATTTAAAAAAAATACATAATAATAAAAAGTAGGTTGTAGCTCTAAGCATCCTATGCTCCAAGACAAAAAACAAGTGTTGGTCACTGGAAAGTCAGCTGCTGCAAGAGAGTAAGGACAAAAGCACCCCATGTACATAGGAGCCTACATTCAGGTTCAATTTTGAAAAATATGAGCTGGAACAAACCTATCTCTCTCTGTGAACAGAGGCTAAAATAAAAGGCTGTTGGGCTTGGATAACAAGAAAGAACAAAGGCTTCCAACATTGGATATGCAATATCCCCAAGCCAATATAAGACATCATTCTGAACTGGGAACTCTCAGAATCCAAAGCAAAGCAACTGCCAAATCACTAAGGATTACATCAGGAGAGAGACGAAAATCTCTTACTTAAGATGAGCTTACAAGTCAAAATTTAAAGTCTTACAAAGACAGCTAATCCATTAAATGAAACTCAACAATAAGAAGAGCTGATTTCTAAGGAGATGCAAACGATAAAGAAATGTAAAAGGTTTTTAAAATAAGCACTTTAATATCCTCAAGCTGATAAAAGAAGGAAAATTTCTTATTTATCAAAACAGGGGATTATGGAACAAATATAGGTACATTTGAAACAAAACAGGTTGGTATGTTAAAAAGTCAATTATAAATGCTAGAAATTACATATATATTTCTAGCATTTGTTTATATATATTATATATCTAGCATTCATTTATATATCTAGCATTCATTTATATATTATATATATATAATTTCTAGCATTTAATTGTATATATAATACATCAAGGAAAGAATTCAGATGACAAGATAAACTTTAGGCTGAATCCAGTTAAAGAATTAGTTATTGAACCACTGCTCAGTAATTCATTCTTAAATCTTGGTTCTCCCCAATGTTTCCTCCTTGGACTCCTGGCCTTCTCATTTTACATGCTCTTATCAATCACTTCTTCTTCAAAAGTCATTAAAGTTCTATATATATCATGTAATATGTAATATGTAACATATTACATATATGTAATATGTTACATATATGTACTATGTGATGCTACATAAATGTAGTAATATATTACATATATGTAATATGTGATGTTACATATATTCAATATGCGGTGTGTTGCATATAGGTAATATATGACATGCAACATATATGTTACATGTTGCATATATATGTGTGACATGTTACGTATATGTGATATGTTGCATGCATGTGATATGCTGCATATATGTGATGTGTGATATGTCACATATATGTAATATGTGATATGTGATATATTACATATATGTAATATGTGATATGTAATATGTTACATATGTGTGATATGCGATATGTAATATGTTACATATATGTAGTGTGTGATATGTAATATGTTACATGTATGTGATATGTAATGTGTAATATATTACATGTATGTGATATATGTGTGATACATATGTAATATATTATAAAATATATTATATATAATATATGATACATTATATGTATTATATAATATATAAAATATATATTATAGCATATATTTTATATATACTATAGTATATATACTATATAATACATATATATTATATATGTAACATATTGCATATTATATTACATAATATATATGTAATATAGTATATAATATATAATTATATGATAATATAATATAGTGTATAATATACTATATTATATAATTACATAATATAGTATATTATATACTATAATAATATAGTGTATATTATATATTACATATATTATATGTAATATATATGTAACATGTAATATATTGCATATATAATATATAATATGTTACATAAATTATATAATATATTACATATATAATAGTATATATTAAATACATATTATATATTTAGTATATAACATATAATATATAATATATTAAATATGTATTATATAATATATTAAATATATATTATATTGTATTATATATTATATAATTGTATATTATATATTATATAATTGTATATTATATATATTATATAATTGTATAATATATATAATATATTATATAATATTATATATTATATAATTATATATTATATATATAATTTATATGTAATCTATAATATATATTATACATAATATATCATGTATAATTATATATATCATACATCATATATATATTATGTATAATATATAAATGTATCAGATAACATAACCAGTTGTCTCATGAACACATATATCTAGATGGACTTAGGTATCTCAAACTCAACACATTGCAAACTGCTCATTAACTTCTTTCTACCCCATAGTCTATTTTGCTGTATATTCCCTATCTCAGTAATTGACTCTTTGTCACTATTGTTTCCTTATCCAAGTCAAGAGCCTGAGAGTCATCCTTGACTCCCTTCTCTCTACCAACGCACAAGACTATCTCTGAGCTGTCCTCACTGCTCCATCTTAATGTGAGCCCTCATCATCTTTTACTGGACCCCTTCAATTTCAGTGGCTCTTTAAGGGTCCCTTGCCTTAAGTTCATGATTCTTTTACCCATCCTCTAGACAGCTGCTAGAGAAGCAACCTCTAAAAAAGTAAAAATATAACATTGATTGTGCTATTTTCCTTCATAAAACTATTCAGTGTCTCTCCACTAACCCAAAATAAATCAAAAGTAAAGACATAGTCAAACGTGGAAAGGTATCCTAAGAGTAAGAAAAGGTATGGCTTAACTTTGATCCTTAAGGGCACCTGGAAGGAACAAATCATTTTTCTTTTGGAGCTGCACAGTTTCTGGCACATCATTAAATGTTGAACGAATAATTGTGTGAATGAATAAGTGATTGAATATAGAAATAAGGTTAAAATTCAGACAGCTTTGCATTTTGTGGTCCAGCCTATATAAGCTCTACTCCCTGCCTCTCTAGTATTTGAGAAAGACAATTTGAAGTTGACATGACTATAAAAAAAAAATGTATCAAATACAACAAAAATATAGAGCTTGTGTTTGGCCGAAGTTTGTTAAGAATTATGAGATTAGGAACTCAGGCTCCAGAGATCAATAGACCTAGGTTTACACTCCAGCTTCACCATTTAATAGCTGCATGACTTTGAACAAGTGGCTTACACTCTCTTGATTTTGATTTCCTCATCTATAAAAATGGAGACAATGATAGTACCTACCCTGTTATGTGGATAAAACGAAATGATGCATATAAATCATTTAGCAGGTCCAGGTTCCCAATAGGTACTCAATAAATGTTAGCTTCTGTTATTTTTATTATTCACTATTTGCTCAGTATCTCTTCGCAAGTTCTCTCTCAGAACACTGGAATTCACTGGCTGGTACTGGGCAAGGAAGCTCTGCCACGTAAGTGCCTTCAGACAAACTGGCAAGGCTTTAGAATTGCTCTGAGAAAGACTGTCTTTCAGTTCTTTTGTTAACTGTTTTTGTAATTACTATTAATTGTAATGAATAGTAACTACCATTAATTGTAATTATTAGTAACTTCCAGTGCTTTATAGTTTATGAACTCCTTGTACCCATCTAACCCACAGAAAATGATGTGCCGTCAAGCTTCAGTGAAAATGACTTTTCTTTTAAGGATGACATTGATTCATAGAGACAACTTTAAAAAGTGAGGCATCTGATTATCTGGTCCATCTAATCTTCCTTCTGTGTTGACTCTCTTTCCACACTTGGATTAGTTTTTAATTAAATAAAAAGTTAAATTGTATAAAGACAAAAACCCCATTAGCAAATGTAAATGTTTAGTGAGATGTGTACTCTTTCTTCACTCGCTGCTTGATCTATGAGTCCAGAGTATACGGTCATCAACTACATCAGAAAGACCAGTAGGGCTGCTTTTCAGTATCAACTTTTGGTATTCAAATCACATAAAACCCAGCATTTGCTTTCCCTAATTTACTTGGTTTCCATGACTTGCTACTGAAATCATATGAAGCCTAGAGTTTGCTTTTCCTAATTTACTTCAAATTATATACTTTAGGCTATTAACCCAATTGAACATTACACAGCAATTCAAAAACAAATAAAGCAATAAACAACAATATATAATAGACAAATTCTAGCAATTAAGTTAAAAAGTAAAAATATTACATACCATATATATCCTTTTCATAAAACTAAAACAACTATAATTAAAATATATAATTTTTAGGGTTAGGCATGCCTATAAATATAATAAAAACTACATAAAAGGGACAAATAGGGAGTGATAAACATAGGATCAAGGCCACCAATTAGCATTTGTGGGAAGAGGCTGGAAAATGGAATAGGGAGTAAAGGCTATACGGTTAAATAAAGGTCATTTACAAGGAACTGCCTTTAGACCTGGTTTTAGGTTAGCAAATTCATGAGTGCTTCTTACATTATTAAAAATAATTATACAGACCAGGTGCAGTGGCTTATGGCCATAATCCCAGCACATTGGGAGGCCAAGGGAGGAGGATCACTTGAGCCCAGGAGTTCGAGACCAGCTTGGGCAACACAGTGAGATTCTATCTCTATTGCATAAAAATAAATCAATAATAAAATTTTTTAAAAATGTTTAAAAAATAAAAGATAATTATATCAATCTGTGTATCAGCTAGGATCTATGCAAGAATACAGAAACCATACTAATTATTTTAACAGAGATAACATACGGAATGGGTTAAATAAGTCTTTGAGGAATTCAAAAGCAAAAAAAGGAACATGAAGGTAGCATATATATGGTAACAAGAATCAGCTACCACTCTTAGGGCTAGAAAAATGAAAAAGGCCAGGATTATCAGAAACTGGAAACTCAGACAAGGCACCTCATGGAGTCTGAGAGGGGCAGCCTGCCCATCTTGCGCTGGTGCCTCTGGCAGGGAACAATAAAACTAGTCCTGAACGTGCCAGAAGAAGCTGGAAACTGGAACCAACTGACACTGTCAGGGTGAGAAGCCATGGATGAAGCAATGCTGACAGGAACAGCAAGCAGAACAGGGAAAAGCCAAGAGCCCCTCCCTTTGCCCTATTCCTGCCTTCTGGTCTCTCTGTGTGTGCTGCCCCCTACTGGCGAAACATAACAGGAGCAGCTGGCTAAGGAGGCACGTGAGGAGCAAAATCCCAGCTCCAGACACACGGGATTAGGGAAGGGTGGGTTAGGCACTGAGAAACAATAGCTTATTAACTGCCACAAGCAGGTAGGCGAGGTGATGCCGTCCAACAATTCAAAATCTCAAACACAACATAAGTGCATTTTCTGACCATACTACATGTCCAGTGCAGATCAGCCGGAGGACTCTGTTCATCATAGCCACTCAAGGACCCAGGTTGGAAAATGTTTCCATGATCACCATAGCAGGGGGAAGGGTGTATGGCGGATCATGCACTTGCTTCAGTGCTTCTGCTCAGAAATGATACACATCACTTCTGCTTACATTTTGTCAGCCCAAGCAAGTCACATGACCATACCAAATTTCAGAGTGTATAGGGAAATGCAGTCGAGCCACATGCCCAGAGGGCCAAGGGCCAGAAATATTTGATGAATAGTCACACTAAGAAAACAAATAAAAATGGTCCATGCATGAACTAATATCGAGAATGTATCATAAACAAAGAACTATAATCCAATTCTGGGAACCTAAATATATATATATATTTATATATATATATTTATATATATATATTTATATATATATATTTTTATATATATATTTATATATATTTATATATATTTATATATATTTATATATTTATATATATATTTATATATATTTATATATATATTTATATATATTTATATATATATTTATATATATATACACACACACACTCATAGACATATACATACTGTATATATATCTATCCTCTTTAACATTTTGGCATGCTAAACATAAGTGTGCCATAGGAGCCACAGCGAGACACACCCAGTCTCCAAGAGAGGTTAATGAACCAGATTGCAGGTCTGCAACATTACCTTTAAAAATCTTGTTCCCCAAACTGAAGCACTAAAAGAAGAACATGTTGATAACTTGAAAGATGCTTTTAGCACCTGAAAGAGAACAATATGACAACGCAAGGAGGATGATCCTAAACATGGAAAATCTGAGCCCCAGTATTGGCCCCCTTGACAGGGCTGCAGTGAACAAGGCTGACTCAGGCCAGTGATTCAAACAGGTTTAGTTTCAAGAGCCAATTTCTAATGTTTGGCAGTGGTTGCCAGGTGGTGTGCCAGCCAGCCTCCTTACACAACACTCCGACCTCATTTCCTGCAACTGTGGCCAGGAGTTGCTTCTTGAACCTCTGGGAAGCCACACCTTTCCAATTGGTTATAGCTAGTAATCATGTTTCACATTTACGTTTAACAAGGCAAGAGTCACACATTTGAATCTCCAAATCTCTCCCCTATCTGACTAATTTTTTAAGGCATACATTTGCATTTTTCTTCTCTAAACACTTTGCAGTTTGGCCTGTATCCTTGAAGCCGTCAGGTATAAAGAATGGAAGACAGCACATACCTGCCAATTTCATACTTCCTAAAAATAGGTGTCTTGGAAGAGACAGAAAAATATAGAAAGGCTTTCATTTTCCTATCATGGGAGCTACCGTTTCACCCCCTCCTACTTTTTAGCCATCATCTAAATAATAAGACAATCTGGCTGAGCCAAGGTGTAAGCACACTTCAGGCAGGTGTGCTTATTAGCACAGGACCTGCCAATGAGCAACCAGGCACTCATGGTGTGCTAAACCATCTTGAAGTGGCCCTCTCACAAGTTCAAAGTGTTAAACCCCCCAATTTCTGTCCTGAACCAATATGTAAACTTAAAAGAGAGGGACAGAGAGAGAGAGAGGACTTGATGCATGAGGGGAGGGATGTTAATGACCAGAGGCACCCTGGTATTTCCTGGCATCAACCCCAAATGTAATAAGGCCAGACCGCCTTAGTTCTTAGGTTTATTTTAGGATGCCCATTTTATAGACATTAATCCCTTGGCATTAGCTCTTCAACTAATCATCTTCCCAATACACCACCAGGAGCTGTGACTTAGGTGCTATGTTTGGCAGGGAACTGCAAGCAGCAGAAACTTAGTTCAAACTCGTTATGAAGAAAAGGTCCATGTGGACTTACAAATCTGAAGCGCATCTGGCACAGCTGGGTCCAAAAGTCCAACACTGTAGTCAGGAATCTGGCTCTTCACCTCTCAGGTCTGCTCTCCTCTGCTTGGCTTCCTTTTCAGGCAGTTTCTTCCAGTGTGGTGGCAAAATTAGCTACTAGCAGCTCCAGCTCCATTCTGCCCAGTTAGGAGTCCCAGCAGAAGAGAGCATACCTATTTCTCACCTTCATCAAAAGTACAAAGCAATAAGTTTCTCATGGCCAAATCCTGTGCCATATGAGAATCCTGGGAGCCAAGGTCAGGGTCAGCCTCACCCCCATGACTTGGACTTAGAGTGATGACAGGGTAGCTGCACAAAGAAAACCCAGGGAATGGGCCAGGCACGGTGGCTCATGCCTGTAATCCCAGCACTTTGGGAGGTTGAGGAGGGAGTATTTCTTGAGCCCAAGAGTTCGAGACCAGCCTGAGCAACATACTGAGACCCTATCTCCACTAAAAAAAAAAAAAAAAAAAAAAAAAAAAAATTGCCAGGTATGATGGCATGCACCTGGAATTCCAGCTACTCCGGAGGCTGAGGTGGGAGGATCGCTTGAGCCCAAGAGGCAGATGCTGCAGCGAGCCATGATCACACCACGGCACTCCAGCCTGGGTGACAGAAAAAGACCCTGTAGAGAGGAAGGAAAGAGAGGAATGGAAAGGAATGGAATGGGAAGGGAAGGGAAGGGAAGGGAAGGGAAGGGAAGGGAAGGGAAGGGAAGGGAAGGGAGAGAGAAAGTGAGGCAGGGAAGGAAGGAAGGAAAGAAGGAAGGAAGGAGAGAAAAGAAAAGATGGACAGAAGGAAGGAAAGGAAGGGAAGGGGAAAGGAAGGGGAAGGGAAAGGAAGGGAAGGGAAGGGAAGGGAGAGAGAAAGGGAGGGAGGGAGGAAGGGAGAGAGGGAACGAAGGAAGGAAGGAAGGAGAGAGAAAAGAAAAGATGGAAAGATGGACAGAAGGAAGGAAGGGAAGGGAAACAAAGGGAAGGGGAAGGGAAGGGGAAAGGAAGGGGAAGGGAAAGAAGAAGAGAAGGGGCAGGGGCAGGGAGGGGAAGGGGAAGGGGAAGGG
This sequence comes from Homo sapiens, assembly GCF_000001405.40. Classification (NCBI taxonomy): domain Eukaryota; kingdom Metazoa; phylum Chordata; class Mammalia; order Primates; family Hominidae; genus Homo; species Homo sapiens. The sequence continues at coordinate 152,922,906 of NC_000002.12, read as the reverse complement.
AAGGTAAATATAAGCAAAAAAATTCAATATATGCCTAGTTCTTGGATGGCTGATTTAAGGATGTAGCCGACAGAGTTCTCAGGCACTGTCTAGTCAATCCCTAAGGCCCATTCAATAACACAAAAAATGTAGCAAAAAATAAATTGAAGATGAGGTAAAGAAAAAAATAACTGTAGTCTACTTTATTTTTAATATCATGGAAAGAAGAAAGGGATGGAGGGAGGATGGAATTAGAGGAGAGATGGAGGAAAGGAGCGACACATGGAGGGAAGGAGGAAGGAAGGAACCCAAGCACCATCTTTAGATCTAAATAAAATAGACTCTAAGCTCCATGCCTCAAATTGTAAAAATCCCAATACCTGTTCTAAGATTTCTATGAATTTCTGGGATGTTTCTGTTTTCATGGCGAAGTCGCTGAGTGGCCTGTGCTTCTTTTGCACACCATGACTTCTACCCGCAGCATCTCTCTACGCACCAATAATGGCATACAGTTTAAGGGAAGCTTCCCAGATCTCAGCGGCCTGTCGATACTGGCTGTTATATTACAAATGGCAGGGTTAAAGAAACTGCCTCTTGGATTTCCAAATCTGTAGCAAGCATCCAGGATGTCCCTGGAGTCTCAGTGCACACTCCTCTCCCCTCTGATGCAGTGATGGAAGTGCCCCTTGACTCTCAAGTCTCTCTGGAAAATAATATTTCCGCTTCTGCCTATAGCCCATCTCTCCACAGGGTTCAAACTCAAGTCCTTCAAACCAGTATGAGGACACAGCTGAGGCAAATACTATACTGTCCTCCACTCCTACCCTAATCCCTTAAGGAAAATTTTCTCCTTTCTTCATGGAGCAAAACCCTTGAAGTCAGTTCATTCAAGCACACCCACCCTCCATTCTCTTACCAGGTGACTAAACATTCCCAGACACATGAACCGCAGCTTGGACCTAGCCAGGAACTCTGCTAAGCACTGACTGATAGCAAAAGGACTCCCATCTGTACGTGAAAGATGTCTTTGGAGTTGTAATATTTTGACAGAAGGCCGTCTCAGGTTTCTTCCCTTGTCTCATCATAAAACACGAATGCTTCTGACTGCTTTCTAAAGTATTCTTACCTTAACTATATGAGGCATCCTTGATTGATCATAAGAAATGCCAGATTGCATTTTGCCGTGATAAGGCTTTTTTTTTGTTGTTATTATTATTATTATTTTGCTGTTTTTGTTAATTTTAGTCGAGTACATTTTTCTTCTATTTAGGTCCACAGCCCCAGTCCAGATTATCAGCTTTATTTCTGTATCTCTATATCTTACTCTCCTTCTCCAACTGCTACGATATGATGTTTGTGTCCCCTCAAAATTATGTTGAAATCTAATCGCCAGTGTGATGGTATTAGGAGGTGGGGGCTTTGGGAGGTGATCAGATCATGACAGTGGTGCCCTCATGAATGGGATTAGTATCCTATAAAAGAGGCTCGAGAGAGATCCCTTGCCCCTTCTACCATGTGAGGTTGCAGGGAAAAGACAGCTGTCTGTAAACCAGGAAGTAGGCCCCCACCAGACAGCAAGTCTTGCCAGCACTCTGATCTTGGACTTCCAATTTCTGTTGTTTATAAGCCACCCAGTCTATGACATTTTGTTCTAGCAGCCCAAACAAACAAAGACAGTAACTTAGCTTAATGTGGCCAATTTCCTCAGCGTGAGTGTTATAGTCCAAATGTTCATCAGGCAAGGAAAAATAAGGCTCAGACTCAAAGGACAAGGAGAGCTTAGAACACCCTATGTAACCTGCACAGAATGAATCAAAGCAAAGGCTGGTACACCGTGGAAGGCATGGTGCTATGGCTCACCCATGAGTCATATGGGATGAGTGGAAAAGCTAGCAGCACAGCACTAAATAAGGAGCAGTGGTGAAAGGAGCTTCAGCATCACCTTGGCAGCCAGACACTGTGCAGAAGACAGAGGTACCACTCCTGCTCTGAGCATATTAAAGTCTCCAAAACACAAATTAGAGAAGCCCTCACCTAAAAGGCACATTGTCCTTTTGAGAAAAAGTGGCAGATAAGGAGCAGAAATTAGAGACCCACTTACTTTCTTTTCTATCCAAGCAAAGCCAGCTGAAGCAAACCAGAAACAGCTTCCCAGAGCTCTCCTTCTCAACCTGAAAGCGTTCTGGAGAAATGTAATGCTACCGAGTCATTTATTGTCAGAATTCACCTGGGAGACTTTACAAGCAAGACTCATACAGCAGATGTCTGGGGGCAGAGAAATACCATTTATTATTGCAATTAGAAACCGAGAGTCTATGAAAAGAAAAATTCAAGAACAGGAACCCAAACCAGAGCTAGATCAGATAATTTGATAGGGAAAGTTGCAGAATCCAGATCCTTAACTTGGTAGAGATTAACTGAGACACTCCAATGACCAGAGATTCAAAGCCCTCCCAAGGAGCACCAGAAAGATCTGTATGGGGTGGAAATGTGTGCTGGAGTTAGAGTTCATAGTTCACTCCTTAGAAAGGCTTGGAGAGAATCAACCAGACATGGTCTCCTCACCTGAATTTATTGCCTGCTTTGTGCTTCACTGCTTCTGCTTCTTAATCCTCCCCCATATTTCCTTAATATACAACGAAAGTGAATTTGAAAAATAAACAAACAAGACCCACATTTTGTAGGCACCTGGCATATGTATTTAATAAATAGGTATTGATAGGAATAACAAAAGCAAGAAGGAGAAAGAGAGAGAGAGGAAGAAAGGAAGAGAGGGAGCGGAAGGGAGGGGAGGGGAGGGGAGGGAATACAAGAAACACAATATTCCTCATATTGCACAGTAAAATACTTTACCACTTTTACTTTCTAAAGGAAAAACCAAATATCAGTATATGTTATCCTGATGTTTGAATTCATTTTTATTTACAATATGCAAAGGTATAGTTTTAGACCACTTTTGTTAACCCTTAATGCACTGCTTTGAGAAAGAACAAAACTATACAAAAACAGAATTGTTCTGGAAAGCTTGGATATGTGATCACAGAACCCAGGAAAACAGAAATGCCTCAGTATTCCATGAGGATATGGCTATAAAGCAGTTATTGTAAAGCCCTTTTCCTAAAGAACGTTTGTGAGAATTTTATGCTCAACTTTCTAGTCCAAGCTAAGACAGGAACTATAATGTGCTTATAGGAACTGACCACCTCTAGCTCCTACACACTCATTTCTTTAAAAGGTTACCCTGTTGTAAGGAGAAAAGGAACGTGCTTTGTCAAAGGATTGATTTTATTATAGGCAATCCAACTACTTTTCAAATTTAAAGAAAAAGTTAATTTTTTTTTTTAGTTTCTGAAAAAGACATTAAGAAGAAATGTGAGTTTCAGACTTCGGAAAATAAAAGTAGCAGTGCAAAACATTCTGATCAGTTCATTTTCTGATTTTGGCTTTAAAAGGTCAGATTTGAAGTTTGTCAGCCATCTGCTGTCTTTATCATGGGCAGATACTAAAATAAATGAAGTCCAAATCATCTAAAATTTTATAGGTTAAGCTTAACATTGTGAAAATATGGAAATAAACTTAGTGAAAAGCAATGTGTTATAAGATATATGTATAAACTTTGTCTCCATTCATTTGGGCTGCTATAACAAAAATACCTTAGACTATTTGCCTTTGCTTTGTTGATGTGGAAGAAAAAAAACACCTTAGGCTGGGTAATTTAGAAACAACAGAAATTTTTGGCTCACAATTCTGCAGGGCACCCAGTCTCTGCTTCCTGGATGACACCTTGTAGCTGTGTCCTCACATGGCAGAAGGGGCAGAAGGGGGAAGCAAGCTTCTCAAATCCTTTAATAAGGGCACTAATGTCATTCATGGGGGCTCCACCCTCATGACCTAATCACCTTTCAAAGGCCCCACCTCTTAATACATCATGTTGGGGATTAATTTCAAACATATAAATTTGGGGTGGGGGGAAACAAACATTCAGACTATAGCATTCTGCCCTGGTCCCCCAAATTGCAAGTTCTTTTCACATGCAAAATATATTTATTCCATCTGAATAGCTCCAAGTGTCACAACTTAAAATCTGAAGTCCAGCATCTCATCTAAATATCATCTAAATCGGATATGGGTGACGCTCAAGGTACAATTTATCTGTAGGCAAACTTCTCTCCACCTGTGAACTTGTGAAATCAAACAAATTATGTGCTTCCAAAATACAATGATGGGCAGGGATAGCATAGATATTTCCATTCCAAAAGTGAGAAATAGAAAGAAAGGTGTAACTGGTCCCAAGTAAATCCAAAGCCCAAAAAGGCAAACATTAAATCCTAAGGTTTAAGAATAACCTTCCTTGACTTTATGTCCTATTTTCCAGAAACAGTGAGGAGGGAGATTGGGCCCCCAAGGACTCAAACAGCCCTGCCCCCATGGCTTTGCTGGGCACAGCCCATGCTTCAGCTCTCATGCACTGGAGTCAAATACCTGCAGCTCTCCCAGGCTGAAGTTGCACGCTAATGGCCCTACCAGGCTGGAGTCTCAGAAGCAACCTTCCCCTGACAACTCCATTGAGCATTGCCCTAATTGGGACTCACTGCTGTGGCCTCAACCCCATGGCTCCACTAGGCATTGCCCAGGTGAGAGATCTCTTGGTGCCCTCACCCATGTTTCAGCTCTCTGTCTGGGCTCTGGGGCTCTCTATGGTATCCTTTGACATTTAGGTGGAGGTCTACATCCACCCACAGACCTTACATTCTGTGCACCTGCAGACAATGCACCACCATGTGAATGCTGCTGTGGTTTACCACTTGTGGCCTCCAGAAGGAAGACTACTAAAGCCCGCATTGCATCTGGGCCCACTGGAGCCACATGTGGGGCAGCCAAAGAGCACTGCATCTGGATAGAGAGCAGAGACTTGAGATGGCACTGGACAGTGAGTCATGATGTCCCCTGGGCATCTGCTTTGAAACTATTCTGCCCTCAAGGCCCTGGAACTCTGGACCTATGATGGGAATGTAGCCCCAACATTCTCCAAAATGCCTTTGGGGTCATTCTTCCATTGTCTTGATTAATAGCATCTGTCTTCCTTATATCCATACTAATCTTATCAAATGTTTGCTTGGCCAAACCCTTATTGCTTTCTCCCATACATGCTTTTTTTATCTTTACAACATGGGTAGGCTGAAAATTTTCCAAATCTTTAAACTCTGCTTCCCTTTTGATCATATTTGTTAATTAAATTATTATATTAATTTTTATAAATTAAATTAATTTACATGTCTCTTCTTGCACTTTAAGCAGCCAAGAGAAGCCATGCCACACCACCAACACTTTGCTTAGAAATTTATTTGACCAAATATCCTATTGCATCACTTGCAAATTCTACTTTTTACAAAGCACTAGGAAATGAACACAATTTCAGCCCAGTTCTTTGCCACTTTATGACAAGAATGGCCTTTCCTCCGTTATCTAATTACATATTCCTCTCTTCCATCTGAAACCTCATCAGAATGGCCATTAATATTCATATTTCTACCAACATTCTGGTCACAAACACTTTGGTAATCTCTAGGGAGACAGAAGCTTTCTCTATAGCTCTCCTCTTCTTCTGAGCTCTCATTAGAAAAGCCCTTCCTGGTATTTGTGACATCAGCACCCCACTTCTATGTATCAATTTCTGTCTCAGTCCATTCAGGCTGCTATAACAAAAAAATACCCAATACAGGGTAACTCATAAGTAATAGAAATTTATTGCTTACAGTAATAGGGGCTGGAAGGTCCAAGATCAAAGAGCCAGCATATTTGGTGTCTGGTAAGAGTCCAGTCTCTGCTTCCAAAATGGCACCTTGTTGCTGCACAGTCACATGGCAAAAAGGAGGAACACGGTGTCCTCACATGGCACCAAAGGCCAGCAAGTTCCCTCAACCCTTTTTATAAGAGCATTAATCCCATTCGTGAGGGCTCTGCCTCCGTGACTTAATCACTTCCCAAAGGCCCCGCTTCTTAATAGATCACATTGGGAATTAAGTTCCAGCATGTGAATTTCAGACCATAGCAAAGTCATTCACAATTCCTCAACAATTGTTCCACGGCAATAATTAGGAGCTCAGAAGGAATAGAAACTGGGGATTACATATGCCTTTAAAAATAAACAATAAGAAATAAAAGAGCGCCAGCCTAGCATGTAAGGAGCTTAGAAGTCACCACTTCATCCTCACAAGAATCAAAAAGCTGAACTGAAAAATGAACAATTCTTCTTAGATGCATCAGAGAAGTGAGGTCACAGGGCAAACCAGCGCCCTCAAAATTGAAGAGACAGACAGGTGGATACAGAGAATCACAACTTACCATACCAGAGCTTGGCAGGAACCAGTGCAGGGCTAGGAAAGCCTTAACTATAATTGGTATATTGCTGGAGACTTGGAGTAGACAAACTGAGAGTTAAAAACTCTGGAGTAGGGGAGGAAGGGGTGACCTAGTCATAGTGGGAACCCCATACTACTCTGAGATTTACCTCAAGGAGTTCTACCAGGTCCTCCCAGTGAATATCAGATTAAAATTCCCTCATTCCTCTAGCAGGGGGAGAGGAAAAGAACCATTTTGAATACCTCAGAGCATTCTGTTCTTTACAAGGTCTGCCCCTCAGGAGAAATTTTTAACCAAAGCCTAACTTGCTGGGATTTTATCTGAGCCTAACTGAGCTGGGGAAAAGAAAATAAGGTAGACTAGCTGACTCTCGCCCTCCACATAGAGGAAGGGAATACTCAACACCAGTCCACTCGATCCTGTCCCACCTAAGTGGGGAAGAAGGGGAAATACTGAGAACCGTGTGTGAAGTTCACAGTCCAGATGTACAGAATTAATAAAGACCTAATCATAGGACTATAGAATTCTTTCCCTCCTCTACACCTTATAATCATCTTACTAAAGGCTTATTTACACTTCCTTTTACCCAATAAATCATGTCTAGCTATTAAGAAAAAATTACAATACATACTAAAATAAAAAACACACACACTTCGAAGAGACAGAGCAAGCATCAGAACCAGACCTGACATGGTATGGATGTTGGATTTATCAGACCAGTAATTTAAAACAACCATGATTAATATGCTAAGGGCTCTAATGGATAGAGTACACAGCATGTGAGAACTGATGGACAATGTAAGGAGAGAGACAAAAATTCTAAAAAGGAAACAAAAAAAAATGGTAGAGATCAAAAGCACTGCAACAGAATGAAAAATGCCTTTGAGGGGCTTTCAGTAGGCTGGACACAGCTGAGGAAAGAATCTCCAAGCTTGTGAATATCTCAGTAGAAACCTCCAAAACTAAAAAAAAAAAAAAAAAAAAAAAAAAAACAAAAAAAAACAAAGAGAAAAAACAGACTTAAAAAATGTATGTGTGTGTGTCTGTGTGTGTGTGTGTGTGTATATATATATATATATGAACTGTGGGACAGCTAAAAAAGATGTAACATGTAATGGGAATGACAGAAAGAGAGAAAGGAATAGAGGTAACATTTGAAGCAATTATGACTGAGAATTTACCCAAATTAATATGAGATACCAAAACACAGATTCAGGAAGTTCAGAGAACACCAAGCAGGCTACAAGCCAGAAAAACTACACCTAGGCATAACATTTTCAAAATACAAAAAATCAAAATAAGGGAAAAAAAATCATGAAGGAAGCTAGAGAGGAAAAAAATACCTCATCTATAGAAGGGCAAAGGTAAGAATTACATCCAACTTCTCCTCAGAAACCATGCAAGCAAGAAGAGAGTGGAGTGAAATATTTAAGTGACTTAAATGTTGAGAAAAAAAACTAACAACAACTTTGAATTCTGTGCCCGAAAAATTATCCTTCAAAAATAAAGAAGAAATAGTCTTTTTCAGGCAAACAAATATTGACGGACTTTATTGCCTGTGGACATGCCTTGTGAGAAATGTTAAGAGAAGTTATTTAGAGAAAAGTAAAATAATGTTGGTCAGAAATTCAGGTCTATGAAAAGAAGGGAAGAGCATCAGAGAAGGAAAAGTAAAGGTAAAATAGAAACTTTTATATTTCTTATTCTCAATTGATCTGACAGATAACATTTTGTTCAAAATAGTATCAACAACTTATTCAAATCTACATGTATAAGTAAAATGAGTGACAGCAATAATGCAAGGGACAGGAAGAAGGAATTAGGATTATCTTGTTATTACAAAGCACTTTCACTACCTGTGAAGTTGTATAGAGTTATTTAAAAGTTAGCTTAAATTAGTTGTAAAGGTATATTGCAAACTCTAGGGCAACCCATAAAGAAAATAAAACAAGAAATATAATTGATATGCTAACAAAGGAGAGAAAAGTATATTAAATGCTCAATTAAAACCATAAAAGGCAGAAAAAGAGTAGAGGACAAAAATAGGGCCAAGAACAAGGGCAACAGATAGAAAACAGTAAAAAAAAAATGGTAGATATTAATCCAATTATATCAGTAATCACTTTGAATATGAATGGTCTAAATGCATCAATTCAAAGACAAATATCTGGGCACAGTGACCTGTAATTATAGCACATTGGGAGGCTGAGGCAAGAGGATCATTTGAGGCCAAAAGTTTGACACAAAGATTGTCAGAGTGATCAAAAAGTGAGGCCCAATTATATGTTGTCTACAAGAAATTTACTATAAAGACACATATACATCAAAGGTAAATAAACAGAGTGCGATATATCATGTGAACAAAAATCAAAATAAACTGGGATTGCTATATTAATTTGAGACAGAGAAGACTTCAAAGCAAATAAATTATCAGGAATCAAGAGATACATTACATAATAATAAAGGGGTCAATTTTCCAAGAAGATGTAGTAATCATTATCATGTATTTGCCTAACAAAAAAGCATCCAAATACATGAGACAAAAATGGTTAGAACTTTAAGGAGAAATAGAGTAATCCACTATTATAGTTGGAGACTTCAATATTCCTCTATTAGAAATGGATCGATCCAGTAGGCAGAATATCAGTAAGGACACAGTTGAATTCAACAACACTATCAATTAACTGTATATAATGGACATCTATAGATTACACCTAATAACAGCAGAATTCACACTCTTCTCAAACTCATTTGGAACATTCACCAATACAGATAACATTCTAAGTCATAAAACACATCCTAACAAGCTTAAAGAGAAGAAATTATAGAATTTCTGCTCTTAGACTACAATGGAATTAAACTAGAAATTAATAACAGAAAGATGGCTGGAAAATCCTAAAATGCTTAGAGATTAAGCAATGCACTTCTAAATCACAAATGTATGAAAAAAGAAATATCAAGACAAATTTAAAAATATTTTGAATTAAGTAAAAATAAAAATAAAACTTAAAATCTGGGGGATGCAGTGAATACAGTGCTTAGAAGGAAATTCATAGTATCGAAGGCATGTATTTGAAAAGAAGAAAGACCTAAGGTCAATAATCTAACCTCCTATTTTAGAAATCTAAAAGCAAGAAAAGAAAATAAATCCAAAGTAAGCTGAAGAAAAGAAATAACAAAAATTAGAGCAAAAAAAAAAAACTGCAAACAAATCAATAGAGAAAAACACTGAGACCAAAACCTGGTTCTTTTTTAAAAAAAACCTTTATTTTAGGCTCAGGGGTACATGTGCAGGTTTGTTATATAGGTAAATTATATGTCGTGTGAGGTTGGTGTACAGATTATTTCACCATCCAAGTAATAAGCACAGTACCCAATAGTTAGTTTTTTTATCTTCAGCTTCCTCCCTCCCTCCACCCTCTAGTAGGCCCCAGTGTATGTTGTTCCTTTACCTCCCAAAAGTGGAAGCTAAACATTCAGTACATATGGACACAAAGGAAAAAAATACTGCATCCTCCCACATGCAGTATTGGTTTTCCATACCTAAGTTAGTTCACTTAGGATAATGGCCTATAGCTCCATACATGTTGCTGCAAAGGACATGATCTTGTTTTTTTTTATGGCTACATAGTATTCCATGGTGTATATGTACCACATTTTCTTTATCCAGTCTATCATTGATGGGCATTTAGGTTGATTCCACGTCTTTGCTATTGTGAATAGTGCTGTAAGGAACATATGCATGCATGTGTCTTTATGGTAGAACAATTTATTTTCCTTTGGGTATAAATCCAATAATGGGATTGCTGAGCCAAATGGTAATTCTGCTTTGAGTTCTTTGTGAAATCACCAAACTGCTTTCCATAATGGCTGAACTAATTTACATTCCCACCTGCAGTGTATAAGCATACCCTTTTCTGTGCAACCTCACAAGCATCTGCTATATTTTGACTTTATTATGATAGCCATTCTGACTGGTATAAGATGGTATGTGATTGTGGTTTCAATTTGCATTTCTCTAATAATTAGTGATGTTGAGCATTTTTTTACATACTTATTGGCTACGTATGTCTTTTGAAAAATGTCTGTTCATGTCCTTTGCCCACTTTTTAATGGGGTTGCTTTTTTTTGCTTATTAAGTTCCTTATAGATGCTAAACATTAGACCTTGGTCAGCTGCATAGGATGCAAATATTTTCTCCCGTTCTGTAGGTTGTCTGTTTACTTTGTTGATAGTTTCTTTTGCTGTGCAGAGGCTCTTTAGTTTACTTAGATCCCGTTTGTCAATATTTGCTGTTGTTGCAGATGGGCACAGTGGCTCATGCCTGTAATCCCAGCACTTTGGGAGGCTGAGGTGGGTGGGTCACAAGGTCAGGAGTTCAAGACCAGTCTGGCCAACACAGTGAAACCCAGTCTCTACTAAAAATACAAAAAATTAGCCGGGTTTGGTGGTATGTGCCTGTAATCCTAGCTACTCCAGAGGCTGAGGCAGCAGAATTGTGTGAACCTGGAAGGTGGAGGTTGCAGTGAGCCAAGATCGTGCCATTGCACTTCAGCCCAGGTGACAGTCTGAGACTCCATCTCAAAAAAAAAAAAAAAAAAACTATTGTTGCAATTGCTTTTGGCATCTCTGTCATGAAATCGTCACCAGATCCTATGTCCAGAATGGTATTTCCTAGGTTAACTTCCAGGGTTTGTATAGTTTTAGGTTTTAAATTTAGGTCTTTAATCCACCTTGAGTTGATTTTTGTATATGATGTAAGGAAGGGGTCCCATTTCAAACTTTTGCATATGGCTAGCCAGTTATCCCAGCAGCATTTATTGAATGGGTAGTCCTTTCCCCATTGTTTGTTTTTGTTGACTTTGTTGAAGATTAGATGGTTGTAGGAGTGTGGCCTTATGTCTGGGCTCTCTATTCTGTTTCATTGGTCTATATGTCTGTTTTTTGAGCAGTACCATATGGTACTGTTTTGGTTACTGCAGCCTTGTATACTTTGAAGTCAGGCAATGTGATGTCTCTGGCTTTATTTTATTTTATTTTTTTTTTTTTTTGCTTAGAATTGCTTTGGCTATTTGAACTCTTTTTTTTTGTTAATGTGAATTTTAAAATAGTTTTTTTTTTCTAATTCTGTGAAGAATGTCATTGGTAGTTTGATAGGAATAGCACTGAATATTTAAAATTCTTTGGGCAGTATGTCCATTTTAACAATTTTGATTCTTTCTATCCATGAACATGGAATGTTTTTTCCTTTGTTTGTATCATCTCTAATTTCATTGAGCAGTGTTTTGAAATTCTTGTTGTAAAGATTTTTCACCTCCCTGGTTAGCTGTATTCCTAGCTATTTTATTCTTTTTGTGGCTATTGTGAAAAAGATCAACAAAATTGAAAAGACTGTATGTCAGCAAATTCAAGGTTTATTTTTTAAAAAGGAAAGAAAATTGATAAGCCTCTAGCCAGGCTACTTTAAGAGAGAAAGAGATGACACAAATGACTAGTATTAGAAATGATTAAAAGGAACACCACTACATATCCCATTGATATTAAAAAAAAAACAAAAAAAGAATATTAGGAATAATTCTATGCTCACAAATTTGATAAACTAGATAAAATGGATTAATTCCTTGAAAAACACAATCTGTATGTAATCTTTACATAAGGAGAAATAAACAATCTGAATAGGTTTATACCTATTAAATAAATTAAATAAATAATTAATAACCTACTAAAATGGAAGGCACTAGGCCCAGGTGGGCTCACTTATGAATTCTGCCAAACACTTAAAAAAGAAATTATACCAATTTTCTACAATCTCTTCCATAAGATAGAAATAGAGGGAATACTCCCTAATTCCTAAGTTTAGCATTAACCCAATACCAAAACCAGACAACTATTATACAAGAAAACTAGAAACCAATATATTCTGCAAATATAAAAACAAAATATTCAACAAAATATTAGCAAATTGAATCAAAAAAAGTAAAAAAAAATTGCACATCACTATCAAGTGGGATTTATCTCAGGTATGTGAGAAGACTGGTTCAACATTTGAAAATCAATTAATGTAATCCAATCAACAGGCTAAAGAAGAAAAATCACATGATTATATCAATAGACACAGAAAAAAGCATTTAACGTACTCTAACACCCATTACTGATTTAAAACTTTCAGCATATTAGGTATAGAGGGAATCTTCCTCTACTTCATAAAGAACACCTATAAAAGCCTACAGCCAACATCATATTTAATAGTAAGAAAATGGAAGCTTTCCCCTAAGATCAGGAACAAGGCAAGGATGTCCTCTCTAACCACGGCTTATCATACTGTAAGTCCTAGCAAATGAAACTGAGCGGGGGGAGAAATAAATAAATAAAAGGTATACAAATTAGAAGGAATAAATTAAACTTTTTGTTTACCAATGATGATTGCCTATGTAGGAAATTCAAAAGAATCAAGACAAAAACCCTTATAACAATAAGCTATCACAGGAAAATCGCAGGATACAAGGTTAATATGCAAAAATACATTGCTTTCCTGTATACTAGCAATAAACAAGTGGAATTTAAAATTTAAAACATACTAAAATTACATTAGCACTTAAAAATTAAATACTTAACTATAAGTATAACAAAATGTACATAAGATCTATACAAGGAAAACTGCAAAATTCCAATGAATGAAATCAAGAGTTCAATAAATCAAGAGATATTCCATTATGATGAATAAAAAGACACAATATGGTCAAGGTATCAGGTCTTCCCAATTTGATCTATAAATTTGATGAAGTACCAATCAAAGTTCCAGCAAGTTACTTTGTGGATATAGACAAATTGATTCTAAGGTTTATGTGGTGTGTTAGGCCATTCTCTCATTGCTATGAAGAAATGCCTGAGATTGGGTAATTTATAAATAAAACAGGTTTAATTTGCTTATGGTACTGCAGGATTTACAGGAAGCATGGCGCTGGCACTTTCTCAGCTTCTAGGGAGGCCTCAGGAAGCTTATAATCATGGCAGAAGGCAAAGCGGGAGCAAGCACATCACATGGTGAAAGCAGGAGCAAGCCAGAGATTGGGGGGAGAAGAGCCACACACATTTTAGTGACCAGATCTCACAAGAATTCGCTATCATGATGGCAGCACCAAGCCATGCAGGATCTGCCCTCGTGATCTAAACACCTCCCACCAGGCCCACCTCCAACACTGGAGATTAAAATTCAACATGAGATTTTAGTGGGAACAAATATTCAAACTATATCACGTGGAGGGGAAAAGAGCCAGAATAGCCAATATAATATTAAAGGAGAAGAACAAAGTGGATGACTGAAACTATCCAACCCCAAGACTTAGTATAGTTACAGTAATCAAGATAGTGTGATATTGGTGAAAGAATAAATTAATCAATAGAACAGAATGGAGAATTGAGAGTAGATACACATAAATATAGTCAACTGATCTTTGACAAAGGATCAAAGGCAATACAAAGGAGCAAAGACAATCATTTCAATGAATGGTGCTGGAACAAGTGGATGTACACATGCAAAAAATTTGAATGTAAATACAGATTTTACATCATTCAAAAAAAAAACAACTCAAAATAGATAACAGAATAAATGTAAAATGCAAGACTGTCACACTCCTAGAAGATAACATAGAAGAAAATTCAGATGACCTAGGGTATGGCAAAGACTTTTTAAATATAGAACAAAAGTCATAACCAATGAAAAAAAGATTGATAAGCTAGATTGCATCCTAGCTTATGTTTACGTCTTCTGATCTATAAAAGATAATGCCAAGAGAATGAGAAAACAAGCTGGAGACTGGGAGAAAATAGTTGCTAGAGGCACAGCCAATAAAAGACAGTTATCCAAAATACACAAAGAACTCTCAAAACTCAACAATAAGAAAATAAATGACCCAATTTAAAAATTGTCAAAAGACCTAAACAGAAACCTTACCAAAGAAGATATACAGATGAGGATTAAGTGTATGAAAATATGTATATGTTGATAAGAAATTGCAATTTAAGGGAGGGCAAGATGAGTGGATCACTTGAGGTCAGGAGTTTGAGACCAGCCTGGCCAATACGGTGAAACCCCATCTCTAGTAAAAGTAGAAAAAAATTAGCTGAATGTGGTGGCACATGCCTATAATCCCAACTACTCAAGAGGCTGAGGCAGGAGAATCCCTTGAACCCGGGAGGTGGAGGTTGCAGTAAGCTGAGATTGTGCACTGTACTCCACCCTGGGAAATAAGAGTGAAACTCCATCCAAAAAAAAAATGGCAATTTAAAATAACAATAAAATGCTAGCACACACCTATTAGAAGGAACACAATTCAAAACATTGACAACACCAAATGCTGATAAGGATATAGAGCAAACTCTCATTCACTGCTGGTGAGAATGCAAAATGCTATAACCATTTTGGAAGACAGTTTGGCAGATTCTTATAAAACTAAACACAATCTTTCCATTCAATCCAGCAATTGAAGTCCTTAACATTTACCCAAATAAATTTAAAAATTATGCTCACACAAAAACCTGCACATGAATGTTTATAGCATCCTTATTGATAAATTGCCAAAACTTGGAAGCAACCAAGATGTTCTTCAGTAGATGAATGGATAAACTGCCATACATCCAGACAATGGAATATTATTCAGCGCTATTAAAATAAAAGAACTATAAAGCCATGGAAAGCCATGAAGAAAACTTAAATGCATATTGCTAAGTGAAAGAAGCCAACCTGAAAAAAATGCTACACACTGTATAATCCAATTATTATACATTCTGGAAATGACAAAACTATGAAGATAGTAAAAATATTGGTGTCTGCCAGGAGTTAGCATAGAGGGAGAAATGAATAGGCAGAGCACGGGGGATATTTAGATCAGTGAAATTATTCTTCACGATATTACAATGATGAACACATGTCATCATTCATTTATCCAAATCCATAGAATGTGAAAAACCATGAGTGAACCCTGATGTAAATTATGGACTCTAGGTGGTAACATTGCGTCAATATAAGGTTCATCAGTTGTAATAAATGTACCACTGTGGTGAGGGATGTTAGTGGGGGAGTTTGTGGGGAAAGGAAGAAGGTTTAAGGGAATACTTTGTTTCTGTTCAATATTGCTGTGAAACTAAAACCGCTTTAAAAATAGTGTATTAATGTTAAGATACGAACAATCATGCAAAAACAATTAAAATCTATTGGGCAAGCATGCATCATCCACAAAGTTTGAAATACAGATCTGTTAATTCAACAACAACAACAACAAGAGAATCAACCACATTGGAGGCACTGTCTGAGGCACTGTCCAAGGTACTGGTAGTACAAAGTAAATTACACCTATATCTTACCTACAGGGTGAGGATATAATTACGTAATTGTAATATATTGCGAGAAGTGCTATAATAAAGATATGTACAAAGTACTATGGGACACTGAAGTAGGAGTTTCAGCGTTTATCTATTGAGCTATAGAAACTACCATCTCTAAAGATGAGGTACTACTATAACATATGAATGCGTTAATTCATATAAAATTTACAGAAGCTTAACAGTAATATGAGAAGAAAGAAACTAAAGATAAATTAGTGCTTTAAAATTATCCACCTAGCTTCTATTCACCTGCTAGGGACTGAAGAGTTAGTTTAAAGACAATTCATTTGAATGCCTAGATATCTGCATTGTAGACTGTCCTACTGTTTTTTTTTCCTTTAATATAGCTCAGTGGCTCTCAATCTCTGGCAAAAATAAGAATTAGCATACAGGGCCATAGACATAAATTATGTATATTATATTTTAAGGCAAGCTACAGAATATTTTAAGCTTCTTTAGAACATACAAATTTGCTGGTCTCACATGCTATTCCCTTAGCCAACTGCTAACTTCGTTTGGAGTGTATTCCCAGAGGAAGCAACAGTAGAGAAAAATCTAATGAAATCAAATAAGTATTTCAAATTTAAAATAAGCTCACTCTTAGATCTTTTAAGATAGGTGATTTCATGCTTAGTTTGGGATTCAATTTTCTCATACAATCTGACTGGCAAAAATGCATAAAATAATGTGACATGTTGTCAAAAATGTTCTCATCATTGAGTGTGCCACTGGCAAAAACCTTTACACACAAAACTGAAACTAGTAAATAAGTAGGCAAAATGGAATTTTGGGATGAGCACAAATGTTAACTGACCATTGACGGAAATCGAAAGTACAATATTACATTCAAGTAACCATTTTCCAAACACTATGATACTGAATACAAAACTGCTAAATTTCACCTATGCTCTGGCATAATTCACCCTTAATCTCTGTACTGGACACCTCAGCCTTAGTTACGTCCACAATTTTTTAAAAATTGCAGTTTGTTCATACTACTTGATTTGTACATCATAATATATCCTATAAACATGGTGAGTTTTACGAATATTTAGATAATGACATGTTGAAGTTAGGATGTCAACATATAGGCTTGTTTCCACTTGTTCTCAAGGTCAAGGGAGGTAGAGAGGAAGGGAAAGGAAGGAAGGAAGGAAGGGAAGAAACGAGGGAGACAGGATGGTTTATTTACTTCCAAGTCATGCAAAATAGATTGGAATTTCACACAATATGTTTTTAGAATGCCATCTCACCTAGAATTCTGGACAAATGACTTTGGTAAATGATGCACACCATATCCTTTTCTGGGAAATTCACAAGTCACGTTAAAATATTAAAATTCTTAGAGGCGTAATAGTAAAGATATGTGTTTGACTCTGCTTAATCAGTACTTCCCAGACTTAGTTGGTTATGGACTCTACTTACTTAATGCTTATTAGCAACACTGAAAGTGACTATTTTTCAGAATACATGATAGAAAATACTTCGCCAGAGAAAACCATAGAGCTAGCCTGAAAAGTGTATTTCTGATTTAAGCAGATATTCCCACTGAACAAAACAGATAATGTAATTATTATTTAGTTTTCATGGCCACTCACCATAGAATTATAACCTTTTAAAGTTTTCCCTTAGACATTTCCAATGAACTAATAAACTTTCTGTTTGTTCTGATTAGTTAACTTATATGCAGTTCATTCTGAAAAATGGTAATTGATGTGGTCTTCTTGAAAGAATTCAATGACAAAATAATTCTTCCTACCTGCTATGATCTGAATGTGTGTGTCCCCTCAAAATCTGTATGTTGAAATCTATTCCACAATGTGATAGTATTAAGAGGTAGGGCCTTTAGGAGGTGATTGGATCATGAGAGTTCCATCCTCATGATTGGGATTAGTGCCATTTAAAAAGGACCCACGGGAGCTTGTTAGCCCCTTTAGTCATGTGAGGCCCCATAGAGGGCACCAACTGTGAGGACATAGGCCCTCACCAGACATTAAATCTGCCTGCATCTTGATTTTTGACTTCCCAGCCTCAATAACTGTGAGCAATAACTTTTTGTTGTTTATAAATTATCCAGTCCACGGTATTTTGTTATAGCAGCCTGAGCAGATCTACAAATACATTCAAGTCCCTTCTTCAATTCTTTGAGGCATATATCTAGAAGTGGAATTTCTGGATCATACAGTGTTTTTTTTTTTTCTTTTAAAGAAATGGGGTCTCACTCTGTCACCCAGGCTGGAGTGCAGTGGCATGATCACAGCTCACTGTAACCTTGAACTCATGGACTCAAGCGATCCTCCTACGTCAGCCTCACAAGTAGCTGGGACGACAGGTGTGCAACAACATGCCTGGCTAAATTTTTTTTTATTTTTTTGTAGAGATGGGTTATTCTTATGTTACCCAGGCTGGTCTTGAATTCCTGGCCTCAAGCCATCCTCTCCACTTGGCCTTTCAAAGCACTGGGATTATAGGCATGAGCCATTGTGCCTGGTTGATATAAGTTAGTTCTATTTTTAATTTTTTGAGGTACCCCTATACTGTTTTCCAGTAGCAGCTATGCCATTTTATATTCTCACCAACAGGGCACAAAGGTTTCAATTTCTCCACACATCCTCACTAACACTTATTCTGTGTATTTTTTTAAGATAATAGCCATCTTCCTCAGTGTGAAGTAGCATCTAAACGTGGGTTTGATTTGCATTTCCCTGATAACAAGTGAGGTTGAGTATCTTTTCGTGTATGTATTGACCATTTGTATATCTTCTTTAAAGAAATGTCTGTCAAGTCCTTTGCCTGTTTTTCAATTGGGTTACTTGGTTTTTGTTGTTGGGCTATAGAAGTTCTTTATATACACTAGATATTAGACCCTTATCAGGTATATGATTTGCAAATATTCCCCCCATTCCATTGGTTGTTATCATTGTTTTTATAAGGCTCAGCTTCATATTATCTGCATGATCATATTATCTGCATTTATATTATCTGCATGATCTCTTTAGGAATTTGAATTTCTGACCCCTGCCTAACATTTTCCTAGTTGCAACATCTAACACGCCTCCCCGAAGTTAATACAAGCCACACTGATTAGATTTTGGAAAATTTTCAAATTTGTCAGTTAATATTTGAAGATAATTTAGTTTGCTGTACATTTGTACATGTGGCTGAACTCATCCATTACATTTTGAATCTACCTAATTTCATTTCTCCTTACCTTTAACCTGAGGAGTAACTTGCTGTAATCCTCAGGCATATGTAATTTCAGCTTTGCTGATCCTATTACACCAGTTCATTTTGTTTTCATTTTTAATCACATGCCTTTATTTTGATCTTTCTATCAGTTCTTCACTCTGGAATGGTCTCAGCTGGGTGGTTCTTCTACTCATCTTCAGGTTACTCAGGCAGCTGCAGTCATCTGCAGGCTCAACTGGGGCTGGATAATCCAAAGTCACTCATGATTGGGAAAGCCAGAACACAGTGGTCCTGCCTGGGCCGCTCTCTATAACTGGTTTATTCGGCAGGGCAGCTACAATCCTTACACAGCAGCTGAGAGCTCCAGGTAAGTAAAACCAGAAATTCCTAGACACTTTGAGGCCTGAACCTTTTCTGTTCACTCCTTCCTTACTCATTAGAAAGCTGAAAGTAGAGCATGTTGATAGAATGTACACCTGTGATTTTACTCTCTCTAGAGTAGCTGGACTTGAGAAAATACTATTTAACTTTTGACACATTTAATAAATGACCTCTTTCTTCAGATTCCATGATCAGTCAGCCTCTTTATAGTCTTATGGATTGTTTCAGATGTTCAGTTCCTTTACCAGAAGCTGAATGTCTTCCTCAATAGGCTTTCTCACGATCCATGTTGTAGGCTGTTACCGATTGTCTTTGTTCTTTGTTCTTCCTCTCTGGGCTCAACCTCTCACTGCTGTTCTCTCTTGCTTACACATTTTTAATATTCCATGAGGCAGCCCCCCATTGTTATGCCTTCAGATACCATTATTTTTGTTAATGCTGTGGTTACAAAATTACATTGGTTTGAAGTGGTCTGCCCTAATTCTATATTCTCACAACCCTGTTATGTTTAGTATATAATTTTCTAAAATAGGAAATTTTCCAGGAACATAAATTTCATGTTCTACCAAAAGCTGCTGCAGTTATAAATTATTCCCTTGAAAGAATGAATGAGTACTATGTTTTGTTGATGCAGGCTGTTGTTTCTCTAACCCCAAGGATATTGGAGAAAGGCAAGGAGTTGGGAGTTAGTCAGTTAGCTATGCTGCGGTTTGAATGACTTTAATCTCTTCCTCACCTTTCCATTTGCTCTTACTTGTACTTTTTTCCTACTTATAGAAAATTTCAAGTTCATTCCCACCTGAGAGCCTTTGCAGATATTCTTTGTCTTGCCATTCAAGTCTCAGACCAAATGTCACCCACTCCAGGTCGATCTTTCTTGGCCGTCTTACCTAAGACTGTACTCTCCCAAACTTATGTCCTATCAAACATCTCTCTTTCATTTCTTTACTGACACTTAACATTTTGTAATTTTTGTTTACAACTTGTCAGCCCCATAAAAACCTGGACTACACTTGTGTTTTTAACTAGAGAGACAAAACCAGAGACCAGGGTGCTCATAGCCAGAAGAAGGGACACAGGGAAAAGAGCCCACCACCTGTAGTTCACAGCCTAGCCTGTGTCTCCTGCCTTTTGTTTAAACACTGTTTTCCCTAACAGCTTCTCATCACAGTCCTAACAATGACTGAAAATCTAGAAGAAACAAGCAGTCTCCTAGCTTGATCTCAGGCCACACCACACCCCTGCTAGATCACAGATACATTCCAATGTCTATAAAAGGACCTTGCTTCTAGGAGCCACTACAAAAACATTTCTCCAAAGTATGACAATAAGAGAAAAAATACTAATTTAAAAATAAACAGATTATTTCCCTGCTCACCTAAAACAACACTTTATAGTTGAATCTTTCAACTTTTGTGCTCTCTGGTGCTTTTGTTCTCACTATTTAATTGGCTCCCAATACATACAGATGAACAAAGCTCCCAGAGTTCCAAGTTCTATTTGTTTTCTCTGTCTTCTTACAGCACATTCTTCAGCTGTATTCCCTGTTGGCTTTGATTTTTTTTATATATACATACTTTAAGTTCTGTGATACATGTGTAGAACATGCAGGTTTGTTACATAGGTATACATGGGCCATGCTGGTTTGCTGCACCCATCAACCCATCATTAGGCTGAAATAATATTAGGAGAAATAACATTAGGTATTTCTCCTAATGTTATCCCTCCCCTAGCCCCCAACTCCCCAAAAGGCCCCAGTGTGTGATGTTCCCCTCCCTGTGTCCATGTTTTCTCATTGCTCAACTCCCACTTATGAGTGAGAACATGCAGCGTTTGGATTTCTGTTCCTGTGTTAGTTTGCTGAGAATGATGGTTTCCAGCTTCATCCATGTCCCTGCAAAGGACATGAACTCATCTTTTTTTAGGGCTACATAGTATTCCATGGTGTATATGTACCACATTTTCTTTATCCAGTCTATCATTGATGGGCATTTGGGTTGGTTGCAAGTCTTTGCTATTGTGAACAGTGCTGCAATAAACATATGTGTGCATGTGTCTTTATAGTAGAATGAATTATAATCCTTTGGGTATACACCCAGTAATGGAAATGCTGGGTCAAATGATATTTCTAGTTCCAGATCCTTGAGAAATCGCCACACTGGTTGAACTTCCACAGTGGTTGAGCTAACGCTCCCACCAACACTGTAAAAGTGTACCTATTTCTTCACAGCCTCGTCAGCATCTGTTGTTTCCTGACTTTGTAATGATCGCCATTCTAACTGGTGTGAGATGGTATCTCATTGTGGTTTTGATTTGCATTTCTCTAATGACCAGTGATAATGAGCTTTTTTTCATGTTTGTTGGCCACATAAATGTCTTCTTTTGAGAAGTGTCTATTCATATCCTTTGCCCACTTTTCAATGGGGTTGTTTTTTTCTTGTAAATTTGTTTAAGTTCTTTGTAGATTTTGGATATTAGCCCTTTGTCAGATGGATAGATCGCAAAAATTTTCTCCCATTCTGTAGGTTGCCTCTTCACTCTGATGATAGTTTCTTTTGCTGTGCAGAAGCTCTTTAGTTTAATTAGATCCCATATGTCAATTTTGGCTTTTGTTGCCATTGCTTTTGGTGTTTTAGTCATGAAGTCTTTGCCCATGCTTATGTCCTGAATGGTATTACCTAGGTTTTCTTCTAGGGTTTTTATGGCTTTAGGTCCTATGTTTAAGTCTTTAATCCATCTTCATTAATTTTTGTATAAGGTGTAAGGAAAGGGTCCAGTTTCAGTTTTCTGCATATGGCTAGCCAGTTTTCCCAACACCACTTATTAAATAGGGAATCCTTTCCCCATTGCTTGTTTTTGTTAGGTTTGCCAAAGATCAGATGGTTGTAGATGTGTGGTGTTATTTCTGAGGCCCTGTTCTGTTCCATTGGTCTATATATCTGTTTTGGTACACGTACCATGCTGTTTTGGTTACTGCAGCCTTGTAGTATAGTTTGAAGTCAGGTAGCATGACGCCTCCAGCTTTGTTCTTTTTGCTTAGCATTGTCTTGGCTATATGGGCTCTTTTTTGGTTCCATATGAAATTTAAAGTAGTTTTTTCTAATTCTGTGAAGAAAGTCAATGGTAGCTTGATGAGGATAGCATTGAATCTATAATTACTTTGGGCAGTATGGCCATTTTCACAATATTGATTCTTCCTATCCATGAGCATGGAATATTTTCCATTTGTTTGTGTCCTCTCTTATTACCTTGAGCAGGGGTTTGGAGTTCTCCTTGAAGAGGTCCTTCACATCCCTTGTAAGTGGGTAGTATTCCTAGGTATTTTATTCCCTTTGTAGCAATTGTGAATGGAAGTTCACTCATCATCTGGATCTCTGTTTGTCTATTACTGGTGTATAGGAATGCTTGTGATTTTTGCACATTGATTTTGTATCCTGAGACTTTGCTGAAGTTGCTTATCAGCTTAAGGAGATTTGGGGCTGAGATGATGGGGTTTTCTAAATATACAATCATATCATCTGCAAACAGAGACAATTTGACTTCCTCCCTTCCTATTTGAATACTCTTTATTTCTTTCTCTTGCTTGATTGCCCTGGCCAGAACTTCCAATACTATGTTGAATAGGAGTGGTAAAAAAGGGCATCCTTGCTTTGTGTTGCTTTTCAAAGGGAATGCTTCCAGCTTTTGCTCATTCATTATGATGTTGGCTGTGGGTTTGTCATAAAGAGCTCTTATTATTTTGAGATACGTTCCATCAATACCTAGTTTATTGAGAGTTTTTAGAATGAAGGGGTGTAGAATTTTATCAAGGGCCTTTTCTGTATCTATTGAGATAATCATGTGGTTTTTGTCATTGGTTCTGTTTATGTGAAGGATTACGTTTATTGACTTGCATATGTTGAACCAGCCTTGCATCCCAGGGATGAAGCCAACTTGATCATGATAGATAAGCTTTTTGATGTGTTGCTGGATTCAGTTTGCCAGTATTTTATTGAGGATTTTAGCATCGATGTTCATCAGGGATATTGGCCTGAAATTTTCTGTTTTTGTGGTGTCTCTGCCAGGTTTTGGTATCAGGATGATGTTGGCCTCATAAAATGAATTAGGGAGGAGTCCCTTTTTTTTCTATTGTTTGGAATAGTTTCAGAAGGAATGGTACCAGCTTCTCTTATTACCTCTGGTAGAATTTGGCTGTGAATCCATCTGGACCCAGGCTTTTTTCGGTTAGTAAACTATTAATTACTACCTCAATTTCAGAACTTGTTACTGGCCTATTCAGGGATTCGACTTCTTCCTGCTTTAGTCTTAGGAGGGTGTATGTGTCCAGGAATTTATTTATTTCTTCTAGATTTTCTAGTTTATTTGCATAAAGGTGTTTATTCTCTGATGGTAGTTTGTATTTATGTGGGATCAGTGCTGATATCTCCTTTATCATTTTTTATTGTGTCTATTTGATTCTTCTCTCTTTTGTTCTTTATTAGTCTGGCTAGTGGTCTATCTATTTTGTTAGCCTTTTCAAAAGACCAGCTCCTGGATTCATTGATTTTTTGAAGGATTTTTTTTTTATCTTTATCTCCTTCAGTTGTGCTCTGGTCTTAGTTTTTTTCTTGTCTTCTGCTAGCTTTTGAATTTGTTTGCTCTTGCTTCTCTAGTTGTTTTCATTGTGATGTTAGAGTGTCGATTTTAGATCTTTCCTGCTTTCTTCTGTGGGCATTTAGTGCTACAAATTTCCCTTTAAACAATGCTTTAGCTGTGTCCCAGAGATTCTGGTATGCTGTGTCTTTGTTCTCATTGGTTTCAAAGATCATCTTTATTTCTGCCTTCATTTCATTATTTACCCAGCAGTCATTCAGGAGCAGGTTGTTCAGTTTCCATGTAGTTGTGCAGTTTTGAGTGAGTTTCTTAATCCCAAGTTCTAATTTGATAGCACTGTGGTCTGAGACACTGTTTGCTATGATTTCTGTTCTTTTGCATTTGCTGAGGAGTGTTTTACTTCCAATTATGCGGTCAATTTTAGAATAAGTGCGATGTGGTGCTGAGAAGAATGTATATTCTGTTGATTTGGGTGGAGAGTTCTGCAGATGTCTATTAGGCCTGCTTGGTTGAGAGCTGAGTTCAAGTCCTGAATATCCTTGTTAATTTTCTGTCACGTTGATCTCATATTGACAGTGGGGTGTTAAAGTCTCCCACTATTATGTGGGAGTCTAAGTCTCTTTGTAGGTCTCTAAGAACATGCTTTGTGAATCTGGGTGCTCCTGTATTGGGTGCATATATATTTAGGATAGTTAGCTCTTTTTATTGCATTGATCCCTTTACTTTCATGTAATGCCCTTCTTTGTCTTTTTTGATCTTTGTTGGTTTAAAGTCTGTTTTATCAGAGGCTAGGATTACACGTCCTGCTTTTCTTTTTGCTTTCCATTTGTTTGGTAAGTAATCCTCCATCCCTTTATTTTGAGCCTATGTGTGTCTTTGCACGTGAGATGGGTCTCCTGAATACAGCACACTGATGGGTCTTGACTCTTTATACAATTTGTCAGTCTGTGTCTTTTATTTGGGGCTTTTAGCCCATTTACATTTAAGGTTAATAATGTTATGTGTGAATTTGATCCTGTCATTATGATGCTCGAAGGTTATTTTGCCCATTAGTTGATGCAGTTTCTTCATAGTGTCTATGGTCTTTACATTTTGGTATGTTTTTGCTGTGACTGGTATTGGTTTTTCCTTTCCATATTTACTGCTTCCTTCAGGAGCTCTTGTAAGGCAGGCCTGGTGGTGACAAAATCTCTCAGCACTTGCTTGTCTATAAGGGATTTTAATTCTCCTTCGCTTATGAAGCTTACTTTGACTGGATATGAAATTCTGGGTTGAAAATTCTTTTAAGAACGTTGAATATTGGCCCCCAACTCTCTTCTGGCTTGTAGGGTTTCTGCAGAGAGATTCGCTGTTAGTCTGATGGGCTTCCCTTTGTGGGTAACCCAACCCTTCTCTCTGGCTGCCCTTAACATTTTTTCCTTCATTTCAACCTTGGTGAATCTGACAATTATGTGTCTTGGGGTTGCTCTTCTAGAGGAGTATTTGTGTTGTCCTCTGTTTTTCCTGAATTTGAATGTTGGCCTGTCTTGCTAGATTGGGGAAGTTCTCCTGGATAATATCCTGAAGAGTGTTTTCCAACTTGGTTCCATTCTCCCCATCACTTTCAGGTACACCAATCAAATGTAAGCTTGGTCTTTTCACATAATCCCATATTTTTTGGAGGCTTTGTTCATTTCTTTTCATTCTTTTTTCTCTAATCTGTCTTCATGCTTTATTTCATTAAGTTGGTCTTCAATCTCTGATATCCTTTCTTCTGTTTGATCGATTCAGCTATTGATACTTGTGTATGCTTCATGAAGTTCTCATGTTGTGTTTTTCAGCTCCATCAGGTCACTTACGTTCTTCTCTAAACTGGTTATTCTAGTTAGCAGTTCCTCTAGCCTTTTCTGAAGGTTCTTAGCTTCCTTGCATTGGGTTAGAACATGCTCCTTTAGCTCGGAGGAGTTGTTATTACCCAGCATCTGAAGCCTACTTCTGTCAACTCATCAAACTCATTCTCTATCCAATTCTGTTTCCTTGCTGGTGAGGAGTTGTGATCCTTTGGAGGAGAAAAGGCATTCTGGTTTTTAGGATTTTCACCCTTTTTGCACTGGTTTATCCTCATCATCATGGATTTATCTACCTTTGGTCTTTGATGTTGGTGACCTTCGGATGGGGTTTTTGTGTGGACGTCCTTTTTGTTGATGTTGATTCTATTCCTTTCTGTTTGTTAGTTTTCCTTCTAACAGTCAGCCGCTCTGCTGCGGGTCTGCTGGACTTTGCTGGAGGTCCACTCCAGACCCTGTTTGCCTAGGTATTACCAGCAGAGGCTGCAGAACAGCAAAGATTTCTGCTTGTTCCTTCCTCTGGAAGCTTCGTCCCAGAGGGGCACCCGCCAAATGCCAGTGGAGCTCTCCTATATGAGATGCCTGTCAACCCCTACTGGGAATTGTCTTCCAGTCAGGAGGCACAGGGGTCACGGACCCACTTGAGGAGGCAGTCTGTACCTTAGCAGAGCTCAAGTGCTGTGCTGGGAGATCCGCTGCTCTCTTCAGAGCCAGCAGGCAGGAACACTTAAGTCTGCTGAAGCTGTGCCCATAGCCACCCCTTCCCCAAGGTGCTCTGTCCCCGAGAGATCGGAGTTTTATCTATAATCCCTTGACTGGGGCTGCTGGCTTTCATTCAGAGATGCCCTGCCCAGAGAGGAGGAATCTAGAGATGCAGTCTGGCTATAGCAGCTTTGCAGAGCTGCAGTGGGCCCCGCTCAGTTTGAACTTTCCAATGGCTTTGTTTACACTGTGAGGGGAAAACCACCTACTCAAGCCTCCGTAATGGTGGACGCCCCTCCCCGCACCAAGCTCAAGCATCCCAGGTCAACTTCAGACTGCTGTGCTGGCAGTGATAATGTCAAGCCAGTGGATCTTAGCTTGCTTAGCTTTGTGAGGGTGGGATCCGCTGAGTTAGACCACCTGGCTCCCCGACTTCAGCCCCCTTTCCAGAGGAGTAAACAGTTCTGCCTCACTGGTGTTCCAGGCGCCACTGGGGTATGAAAAAAACTCTTCAGCTAGTTTGGTGTCTGCCCAAATGGCTGCCCAGCTTTGTGCTTGAAATCCAGGGCCCTGGTGATACAGGCACCCGAGGGAATCTCCTGGTCTGTGGGTTGCAAAGACCATGAGAAAAGCATAGTATCTGGGCTGGAATGCACCATTCCTTATGGCACAGTCCTTCACTGCTTCCTTTGGCTAGGGGAAGGAGTTCCCCAACCTCTTGCGCTTCCTGGGTGGGGCAACGCCCCACCCTGCTTTGGCTACCCCTCTGTGGGCCGCACCCACTGTCTAACCAGTCCCAATGAGATGAGCTGGGTATCCCTATTAGAAATGCAGAAATCACCCACCTTCTGCATTGATCTTGCTGGGAGCTGCAGACTGGAGCTCTTCCTACTCGGCCATCTTTCTCCACTCCAGCTCTGATGTTTTTAAAAAATCCGTATAGTATCAAAACAAGTACAGTTGAGTCAATGGATGCCTTAGTGACTCAAACAATACAGTATGTCTTAGTGGAAACAGTGGCTACAGAATAGGTAACAGGTCACAGATTGAAGAATCTTAATATCCATGATCAGAGGTGTTTCATGTCCACAGAGCCTTATGTCTTTTGTTGGCACAAAATAAATGAAAGTAAAATAAGTGAAAGTCACTAGGAATATTCCTTTAACTATTCCATGTAATTCATATTTTTCCTAATTGAAGAACCCATTCTTCAATTTCAAAGAATGATTCTCCAAAAACAGAATTATCTCTACATTAGAACTGTAAAATTGAACCTATAACTTTAGCTGGAAATCATATTTAAATTGTTTTTCCATAACAACATTACTATTTAAGATATAAAAGCCTGGGTGCGGTGGCTTATGCCTGTAATCCCAGCACTTTGGGAGGCCAAAGAGGGTGGACCTCCTGAGTTCAGCAGTTCCAGACCAACCTGGGAAAGAAGGCAAAACCCTGCCTTTACCAAAATTAGACAAAATTAGCCAGTGTGTTGGTGACCACCTGTGTAGTCCCAGCTACTAGGGAGGCTGAGGTGGAAGGATCACTTGAGCCTGGGAGGTGGAAGTTGCAGTGAGCCAAGATAATTCCACTGCACTCTAACCTGTGTGACAGAGTGAAACCCCATCTAAAAAAATATAAAAGACATAAAAATTTTAATCAAATAGGTATTTTGGTCTACAAGGAACAATCTGAGATGAATATATATATATTTTTAATATGTTTGTTAAATATATTACTTAGGTTGGTGTCATGTAGCTGCAACCACAGAGCTAGGTTCAGGCATTGATTATAGCTGGTTCTTTTGTTCATTCATCCAATATCACTGAACAATTGGTGATGATTATAATGCTCAATTTAATACAGATAGATGCTTCCATCTATTTAATATACAAAAGTTCAGGTACATGGTACTTTGTTCAACTCAACAGGGGCTTATGCCCCACCAGCTCCCACTGCTGCATCACTGTCACATTCTAACGGGGACATAAAGTCTGTATTACCCTGTACACTGCCTCCAAATTAGGAAGAGCCTTTGCTTCTCCGAATACTAATTTCAAATCTAAACAATACCTTTAGAACAAAAATATTCGGAAACTCGGAGTCTAATGCAACTGCAAATAAAAAAGAGGAGGAAATTGAATGTTCCCACTGCAATAACAAATGAATTCACTGTAGATGAAGCTTTTCTATTAACTGGCGCCATGGGGGCTAGGTGGCTTAGCTGTCAAGAAATGTCCCATGGGGCTTCTAGGCACAAATCAGTCCAACACTAATGAATCTCATCCTATTTACCTCACTTCTAAAACCATTATATAAATTGGCTCAATTCTGCATGGAGGATAAACACTGTTAGCAGACTCAGGGATAAAAAAAGGATAGGAAGTACTGGTCATTTAAACACACTGGCAGTTGCGCATGGAGAAATTTTCACCAGATTAACTGCATAAATATAAGCTAATAAATAGATATTTATTATTAGTAGCAGTATTCTATTAGTATTATTGTTTGATGGTGATGTTAGGGAATAGTTATTGAGCTCCTAAGATGTATCAGGCTTTGCTCTGATAAGTGGTAAGTGCTGTGCATGTCATCTCATTTAATCCTAACATTCTAATGAGTCAGACACTAGTATAAACTCCACTTTAGATATAAAGAAGCTGGAGCTTAGAGAAGTTAAGTAACTTGTCAGTGATCATAGAACTAGTAAACAGAAGACCTTGAACCCTCTACTCCAACTCCAGAGTCTATCTTGTACACTGTTACAATTTCATAGCCCAAATAAACACTAAAATCCAGTAGAGGCCAGGCGCGGTGGCTCACACCTGTAATCCCAGCACTTTGGGAGGCCAAGGCGGGTGGATCACCTGAGGTCAGGAGTTCAAGACCAGCCTGACCAACATGGTGAAACACCATCTCTACTAAAATACAGAAATTAGCTAGGCATGGTGGCAGGCCCCTGTAATCTCAGCTACTCAGGAGGCTGAGGCAGGAGAATCACCTGAACCCAGGAGGTGGAGGTTGCAGTGAGCCAAGACTGTGCCATTGCACTGCAGCATGGGCAACAGGAGCAAAACTCCGTCTCAAAAAAAAAAAAAAATCCAGTAGTGGTGAAAAGTATTGGTGTCCTTCTAGCGATGCCAGGGCATATGCCTTCTATTCTTCCATCGGTTAAATATCAACAGGCATAATAAATGAAGAGATCTAAAGACAGTAACCTTAATTAAATTATATGTTGCTCATGCTCTTGGAAACATAAGGGTGAGATGATCTCTAAAGTCATTTCCTATTCTCAAATCTTCCTCATCATTCTTGTGTGTTTTGCTACAACCAAGTTCAATTTCTTCAACCACATTGGAAACAGAGAGTGTTCCTCATGCAAACTTCATCGTCCATTGAAATAACTGACTGCTATTGTGAAAATTAGGTCTTCCTCTAACATTTTCTAAAATTCCAGACATTCTAAATTTCTTGTGCTTTCTAAAGTACAGTCTTATCTCCTTGTGTACTTCCAAAGTTCATGGGTCAAACTGTAAGGAAGGTGAAATCTGGCCATTAAAAAAGCCTATGAAAGGATGTCTAGCAAAGCCTAGAGTAGGACTAGATAAGGCCATGGGTCCCAAAAGAGCAAATCAAGGGACATAAAAATGGTAAAGGTCAAAGGCCTATGCAGCAAATTCAGAAAGATTATTTACAGAATGCTCTCAAAGCCTCTGTAGCTCTGTAAATCAAATTTATCTTTAATAACTACTTTAAATCCAATAAATATTCAGTTATTACAGTTGTTATCTCCTAACTGAAAAATCAATTACTCAGTGTAGTGAGGGTGTGTCACTTAGTCTGATTTACCTGAAATATGCAAGGCCAACAAAGTCATGGTCAAGGAGGCAAGCTCTGATTATTGCCTGCTTTCTCCTTCTCTGTAACTAAAAAAAGGTTTTCAAGAAATCGGAGAGATGCCTTTTTTTTTTTTTTTTTTTTGAGACGGAGTCTCGCTCTGTTGCCCACGCTAGATAGAGTACAGTTGTGCAATCTCGGCTCACTGCAACCTCTGCCTCCCAGGTTCAAGCGATTCTCCTGCCTCAGCCTCCCAAGTAGCTGGGACTACAGGCATGTGCCACTATGCCTGGCTAATTTTTTGTATTTTTAGTAGAGACGGGGTTTCACCATGTTAGCCAGGATGGTTTCAATCTCCTAACCTCGTGATCTGCCCGCCTCAGCCTCTCAAAGTGCTGGCATTACAGGCATGAGCCACTGCGCCCGCCCAAGATGGTCAATTTTTAAAATCAAAGTACAACTTACATTATTATGTACAAATCTGAAGTATACACCTCAATAAATTTTTACAAATGTTTAATCCTCTTATAGTGACCATCCTTTACAATGACACTGGAGTCTAGGACATCTCCAGCACCACAGAAGTTTCCCCTGCCTCCCTTCCAGGTCAATCCCCATCAAGAATAACCAGTATTCAAACTTTTATCCTAATGGATTAATTTTGTATTTCTTTGAACTTTAAAAAAAGGAACCATACAGATACAGTATGTATTCTTTCATATCTAACTTCCTTTACTTAACATTGTTTTTAAGAGTCTTCTATGTTGTTGCTTGGATCAATGCTTTATTCTTTTTTATTGTTATACAGGTATTCCATTCTGTATAAGGATACTTAAGTTGTTTCTAGTCTGGGGCTACTCTGACTAATGCCAATATAAACATTCCAAATCATTTATGTTAGGTAATGCCCAGCAGTGAAATTGCTAGACCACACTGCTGGTATATATTTGCCTTTAATAGATTGCCAAACAGATTTTCAGATTGTTTGTATCAATTTGACTCTCACCAGCAACGTATGAGGGTTCCAATTGTGTCACTTATTTGACTGGCATCTTAATTTTTAAATTAGCTGAAGGCAAAAAACATTCTCAAATTTATCTGTCAGCTGGAGTAGTGGCTCATACCTGTAATCCCAACACTTTCGGAGGCCAAGGCAGGAGGATCATTTGAGCCCAGAAGTTCAAAACCAGACTGGACAAGAAAGTGAGACTCCCATCTCTATAAAAAGTAAAAAAATTAGCCAGATATGGTGTCACATGCCTGTGGTCCCAGATACTTGGGATGCTGAGGTGGGAAGATCAGTGGAGCCCAGGAGGTCTAGGCTGCAGTGAGCTATGACAGCGCCACTGCACTCCAGCCTGGGTGACAGAGGGAGACCCTGTCTCAAAAAAAAAAAAAAAAAAGAAAAAAAAATGACCTGTGACCTCTAAATTTCTAGTCATTCCCTAATTATTATATTTCCCAGAATTAAAGCAATCTGAAATGTTTGTTCAGATAGTTAATTTGAACATCGACAAAAGGTAAATATTCTTTTTTTCTGCAAATCAAATATAAACATTTTCTGATAATGGCAACTGTTCAATGAGGAAAAAAATAAGGTTTCTGTTGGATGTGTATGAAAGAGTTTTACACTTGTTCTCTAAATAAAAGTCTGTGTATTTGAGCAGGCTGGCTGCCAATGGCTTTCAGCAGGAATTAAGCAATTAGATGATGCTATTTTTTTTCCTTTGAAACAAATTTGCCTTCAGCCAACACAGTGGGGAATGAGAGCTCCTTCCGCAAAGCACAGTCCCTGTTTTTCCCCCATTCGTCTTCATTAGCTGTCACAAGGGTGAATATAAGAAAGTTTCACTTGCAGCAATTTATTCTTGAACCAATTTGATTATGAGGCTTGTGCACAGAAGGCCCATTTGTCAAAAATATGGAAAGTACGTGGTTGGGAGACAGAAGATTTTGAGGAGGTGACAGTTAAAAAATAAAACGTTCCCTGAAATTAACATAGAAATGTCCATGTCTTCTCATATTAATTTAAAAGTAAATGCACTGCATTTCCCTAAAATTCTTACAGAATAATTTGCTTTTTCCTGATATATGTTATATATGAAGATTAAATAAGTGAATAAAATTTTTAAAAATAAAAATAAAAGCTATGTATATTCACACTATTCAGCTTCAACTACCTATTATTCTTCACGAGAAGTTTCTTTACGACCTCACTTACTCGAGGTCCAAGTGGGCTCACATCTGAACATTGTTTCATATGCAACATTTTTTTCACATTAAAATTGTGTGCAAGACCATTCTCCTAGATGATCACGCAAGGTGGTTCCCCAGATGTTTGATGTCTCTTCTTTGTCTACTGCTACTTCTGAAGAAATGCTCTGCTTCTGTAACTACAAACACAGCCTCCCTAAGAGCTTCCTCTGTCCATCTTCTCTCATAGTGAGTTTCAGCCCCTGAACTTCATGAAAGCATCTACTGTAAAATGCAGTCACAGAAATTGCTTTCCTTTATCCCAAAGCCCTTTTATCTTCTGAAAGACTGTGTACCAAAATGCCATAGTGGGCTTATTTTGGGCTCCTCAGGCTAGAATCCCTAATTTTTCATCTTTAACTCCAGGGTGTTCTCATGGGCTGCCCTGCTCTCTAATCCAGAGTTCAGGTTCCATCTTCACCTGAACATTATACTATGCAGCCATAAAAAATGATGAGTTCATGTCCTTTGTAGGGACATGGATGAAACTGGAAACCATCATTCTCAGCAAACTATCGCAAGGACAAAAAACCAAACACCACATGTTCTCACTCATAGGTGGGAACTGAACAATGAGAACACATGGACACAGGAAGGGGAACATCACACACCGGGGCTTGTTGTGGGGAGCGGGGAGGGGGAGGGATAGCATCAGGAGATATACCTAATGTTAAATGATGAGTTAATGGGTGCAGCACACCAACATGGCACATGTATACATATGTAACAAACCTGCACGTTGTGCACATGTACCCTAAAACTTTAAGTATAATAAATAAATAAATAAAATTAAATTTAAAAAATTTTAAAAAACAAAATCACACAGCCTTTTCCCAAGATTAATCCATCATCATCATCATCATCATCATCATCATCCCCATCATTCTCTTTCTCTCATTTTCTCCACCTTGCCTGGATTCCTAAAACAGACTTTTAATGTATCTCCTTAAATTTATTGTCTCCATTTTCCACACCAAAGGGAAACTCCCAAAACACAAATCTGATCAAATAACTCCTGTTTTAAAAATTTGCAATGGTTTCTTATTATCTTCAGGGGAAAAGTTCAAACTCCTTACCATGGTTTACAAAACCTTCTGTGATTTGGGCCCCTTCAGCATGTCGCTTGCCACTCTTTTTAGCCTATACACCAGCTAAATCAAACTTGTCTCATGTGCCATGTGCACTCTCCCCACAAGACTATTACACCCAGTTTCCCCTGTAGAAAACACTGCCACACCCACCCCAGCCACCTGACTAGATCCTACATGTTCTTCAGATTGCCACCCACTCCGTGTCCAGCAGACAGGTCAGACTCCCTGGCTACATGTCCCCACTGCATCCTGTCCTCCCCGTGACTCTCTATTTTAATTGCTTTTTTTTTTTTTCACTGTCTGCTTTGCTGCTACATTTTAAATTCCTTGAGGACAAAGGTAATGTTCTCCATTTCCATCACATGTTAGTACCTAACACAATGCCTGACACAGAGTATCTATCCAATAAATATGTATTGGATGAATACAAAATTCATTAATTAATGTTTATAACAATTGCTATTATTCTCTTTTTTTCCTCCAAAAGCAGGTAACCTTCCCCAAAAGTCACTTGTTTCCCTCCAAGAGCAACTTCTAATGTTTAATTTTCCAAATATCCATGCCCTACACAAGACACTGCAAGAGGTACAGAGATACAAAGATAGAGTCCCTGAAAAGAGCTTATAGTTCAGTAAACAATGAGATAAAATCCAAATTAACTGAAGAAAAGAAGAAAATATTATGAAATCCACGATAGTTACGGGAAAGTGTCATTTGACATGAAACTGAAAATGATTAGACTGTCAATAAATGGAGATGGAGGCCGTGGTGCTGAAAGTAAACACAGTCTGAGGAAGACAGTGAAGACATTAAATGAATACGGAGAACACTTGCACGGCAAGGAGCGTGAGGACTATCAGTGGTTTAGCTCTCTAGAGCTTCAACAATGGAATAGATAAACCAGAAATATATTTTGGAGTCCTATCAGGGAGGGCCTTGATACAGAGGGAAGAACTGTACTCATATTCAGTAGTCAGTGGAGAGCCAGCACAGAGTCTGAGTGAGAGTGACATGATTGCACTGAGTTTTAGGAAGATCCTCCCTCCCCCACGGGTGTGTAGAAAGGATTAAGACGCTAGAGGTGGGAAAGTTTCCAGACTTTGCCAAATCAAGTTCAAAAGTCAGTGCTGTGAAGCACCATTGTTTGATTTCGAATTGAAAAAGAAAACTACATGCCCAAGATAGAGAATGTATTAGGAGACTGAAAGTGGGCAATGTGGTCTCTACCCTTGAGGAGCTTCTCTTGCAGTAACAGAAGCAGAAAACGTGGCAAAGAATTAAAGTAAAATATGATAGGGGAAATACAGAAGGAAAGAAAGAACAAGAATCTCAAACTTGGCACTGGTCTAGGAAAGAAAAAAAATCTTCCCCCCCACCAAAAAAAAAATGAACTACAAAGCAATTCTTAAATAAATTGGTGGTCTGAATCACACTATCAGTGTGAGCCAAAAATCCTCAGGCAGAGAATTTTAAGGAAAGGACAAAAGAGACACTGCAGAGATGGAATTTATACATTTTGGTAGACAATTGGATGTGGTGAGGGATGAAGGAGAAGAAGAGGTCGAGACCAAGCAATTGATCCTCAAGAACTAGGATTATCGACAGCATCTATGGCAGGCAGAAGAAGTCAGGAGGATATGCTAGATTGGGAAGGAATATGAGTGTACTCTTGTAAAGTCGCACTTTAACCTTCTATTGGGACAACCAAATGAAGTTTTATAACAGAAAAAAAAATGAAAATACTGATTAACAGTTTAGGATTAGATTATTTGAAAAAGTCTAATCCTGTATGCTGTGCTGTTGTTTTTGTTGTTGGATACAAACACATAGGAAAAGCTGTACAACGCATGCTTTCCACCCCTGCTCCAGAGAAATAGCAGATACTGTAAACTAGGTATTAGAGAGGAGAAGACTTTTTAAATTTTACTCCGTATATATTTATATTGTTTGAATTTTTATAATGATCATGTTTTTCAGGTATGTAATTTTAAAAGCTTTGATTTTAAATATTTGGCCCTGGAAACATACGTGGAGATGTCATTGGCATAAAGGTGATAGTAGCAGATGCAGGAAAGGATATAGTTGGTCAAAAACACAAATATAAAGATGTGAAACAGGTGGTCTAAGGATTAAAACTGGCAACATATTCTTAGAGAATGAGAAGAAGCTAAGACCACAGAAAGAGGAAAACGTTTGTTTAAAAGGTGAATGAAAAGCCAATAATGTAAACATACATAAAATAAAAGAGAAGTTAGTGGAGGGAGATAAATAGAAACAAATTATTATGTGCTCGATATTGTGTTAGTAATCATATATATATAGTAGTTGACATAACAGAGATAACTGTCATTTATTGAAGATTTGTTATAAATCAGAAACACATTGAGAATTTTTTTTCATCCTAACATTATCCTTTTTTATTTATTTATTTTTAATTTACTTATTATTATTATACTTTAAGGTTTAGGGTACATGTGCACAATGTGCAGGTTAGTTACATATGTATACATGTGCCATGCTGGTGCGCTGCACCCACCAACGCGTCATGTAGCATTAGGTATATCTCCCAATGCTATCCCTCCCCCCACACATTGAAAATTTTACAGAAATAATTTTATTTTACCCTCCAAGTTAGCCTAAAGGTATGTATAAAAGTTCTCTTTTTGGAGATGTGGAAACTGAGGCTCAGAGAAGTTAATTTAAAATCTCAGAGCTAGTTTAGTTGAAGAGCCCAAGTTCAAAGCCAGTTCTGAATTCAGAGGCCTTGCTCAGAGTTCGGACCACCTTCTTTTACCCAGTAAGGAGGAGGAGAGTGTCAAGTAACACAGTGATTTAATGAAGATAACAACTAATAGAAAGGGATTACACCCAGTGTTTAAAAAATATCTACTGATTTTTTTGAGATCAGCATTTTAGTGAGTGAAAGAAATGAATGCCAAATGCAAGAAATTAAAATGCAATGAAAACCTTGGTAGTTACAGGAGTAAGTATAATTTTTACTGTGTCATGAAAGACAGGATTATTTCTTATTGAATAAATAAGAGAGGCAGCACAGGTAATGGAGTAACGTCCTGGAAGTGGTAGAGCCAAGACCAAAGATCCAAGTCCCAGTCTTGGAAAGATACCACATCCTGAGAGAAAGGAGTTTATTTTAAAAAAAGAAAAAGAGAAGAAAAAGAAAAGAAAGAGAAGAGAGAGAGAGAGAGAGCCTCAATGTAATGAATTGAGAGAGATTCTACTGAGAGGCTTCAACCAAATGTAAAGAGCATAGGGTTGGGGGTTTGAGATTGTACAGAACAACCATTGTGACAAATATCAAAAATCAACAAAATGTGATCAAAAACTTGTTGAGCAGCAGAATGGATCTAAAAAATTGCATGGATTTTACAGATACATTTATCTATATGAGCTTTATTTGGCAATATGCAATAGTCCAGTTTTCTAGGGAGTAGCCTAGAGTAGTTAAAAAGTTCGTCACTACAAAACGGGTAGTGGAGCCAGAGATCGGATAGAGAACTGAAGATTATCCCGCCTTACATCAAGCTCTGGTTCTGCACCTGCTACCTCTGTAGCCTTGGGAATTTTATGTCATCTCTAAGCTTCAAATTTTTAATCAAGATAATAACAGCACCTATTCCCATAATTTGCTTTGAGAAATAAATTTTTACATAGCACAGTATTTAGCACATTCCAAGTTCACAATATATAATAAATATCAAGTAATAAGACAACTGAGAGAAGTATATCAAAGGACTGAAAGAAAAGGTGAGGGCAAAAAGCTAGTTAAGAATGGGTACAAAGGCCGGGCGCGGTGGCTCACGCCTGTAATCCTAGCACTTTGGGAGGCTGAGGCGGGTGGATCACGAGGTAAAGAGATCGAGACCACCCTGGCTAACACGGTGAAACTCTGTCTCTACTAAAAATACAAAGAATTAGCCGGGCGCGGTGGCGGGCGCCTATACTCCCAGCTACTCGGGAAGTTGAGGCAGGAGAATGGCGTGAAGCCGGGAGGCGGAGCTTGCAGTGAGCCAGGATCGCGCCACTGCAGTACGGCCTGGGCGAAAGAGCGAGATTCCGTCTCAAAAAAAAAAAGAAAAAGAAGAAAAAAAGGAATGGGTACAAACATAAAGTTTGATAGAAGAGATAATACCTAGTAGTGTTTCATACATCAGGAGGGTGTTTGATAAATCAGTAAGGTAACTATAGGTTACAATAATCTGTTATATATTTCAATATAGCTTGAAGATAATAATTTGAATGTCTCTAGCATAAATAAAACACAAATATTTAAGACACAAATATTTTTAATAACACAAATATTTAAGATGATGAATAGCCCAATTATACTGATATGATCTTTACAAATTATAAATATAAATATATTAAGTTTATCACATTTACTCCCAAAATATGTACATCTATTATGCATCAATTTTAAAAATAAAAAAATAGGAGAGTTAAAGTGAAAGAAACTTCGGAATTTGAGGTCTTGCAGGCAAAACAATTTTGACTGATAAAGTGTAAGTTCAAACCAGGTAATCGAGCAATTTTAAAAATTAGAGGCCACTGGAATTGAGGCATCTGGGAGTCTGGGAAAGAAACAGAAAGATATTCCCAAGGGAGGTGTCTCAGGATGGATAGTGAAGAAGACAGAGAGTTTCATAGGCAATGCATGAAATTATTAATAATGGTAGGAGAACGTGTGTGTGTTGTTTATAGGTGACTGAGACAAGGAATAAGAGAAAAACGGTATAAAGGAACTTCAAAATAAGACATTGTTAATACAGAGCAAAGAAAATGTACTCAACTCTCTGAGAATAAAATGTGGGAAAAGCATTGTCAAGAATCGTGAGTCATGTGCACAGATTATTTATACTTTAAAAAGAAGTAAAAGAAAAAGAATTAAGAAAGACAAGACCTAGAAAGGGCCATAAATAGAAGAGACAGGCTGGCGAGATTATGGGTGGAAAGGATTGTGTTCTATTTAGAGTCTGACGGTCTGCTTTCACATTGCTGTGTCATCAAAAAAAAAAAACAAAAGAAATGAGTGGTGTGAATTCAGATCCTATTTGTACCTGGTGCTGGGCTGGATGAAGACTGGCTTGACTGTCCCACCCTGCCCTGTTCTCACAGTCCACTGACAGAGCCCTACAATCAGTCCCTTTCCAGACTGTCAGAGGGGTGTGTAGCAAATATGGTCACGGGGTTGCATAGTTTTGTAAAATTTGCAAAAGAAAGTACTTACCACAGTTAGTTAAGATCACTGACTGTCTCTTTCCATTCTGGTTTGCTTGTCTGCACACTTATCCTCACATGGACTGGGGTGCAGTTGACAAAGGTGATCAGGGGATCCAGCTCAGGGGAAATTGAGTCAGAGACCCATTTGGTTGGGGTTTAGCGGATATGTGTTCATGGCTGAGAGTCATTTCCACATGCCATGATGGCATAGGAGTGATATCCAGGGGTTCTCCCCCTGCCCACTGTACTGGCTCTCTTGGCAAGATCCTCGCATCACACATCAAATCTCATTACAAATGTTCCCAAGATGCCTGTACATCTAGATGTATGCAGTAGTGGAGAAGAAATAAACTTTGAAGTGGAGGGAGTCAGAAAATAGTCTGTGGAAAATTCTTCCAAACATCAGATATGTAAAACTGTAAGTAGAGGACTTAACTTTCATTCCTGTCTTGTTAGAAATATACTAACTATAAACAGCACCTACAATTATAACTCTCATGCATATATATTTAGATATTTCATATGTATTTTTGATGGGAATATTGTGAAATAGAATTTTCTGAATTCATCTGCTCTTAAAACACAAACCTACAGCAGGCTTACAAACTAGGAGTAATCTGTGTGTGAGTCAGAGTTTATATATCCCAATTATTAACACTGAAAAAATTAATTTCCATCAACCATGCTAGAAATTTTCACAAGCAAGTGAAATTTTCTTTTCTTTCTACAGAAAGTGATATTACAAAATCCTAATCAAAAGAAAAAATAATCAAAGATTTTTCACCAAAAATATGAGGGGGTCTTCAAAACATTTGCAGAAAATGCATATTATGAAAACACCCATGCACGGATTTAAATTTTTTGCATCAAAATAAACATAACAACTTGTTATAACCTCTCTGCACAGGATCTAGCTTGTGACACCAAGGATAAGCTATCAGTTTGAAAGGTGTCCCTATCAGAGCAACATGAATGCTGCTAAAATTGAAGCAAGAACAAAAATCTAATTTATAGTCAAGCTTGGGTGGAAGAATGGTGAAAAGTTTTTGATTTATGAAAAGTTTAGGAGAACCATGCCTGAAAGAAACCAGAAGTTTACAAGTGGATAACTTATTTTAAGAAGGGACAAGACAATGTTGAAAATGAAGCCTGAAGCAGCAACCATCCATATCAATTTTCGAGGAAAAAATTCATATTGTTCACGCCCTAATTGAAGAGGACCGATGGTTAACAGCACAAACAATAGCCAACACCATAGACATCCTAGTTGGTTCAGCTTACATAATTCTGACTGAAAAAATTAAGTCAAGCAAACTTTCCATGCAGCGGGTGCCAACAGCATTGCACCCAGATCTACAGACAAGAGTAGAGCTTTCAATGGAATTTTTAAATAAGTGGGATCAAGATCCTAAAGAATTTCTTCAAAGTATTGTGACAGAAGATAAAGCATGGCTTTGCCAATACAATCCTGAAGACAAAGCACAATCAAAGCAATGGGTACCAAAAAATGGAAGTGGTCCAATCAAAGCAAAAGCAAATTGATCAAGAGGAAACTTCACGGCAACCATGTTTTGAGATCTCAAGATGTTTTGCTTGTGGACTCTCTAAAGGACGAAAGGATGATAATATTTGGCTATTAGGAGAGTGGTTTGAGATAGCCATCGCTTTAGCGGAAAAACACCCAGGAAAACTTTATCAGAGAGTCCTCCACCATGACAATGCTTCTGCTCATTTCTCTTATCAAACATAGCCAATATTGCAAAAGTTTTGATAGCAAATCATTAGGCACTCATCTTACAGTCCTGATTTGGCTCCTTCTGATTGGTTTTTGTTTCCTAATCTTAAAGGGGTATCCATTTTTCTTCAGTTAATAATGTAAAAAGACTGCAGTGACATGGTTAAATTCTCAGGACCCTCAGTTCTTTATAGATGGACTAAATGAAAAAAAATGGACTAAATGGCTGGGATCATCACTTACAGAAGTGTGTTGACCTTGATGGAGCTTATGTTGAGACATAAAGTTCACAACTTTTATTTGCAGCTCTTAATTCCATTCTTCCACAGACTTTATCAACTCCCCTCGTGTGTAGGAAAAGACATATTTTAGAGGTGTATCAGGCAGTTAACGAAAAACATAATGTAACTTTTGTGAGAAAAAGAAGAATCTTGAAGG
Organism: Homo sapiens; assembly: GCF_000001405.40. NCBI lineage: Eukaryota > Metazoa > Chordata > Mammalia > Primates > Hominidae > Homo > Homo sapiens. Next base: position 152,881,900 of record NC_000002.12, on the reverse strand, counting down.
GTCTGAAATTTTACCCTATTTGCAAACAGGAAATTGGCCTAGCACAGTTTCATGGATACTGGCAGAAGACATAGCCTCCTAGGTCAGAGACAATGGACTTTATTAGTCACAGTGATAACAGTAGCCAGAGGGTTATCATTTATTTTCTTGTGTCAGTTTGGTTGACCCAGCTTCCCCAGGGGGATGTGAAAGGGGCCAGGGAACACCTGCACATGCAGTGAGTTGAATTATAGGAGAGGGACCCTGAGCTTCAGGAAGCCAAATATTTTATAATGTGCAATAAATCATCAGTGCAGTAAAATGCCTGCCTTTGCTCTGAAGTAAAAATCCATCTCTACCTTCCCAAACTGTAAGCATATCTGCTCTTTTCCTTGCAGGGAGATACTGTCTTTATTGCTATCTTTCAAGGCTGTTTGCTATACAAACATCCTTGAACAAAAAATCTGAAACAAAGGCAACCAGTGCCTCTACTCACAAGATACACAGAAATGCAAGAGACCCATGGAGAGTTATCTCCTGACAAACAGACAATCTTCCAAGATTAACTCTTATGATGTCAGGAGATAACTCTCCATGGGTCTCTACTTTCCAATCTTCTCCCATTAGAAAAAGGTGGAAAAGAAATATTATCAGAGGAAAAAAAGCTTTCCATTAATGCAAGGAGATTAAAATAGCGTTACCATATTTGTACAAATTTAACCTTGTTTAAATGACAATCCCTTCTAGGGATTGTTATTTCTCTAGGCTAGCATGCTAGAGCTTGGAGCTTGATATTGTTTGGATGTTTGTCCCCTCCAAATCTCACGTTGAAATGTGATGCCCAGTGTTGGAGGTTGGGCCTAGTGGGAGGTGTTGGGTCATGGGGACAAACTCCTCATGAATAGCTAGGTGCCCTCCCCCCAGTAATGAGTGGTAATGAGTTCACATGAGATCTGATTGTTTAAAAGACAGTGGCACCTTCCCCACATGTGCTGCCTCTATCTTGTGATGTGCCTGCTCCCCTTTCCTTCCACCATGACTAAAAGTTTCCTGAGGCCTCACCAGAAGCCAAGCCAATGCTGGTGCCATGTTTGTACAACCTGCACAACCGTAAGCTGAATAAACTTCTTTTCTTTATAAATTGCCCAGCCTCAGGTATTAAACAGCAACACATAATGTCCTAACACAGGGATTATCCAGCTCTTTGGGGATTTTTACCCTCCATTGCTCCCACACTCATCCTCCCCTGTGGGACCCAGGGTTTTTCAGTCTCCCTGTTTATTTTCTCAGTGACTGTCACCATAAATCATGCACCTTCTAATTGTAGGAAAGTTATTTGCTACTTACAGAACTATGGCATTGTCATGACTCCCTTCCGTTATCTGTTCATTTGTGTATTAAATTGCCCCAAGCTGTGCTCTTAGCCTCTCAGAAGAAACACCATTTCTTGGAAACTTCCAAAACTGACATGGAAATTTTTTCTCTGAGAGTTAAAGGATTAGAACTGAGTTATGTGTATTTCTTCATGCAGTGTAAAATGAGGAATAGTGAAAATTCAGAAAAAAGAAACCTTTATTATAAATCTGAAAAATCACATATTAAAAGCAACCCGCCAGCATCTTCTCTGATCATATACAACATTAAAAATGATTCCACATCAACTTTGTAAATAATTGTTCTCATATGAGCCCATAACTTCACAAGGCACAGCAGTATTTTTCTGTGTGCATGATATTCAGAAAATCCCTGAAGAAGTGAGGGTTTAGCACAAATCCATATTTAATCTGTCTTGAGAAGAAGTCTAGATTTTTACAATCATCTTCTCCTAAGCACTGAAGGGGCCCAATGTCTGAAAGAATGACAGTGGCTGTTTGTTGCTGTTGTCTTCTTTTTTACCAGCTTTATCGTGGTAGGATTCATAAATAAAAATTGTATATATTTATGGTGTTCAATGTGATGTTTTGTTGTACATATTTATTATAAAGTGATTACCACTATCAAGGTAATTAACATATTCATCACCTCAACTTACATAATTGTCTTCCTTTTTTGTGGTAAGAACATTTAAGATCTACTCTCTTGGCAAATTTCAAGTATTTAATATAGTATTCTCAGCTATAGAAGAGTGGCAGTATTTCATTTTTTATCTGGAATAACACTTTCAACTCCCGTTCTCTTTTCTACCCTTCCAAAAAGAAAATAAGAATGAAAATTAAGCATTATTCTCCCCTTCAGGGAGGGACAATGTCCTTGTTATGCAAGGCAATAATAATGGTTACTGTTCCCATGGCCCTCTAAGCACTTCATATACATTCACTCAACCCTCACAACCTTAAAGTATATTCTGCTGTTTTCCCATTTTAAAGATGTGGAAACACAGGCAGGTCCTGGGTTCACGGAATTGTGTGTGTATGTGTGTGTGTGTACACACGTGTATGCACATGTACCCACATGTGCATAAACATGTGTCTTTGAGGAAGTGGAGCCAATATGACCACTTGTGGGCCATACACTTAGCTTCACTGAGCCCCTTTCTTCCAGTTCCATCAGCATCTCCAAGTCTCCTCTACCAGACGCAGGCCTGGTTTCAGCTGCCTGAGAGAGCTATTATGCTTTCACTCCCTGTCACTTCCAACTTCCCAGCCTTATACTCAGGCTGTCTTTCCCCATTTGCTTCCTCCAGAAAAATCTCATTCTCTCTTCTTCTGCATCAATCTCCATTGGGCTGGTCCAGAGCTTCTCAATTCCTGTCCAGAGAGCTGTGTCTTATCTCCTCCTTCAGAAAGGGAAACAGGTATCTTCCTCTTTGCCCTGGGAGTCCTAACAGAGCCCATGAAAGAGTACTGGATGAAGTGACCAGAATAGGGGCTGAGGAGCCTGTTTCACTTACCCTTCCTTCAGAGTGTGAATTCTACCACTAATTAGGCTGAGGAGTGGGTGGGCAGTGAGAGGAGGTACGGACAGAGGAAGAGAGTTACCAAAAGTAAACATGAGATGAACAAAACCCTACCTAGTGGTACAGATGGAAGACCCTGTTTCAGAAAGCTAGATAGTTGGTTCCTTCTTTGATTGTGCCTGCCACTGAGAGATTTGAAGATTGTAAAAGGTGGTGTGGGACAAGGAAGCAGGACCAATCAAAATTGTGAAAAATTTTTAAATAGCTCTGCTCAGGGAGGACTAGGAGAGAAGATTCTGTTAGAGGCACACAGTAAAACCAAAATGCTCAGACCTACAGGGTTGGGGCTCATGCCTCTAAAGTCACTTCAGCTGTTTGGAGAGGACGAGAGAGAAGAGAGAAGGGACAGAAAACTGCAGAGGATAAGATGTGACAGAGGAACCGAATGCTAGCATCAAGTGAGGGAGAGGCAGGAGGCACAGGCGAAGGGAATAAGAGAGCAGGGAGCTCAGGAGTCTCTCAATAGCTGAGTTGCTGTCTTCTCCTTTGGCAATCAGGGCCTACAGGTTGGCCCCACCATTGAGCTCATGTTGTTGAGCTGCTCCAGTTGCAGTTGCTGCTGAAATTTCACTTCTAGTGTCTGCACCAGTGAGTTTCCACATCCAGCCAAAAGCTGGGTCATCTACTTCATGAACTACTGCTGGGCATCAGAAGACCTGTTAGGGAAGTTGTGCCTGGCATGGCTGGGAAAGAGCTGGGAGACTTGGGCACAGACCTGAAGCTGCTGTCTGCCAAGGGTGCTGGAGTCTGAAACATCCCAAAGAAATCAAGGCTGGGTACCAGCCAGAAGCCTCAGTCCACTAAGTCTCCAGTCCCTGCTGTATCTACAACAGCATCTGCAAGAATTGACAAAAAGTGAGAGTGACTCCACATTCTGCATCTGTTACAAGAAGACTGAGAGCTGCAGGCAGAGCTGCTCCTGCACTTAGGGATTCCCCAAAAAAGTGGCATCTAAGCATCAAAGTTAGGGTTTTGGGTAAGCATCTGCATCATGCTATCCATGCAGGGAGCTGAGATCACATTCTGCATCATCTGGGAGTTCTCAAAGATCTGCTAGAGGAGGGCCTGTATTCCCGGGCTATTGAACATCCCTGACCACAGACTAACTGCATTAATTGCAAAGAAGTTTGACACTGTCGAGTGCATCTGGCTGGCCCCCAATCCTCCAGTGCCCTCCCCACCAGACCCAGGAACCTGGGAGATATGGGGTGAGGGATTCCACAGGTTAGGGAGGGGCTCTCAATTCTCAGTTGGGAGGATGAGCTAGGTCCCTATACAAGGAAGGGAAGGGATTGTTCCTGGTCAGCACTAAACATGGGCCCCTGTATGTCTGTATACATGCAGTAGAGAGCATTGCAGCCTCTGGGGGTGCTCTCTAAGTTGCTCAGGCCCTGGTCTGGTTCTGCATTATCTCCTGCATCACGCTGGATTCCAAACAAGCTCTATCACCTGCCTCGTGAACTTGAGTTGGGGAGTATAGTAGCTCATCTTGGGGTTCTTCCCCATCAGCTGCTGCATCTGGGTGTTGGCCATGATCTGTGGCACATCAGGCCAGGGATAAACATCATGTCCTGGACCAGAAGGCTCTCTAAGATCTGCAACAGCATCTCAAGTTTGGACATCGGCTGCCTCTGCATCTGCTGTAGCTCTACAAAGTTGGTAGAGCCCAAGTCCATGCTGCTGAGCCCCAGGATGCCCCAAAACCAGAGAGTTTGGATGCAGTAGCACTAAAAGGCCCCAACCCAACCCCTAAAAAGGCAACTGCCTCCCCACTGCTCTTCTGGCTTCTACCACCAGCATCCAAAGTGGTACAGCCAGAGGTGGAGGGCTTGCAGGATGGTGGGTAGTCACGGTGGAGGATGCTGAGGCAGGGTCTGGAGTTGAGGGTGAGGAAGCAGTAGCAGCAGCCACAACTTGAGCCTTCTGAGACTTCTGGGTGAACAGATAGACAGTGAGCCTGTCCTTGATCCCATGCTGGTTCAGTGTGTCCCCATCCTTGAGGATCTTGTCTGCAAAGATCAGGATCAGCTGATCCTGCTGAGCCTTAAACCTCCAAGAGATTTTGTCTTTGTATTCCTTGAACCAAGATTTGGTCAAACAGCACAACTTCCTTCTTGTCCTTGGGAGTCCTGGCAGTGATCCAAATGGGGAGCCTTCATCTCAGCCCTGCTCAGCTCTGCCATGCTGCTATGCTGCCTGCCAGCTCACCCTGGTTCCTCCTCTTTGAAAAGCCAGGATTTAAACCCAAAGTATTTTTTCACTCCCCGAATCCATGTTCCTTTCTGTTCTTGATCATTTTTAATCAACAGATATTTATAGTTTATACCAGGCATTGTGCAAGGCACTGGGGCTATAATGGTAAAAAAAAGATCAACCCTCCCCGCCTTCATAGAGCTGAGTCTCTGAGACAGACCAGCTGCCTACTGGCAATTGCAACACGGTGTGATAAATGCTGCTATGACTAGAATGTGATGAGAGTAGACAGGAGGCACCTAACCCTGGATTGTGGAACTGTGGGAGGTTTCCAGAAGTCACAGAAGGCTTTTAAAGGAAACAACATCTGAGCACAAATCTCTATCCCCGCAGAAACCTGTAGAATGGGCAAGTGTTAGCCAAGAGGACAAAGGGTAAGAAAAAAGTGTTCCAAGCTAAGGGAAGAGCATGTGGAAAGACTCCAGGGCCAGGCAGAGTGGGTGAGTCAGCATGACCAGGGCCCAAAGCAGAGAAGAACACTCAGTGATATGCCTGGAGAGGTCTGAGTGGTCAGGATCATGAAGGGTCTTGTTGGCTAGCTGAAGAAATTCATGCTTAATTCCAAGAGCAGCAAGGAACCCCTGAAGGATTTTATGCAGAATAACATGATTCAACTTGTATACTAGGAACACCACTTGGGCTGTATTGTAAGACCTAGTCTCTGGAAGGAGAACCAGTCTGACTGAAGGAAGGCCAATTATGAGATGGTTGCAGAAATATAAGCAAGAAGGCAAGTGGCAGTCAGGAGCATGAGCAGTGGGTGGATTTGAAAGTGATTTCCAATGTATTTCAAAACTCCCAGGACTTGGTAATTGGTACGGCTGTCAGAGGAGGAATCGGATGACATGCAGATTTCTGGCTTGGAAACCTATTCAAAGAGGAAGGGAATATAAGAGAAACAGCAGGCTTCAGAGGGAAAATAATTATTTCCGCTTAACAAATGCTGAGCTGTATTTGCTCATGAGACACACAGGTGGACAAATTGCTTAAGCAGTTGGTAAGATTGGAGTGCAGAAAGTTCCAGGATAAGAATGTGGGATCAATCTTCATGCAAAGAGTAGCGAAAGCCCTTGGCTTGATGTGATCACCCAGAGAAAGTGTGTAGGGTAAGAAGAAAAATAAGTCTGGGAGTGAGCCAGTCTTTAAAGGTCAAAAAGAGAAAGCTCAAAGGAGTTTGAGAAAGATTGGCCTGAGAGGCAGGAGGAAAGTCAAATATGGGCACAGGGATCTGAAGAAAAAAAGGTTTCAAGGAGAAATGAGTGGCCATCATGTCAAATGCTGCCAAGAGGACAGGTAGAAGACTACTGAGATTGTGTCCAGTGGGTTTGCCAAAAAGAATAGATTTGTTCAGCATGGAAGAAGCTGCTAGAAGACAACTGCTCTCCCTGTCTTTTGTAAAGCATTGAAGATTTATGCTAACATCCTGGGCTTAGGAGGTGGGTGTGGGTGAAGGGAGAGAGGTGGAGTCTTTGGGAGCAATAGGAGAAGAGAGGAAGAGTTTTCACATTAAAAAAGAATTTAGAGAATGGAAGTTGGGAGACAGAACACAGGCTCTGCCTTGAAGTAAGCTCAAGTGACTAATAATGTAGTGACTAATAATGGAATATTGTCTAGGTTTGATTTACTGCTTCGCCACTTACAAGTGATGTGACCTTGGTCAGGTTGCTAAACTTCTTAACTCAGTTTCCTCGTTAGTAAAGCGAGGTTGGTATGAGGTTTAAATGAGTTATTCAGTCTAACAGTCTTAAACAATGCCTAGCATACGATAAGCATTTTGTGATAGCACTTCTTAATATTTCCTTATTTCCTGGGAACTATGTAAGCCTCAGAATTCTTATGAAATCTTTGAGAATAGGGACCCTCAGTACCAACTGTAATCAGATTCCCTCCAATCTGACAAAAAGAGTGCTTAGAGATAGATTTACTTTGATCTTAAAAAAAGAGGGAAGAGGCAGGGGTGACTGACTGTGTCACCACAGTAGGAAGCAGTGAAGACTGTGAACACAGACCGGGTGCTATGGTCTGAATATTTGTGTGCCCCCGGAATTTATACGCTGAAACTTAATCACCAATCTAATAATATTTGGAGGTGAAGCCTCCGAGAGGTGATTAGGTCATGAGAGTGGAACTCTCATGAATGGAATTAGGGCCCTCATAAAAGAGGCCCCAGAGAGCTGCCTTACCCCTTCCATCATGTAAGGACTTAAGGAAAAAATGGCCCTCAACAGACACCAAATCTACCTTGATGTTGGACTTCTCAGCATCCAGATCTATGAGAAATAAGCCTCAGCTGTTTATAAGTGGCCCAGTTTATGATATTTTGTTATAGCAGTCTAAAGGGTCTAAGACACCAGAGATCAGAAAATACTGCCCACAGCCTGGTTTTGTAAATAACACAGCCATGCCAATTTCTTTACATAGTGTCTATGGCTGCTTTCACACATATGGCTGTTTTTCAGCAACACTGAGTAGTTTTAACAGAGACTGGAGGACATGAAAAGCCTAAAATATTTAGTATCTGGTCCTTGACAGAAAAAGTTGCCAACCCTTGATATTATACTTTCAAGCACTATGAAAGGACCTAGAGAAAAAAATTAATACTCCTGGGAGTTTTAATTGATCTTAGGTTCAATATGAATTAATGTTATGATTTGACTGCCAAAAAGTAAAATTTGAATTGCTAGAAATATAAGATCTAGAATGATAGATGAAGTAGCTGACAAAGCTGGTAATATTATGTTGAGTTTGGAGCAGTACTATTACAATCTAGGGCAGCTCAGTCCGAAAAAAACTTTCTGCAATGATGGATATGTTCTGTCTGCACTGTACAATACAATAACTAGCCACTAGCCTGTGGCTAATATTGTTTGACCGAGGAACTGTATTTATATTGTTTTAAGAGACAGTTTCTCACTATGTTGCCCAGGCTGGTCTTGAACTTCCAGACTCAAGCAACCCTCCTGCTTCAGCTTCCCAATTAGTTGGGACTACAGGTGTGCACCACCATGACCAGCTTTATTTAATTTTAATTAATTTAAACATAACTAGCTACATGTGACTATTGGCTACGATACAGGACAGCATCAGTATGTAGATAGCATCAGATAGATTTCTCAGCATCACAGAAGTAGCTGCATAATAAATATAAAACAATTAAATTCAATAAATCTGTTTAGTGCTTTATTACAGGAATACAAAAGTAAGATTCAATTAAAATTTAAAAAGTAGACAGCCACAAAACTTAAATACAAGGATATAAATGCCATAATGATAGAGAGATAAAAATATTAAGTGTCCACTATATGCCAGCCTTTCAGGAATGTTCTTGATATTTACTATCTTATTAAACCCTTCAAGAAGTCAGCAAAGTAAATACCCTAAACTTCATATTTTTTTTAAACTGAGCCATAAAAACACTAAGTAAATTGGCCAAGGCAAGTGATAATTGAGCTAGCTTCAAGCATAAATCTACCTAACTCCAAAACCAAAGGTCCCTTCTACATAACAAATTTCTAGGGTAGGGAAGCCCAGAGAAAGAGAGGATAAGTGATATTTGAATCTTTTTTTTTTTTTTTTTTTTTTTTTTTGGAGACGGAGTCTCACTCTGTCACTTAGGCCGAAGTGCAATGACGAAATCTCGGCTCACTGCAACCTCTGCCTCCCGGGTTCAAGTGATTCTCCTGCCTCAGCCTCCCGAGTACCTGGGATTACAGGCACCTGCTACTATGCCCGGCTAATTTTTGTATTTTTAGTACAGACAGGGTTTCACCACGTTGGCTAGGCTGGTCTTGAACTCCTGACCTCAGGTGATCCACCTGCCTTGACCTCCCAAAGTGCTGGGATTTTGAGTTGAATCTTAAAGAAAGGAGTTCTCCATAAAGATAAAAAGAACAGAACAGTCTAGGCAAGGGGAAACTGCATGAGGAAAGATGCAGAGCTGTGGAAGGATACAAGAATTGGTGGCAGAGCATCAGTTCAGGATCTTCAATAGGTTACTTTTCGTGTTCCTTCTATATGCAACACACTGCTACAATACTATTAATACTCATACACATTGCCCTAAGCATTGTGGAAGGTAAAATAAAATAAATGGTCGAGACACAATCCCTGCTCATCATAAACAATCTAGTGGAGAAGGCTAACAATATACAACCAGGCTGGCTGAAATAATAGAGTTACAAATCAGCCCCAAGAGATCAGGGACTGGGCCTCTAATTAATTGGGGATCATGATAAAGCCTCACAGAATAGGTGAACTTTAAGTTTGTATTAAGTATCTGCTAGTATCTATTAGTGTCTCAATAGTAGAGGTAGAAGAAAAACCAACCAGAATCATCAATGGAACTCTATATAGAAGGAATCTGTGAAGATTCTAGGGATATTTGACCTGAAAAAGGTCAGGACGATGGGACTTCCATCTTTTAACACTTGAAGGAATGTCACAGGGCAAAGGGATTAGTCTTGCTGTGTGACACAACATAGCAGAACTCAGACCAATGGAGGAAAACTCCAGAAGGCAGATTTTGGTTCAGTAGAGTGAAATCTTTGCTTACGGAGCAGTTTGAAAATGGTATGCGTTGCCTCAGGATGACACCACCTCTAGAACAGTTTAAGGAAAGGCTGGATAAAGATGGTGATCATATAGGTTGTCCAAAAATGCTACTCTAGACTCCAAGTTGATATTCTGACCCTGACATCTGAGATTCTGGCAAAGAGCTGGCATTAACATTGCTAGCTTTTCTCATAGTTCAACTTTGATCACTTTTCTGATCAGTTGTGGGGTTTTTTTGTTTTGTTTTTGTTTTTTGTTTTTGTTTTTGTTTTTGTTTTGAGAAGGAGTCTTGCTCTGTCACTCAGGCTGGAGTGCAGTGGCACAATCTTGGCTCACTGCAACCTCTGCCTCCCGGGTTCAAGCGATTCTCCTGCCTCAGCCTCCCGAGTACCTGGGATCACAGGCACATGCCACCACACCCAGCTAATTTTTGCATTTTTAGTAGAGACGGGGTTTCACCATGTTGGCCAGGCTGGTCTGATCGGTTCTTAAAATTGAGTTGAAACTTGTATTTTTGGGGGAAATAATTTAGATGTACAATTAATTATTTAGGGAAGAAATCCATTCTATTCTCCAAATTTATTATCTTGGCAAATCTCATTTTGATACTAAAAAAGGTTGCCCTAACTTGAATGATATCTTTGATGCCATCGATTATATACTACAGAAAGCAGCACCTAGAGTCTCTGGGCATCAAATCCAAAGTCCTGGCCTTTCTTCTTAGGACAACCTCAGAACCCTAAACAAAATGTCTAATATGGTATGCACTTTCAAATAATAAATCCACATTCCTTTTCAAATATTCTACAATTCTTGAGACTTTTCACTAGTCCATAATGCCAGCCTTCTCTCACCTTCCCATGCTCTTTCATTTGTCTCTAAGATCCATTCAAAACCCTCTTCTACTCTGCGTTACAGGAAACTGATCCATGCAACTATTTCCCAGGCTCCATTGACAACTGGCTTCCTCTTAGGTTTGGTCAATAGGAGGCACTGGTGGAAAACGGGAAAACAAAGGATTAGAGAGTGGAAGAAAGGGAAACAACAGGATATGTGAGTGTGTGTGAGCATGTGTGAGCACGTGTGTGTGTTAAAATATATGTAACATAATATCCCCTTTATTCTTTAGCTTTTCCAGCACCTTTGTAAAATTTCCCTTGTAACTCTTAAGCTACCTCTTTGGTTCCATTTTCCTTACTGGGCCTGACTGATACCATCCCATTCTCTACTTTAACAGAGGTCTTACGTAATTCTAAAGTGTGGGTTCAAAAAGCAGGTGGAAATCATCAAAAGAAGCTGTATTAATTTAAAGAAAACCTGTTCTTATACTTGGTCTAAATCTTAAGTGACTGCTTTTGTGGCCTCCTTCTCTCACCCTCACCATCTACTTTTAAGTCCCTCTCCACATAGAAAATAGGCCATCGCGTCATCTTGTACTTGAACACTCATTATACCTCCAAGTGTCAGAGATTTCATTTTGGATTCTCTTATTAGACTTTAAATCCAATTAAATTCATATGAATTCTTCAATAACAAAATCTATTTGGAAAATCACTCACGGAAATCCCTTTACCTCTTTTATTGTATTTTCTCTTCCTATTTTTTCTTCCTGCCTATTGCCCTCTTCTCTTTTTCCCCACGGAAATAAAAGATATGATCAGAGCAACATTTAAACAGCCCACCAACATGACCTCTATCTTCCTTCATGTCATAGGAGGTAGATGTTGCCGTGGCAACTATGGAATAGACATTCGTGACTTCCTGTACTGCAGTCTCCAAAAAGAACTGTCTTTGAGATATTATCCACTCTCAGGTGGAAGGCCTGATATTGTTTTATATAGAATTTTTTTTAATGTGAGACCCACATTTGAAGGACAACAATTATGGCTAGTCCTCAGGCCACAGGCATTTGTCAGATGGGCACTACTCACCTGCAGACCATTTTGTGTTCAGTCGCTTCTCATTCTGCTAATGCTGAGATCATTCTACTGCCTCAAAAGTGTGAATTGACAATCACCAATTGTTGAGCCTTTGATATGTAAAATGCTGAGAAATAGTGGCCAGTCCAAGGCCCTTTCCCCAAATGGATGTTATTCTCTCATCATTTCCTCTTCTCTAGCCATTGATCTTTTCTGCATTATTTTTTCCACTTTATATTTTCCTAATACTAGACCCCTGTCTCCATGAACTCAACTTTCTGACCCGAATTGAAGTATAGTCATTCATTGGCTCCTGTGTCTAGCAGTTGTATACAGCAGGGGAACTGGATACAGCCAAAGTCAAAGGTCACCAATTTTGGAAATGAAGAAACCAAGAAGAGAGAACAATTCATTTCCTGGCAGAGAAATTATAGCAGCTTCTACATTGGACATACCTGACCCCTCCTTCAAGATTGCTACTATTTCAGGACTCAGAAAGAAACAAGGCAGAAAGGGCAACATCTTTCTTAATGCAACACTGTTTTGGGGGTTGACCTCCCTAGCAAGTTATAAATCCTACATATACCATGTGGTAGACCCACATCCCGGCATCTGCTCGGCCCCTGCCTAATTTCTCATTCTTCCTTTAGTTCTGGACTGGGAACTGAGATATTACACTAGCATGAACCAGCATTATTGTCTTCTGCATATTCTATATCCTCTCATTTTTACAAAATCCCTAAGATATAAATAGTGGTCTAATATTATAGTCATATTACAAATAAGGGCAAGTAACTTGCCTAAGGCCCCTCAAGCAGAAAGTGGCAGCGGCAGTATTTGAACACTGGTAGGGCTGAGCCAAAGAAAGATACTTTCATCTATACTTCATTGTATCCCCAAAGGAGAAACTTGGAAACACAGTATGAAAAGAACCCCTTCTGTCTAATTTCCCGCTGACCTATAAGCAATACGAGTGAAGGGACAATCCACATTCACTTCAGTATCCCCCATACATGGCACATTGTAAATACTCAATTAAGGATTTGTTGAAGGATGAATGAGTTTGTTAATTAATGCATATCTCTCTCCTCTATCCTGCACCTGAATTACTGCCAAGACCTCTAAAATGGCCTTTTCACCTCTACTCTTGACCACCTCTAACCAAGCTTCCGCAGCCAAGCTTGCACGTGATTAACACTATTACTCTAAAATTACTCAGTAGCCTCCATCAAAAGGATAAAGTACAAGTTTCTCTTCCCTTATCTATCCCTAAAGTGTTGTCTCTTCCCCTTCTATACTCATGGCTTACAACCTTCCCCTTCACCCCTTTGTTGAATTAGTGCCCATCTCTCTTCTCTATCCTGCACCTGAATTACTGCCAAGACCTCTAAAATGGCCTTTTCACCTCTACTTTTAACCACCTCTAACCAAGCTTCCACAGCCAAGCTTGCACGTGAGGCCTGGGACATTTCCAGACATAACTAACTTGAGGACTATGTGATAATAACAACAATTAGGAAGGTAGAAAATTAGGGAAGAGTAGAGGCAGCAAAACTAATTTATATATGCAACTTTATCCCAAGCTATCCCTGTCTGAAAGAATCATTCCCAAACCCAGTACTATGGCAACTCTTCTGAAATCATTATTTGTTTTGTACAAGTTCAAAAGTTTTGAGATATAAAATTATTCCTGTTACACAGCGTGCACTAATGTGTTGTCAATTGGTCGGTCTTCATGCCACTAATCAAAGAACTCAAGTACATATTTCTCAAGAGCCTGAAGCACAAAATATTAGATCTCAATAAAGTCAGAGATTAAAAATACTGACACTCTCTGTTTCTAGGGGAAGAGGAATTATATTTTGCCAATTATAAAAGACCTGGCTTATTTTATTATCTCCCATTTATAATGTTTAATATTAAAATAAGGTGTAGTATATACATAACATTAGCAGAAATCTGGTTATACTGAGTGAATAAAAGACAACTTGTAACAGTGGTAAAAGGGGCTTGCTGTGGTAAAATCCAGGCTCTGAGACATTTTTTTATGACTGACATTTTTAAGACCAATAATAAAAACTAGAAGATGTAATAAATGCAAATTCCTCAATTCCAAAGAGGGGAGAAAGAATATGTGATGTCATGAAGGATTTATTACCACTAATTGGATAATAAATATCCTTTGGTCTTTATCAATATTTTAACATGGACATTTATATGGATAATATTTATATTGAAGGTATTAACACAAGGCTTTTTTTCCTCTTAGCGCTCTGGTCTTCGGGATTTTTTTTTTTTTTTTTTTTTTTTTGGTGGGAAGGGAATATTGATTAGAGCATTTAGTAGAATAGAGGGTACTGTTTTTGGTTAGATGATTATTGTAGTTGTGTGTTAAGAGTCTACCATGTACCAGTCACTTTCCCAATACTATCACCATGACAATTCTTGAAGGGAATTGTTCCGATCATCATCACAATTCCTGAAGGGAAGTACCATCAGAGCTCTATGCCATAGATGCGGAAATCAAGGTTCAAGCAGAATGAGTAATTTGCCCATGGTACCAGAGCTCATAAGGAAAGACTTGGAGCTCAGTGTCTCTGACTCTAAGTCCCATGCCTGTCCCATTGTTATTCACTCTGCAATGCTGCCACTGCTCTGAAGAGAACATAGAAGAGTGTGGCACCTGCTCAGGAAAATGTGTTTGGAGACAAAAGCCCTTTTGCCTCAGAGAATTGGGTTGCAGAAGCCCATTTTGCAAGTCCAAACAGCTTTTCAAGGAGGAAAAAAGCACTGAAGTTAAGACAAGCTATGTGACGTAATTGCTTTATAAACACTATTTTTTTTATTTTCATGAATATGAACAAAGAATGATGAAAGAGACTAAAAAGATTCCCTTGAAACTAAGCACAATCAATGACTCTTTGTAATTAGATCTTGCTTGGACAGGAATGATTGGCACCAAGCTTGCCTTTGCTATCTTTAAAATTAAGAAAGAATATGATGCTCTTTTGAGATGTCGCTTTGCTTTGCTACAGTCCCCTGTTTTTTGGTCCCACAGCAATCTAGATGTTGCTGTGAAGGTATTTTGTGGATATGATTAAAGTCCATAACTAGTTGACTTTAAGCAAGAATGATTATCCTTGATACCTGAGTGGGCCTGACTCAATCACTTGAAAGGCCTAACAGCAGAACTGAGGCTTCTCTGAAAAAGAAGAAATTGCACCTGTGAACAGCAGCTTCGCCCCTTGCTAGAAAGTTTCAGCCTGCAAATTCCTGACCACCTGACCTACAGATTTCAGACTTGCCTAGCCAGACCCCAAAATCACTCAAGCCAATTCCTTGCAATAAATCTTTTAATATATATCTCCTGTGGGTCTCTTTCTCCTATTGAACCCTGATGATACAAGGGATTTGGGGATTACAGCACAGCAAAACTGAGTATAAAAGAAAAAAAATTGTTTCGAAGGGGTCACTTATTTCGTCACGAACAACTTTTAGGTTCTTCATGATAGGTGAGAGTAGTCTACAAAAAGTCTAGGTAGGCAAAGTATAGTTATATCACAACCACCTCACTAATCTAGTTTTGATGAAAGAAAACCTCAGGCCAAATTTTGCCATATTATAAGCTTTGACTAAACAACATTGATTAGCAAAATAGGGGCAAAACTTTTTACAGTCTGTGCTGTAAACTTAATGAAGTTCAGTTCTCTGTCTTTTTAGGTGCTTCATCATCATCTTGCATGAAAGTTCACTCAAGGCAGATGTGATTCCAGTGGCAGGATTTGGTTAGCCCTATCATCAGTATCAGGCTACAGAACTCTCTGACCCAATGGCTGGACACAAACTATGTAAAGATCAGCCTCAAGTACCATGCCCAGGGCTATAAGGCTTGGCAGTTTTCTTATACCTTCTTCATGCAATAGTGGCAATTGTCTCTAAAATATTTTAGCCAAGTCACACAATCCTAAGTACCACTAATTTCTCTAATGAGGGACTAATTGGTCAACCCATTATGCCGATTAACTAGATATTAATTCCCCCTACGAAAACTGATTTCTAGCATTCGTAACACTTGTTAGGAAAATGTCTAATGTTGACCAAAGGTAGTTGCAGTGCTTGTAGTAGCCATTTATGGAGTGGTCATTTCTATTAAATGTTAACTCACTTCCCCTGCCCTTAGAACATAGCCTAAACTAACTTAAACCCAAAATCACATTACTATGCTAAAGTATTTTGGAGTAAATTGCAGACATCATAACAAGTATTGTAACCAAATATCTTTCGAAGAAAAAAAAAACAGGTTTTCTGTAATTTATAATGCTGCTTTTGGTATTTTTCAGGTTGTAAAACACATTCCTAACCAGCAAGTTGGCACATTTGGTTCAGCCTATATCTATGTCTAATTTATTTTTTTAATTACTGCTTCTGAACCTTGATAGGCTAAGATAAGCAAGGATAACACAAATGTCTCCCTCGACAATTCAGATGCTCATTTTGGTGGAATTTTTCTTACATTATTAAGTTTGTGAACATTTAAATTTGTGCTTTTTGAGAGAATCTCTTAAAATAATAATTTTCATATGGGCATATATAAACCACTTAAAATTATCTGTTAAATTAGATTCATCTCACATTCTTAGAGAAATATACATATTTAGGATACTCAAAACATACAGTTAATGTGACAATCCTGACCATCAGAAATAGGAATATCTAGAGAAAATGAAAGTACGGGAGCATCCTTTTTGTTCTGAAGAGTGAAAGTGAGATGGATGAAAAAGGGCCAAGCTATACTACTGTGGGTACTGGCAATCTTTCCCTAAATCCTCCATCAAATGCCTTGTTTCTTATCTTTACAAAAGCAAACTTCACAACTGCAGAGTGGGGCTGTTCATCAGGCAGAGAGCACAGAATGTGTTACACTTTGGCCAAATGTCCACAAAGCATAATGTTAAATCATGAGCTTCGACACTGTGGAGTCAAACAGCTGACCCTCCTCACTTTCTTTTCATCTGATCATCAAACGCGTAATAGGGGCCTACTTGAGTGGGAAATTCCCTGGGGTGAATGACACAGACACTGCTAGCCATTACTTTCACCAGGCTCAAGAACTGCAACCACAATATTTTGGGTAAATATGCAAAGGCCCTGAAGATTTGTTTGCTAATTTTTTTTAGTTGACATTTTTTGAGCATCTGCTATTTGGCAAACTCAGAACTTATAGGTGGGAGTTCAAGCATGTATAAGACGAATTATAGCTACCCTCAAGGATTTCACAGTCAACCACGAAAGATAAGCACAAAATGACATTAAACTAAATGAATAAGCACATTATATGTACATATACAAAAGGAGTGTTTGTGAATGTCAGGCAAAACAGGGCTGGTAAAAGTGATAATTTCTTTACTAGCTTGAAGAATATGGCCCAAAGAATGTGGCTTTGAGTGCCCACAGCCTGTAAAAAATGTGTCTTTGACACCCATTCATCTTCGTGGTCCCCCTTTTTTTCCTCTCCTCCAATACTCAATGCCCCGAGGCCATCTCTCTGGCTTCCCAAAGCATTAATCCAACCCATTTCACCACTGCGTCAAAACCTCCAAGATCTTAGGGAAACTAACATCAATCAGTTAAAACAAATCCTCTCACAACAATTCTCACTGAAAAATAAGTTAGTGATGTGGCACGCTAATCCTCCCAGGAAATGAGGAAGCACCAAGACAGAAGTATTTTTTAAAATCAATGGAAATACACTCAATATTTGATTTAGGAAATACTGTTTACCCCATAATCTGAGAGTTTAACATAAATCTTGAGTACCAACAATTTAGTTTTTTCAAAAGCGTGATACACATCTCTCTTGATGTATGCTTGATGTTGCATAAAATTATTTCAGGTTTCACTTACAAAACATTTTTAATAGTTGTGTGTCTCTTTGTGTGTGGGGTGTGTGTGTGTGTGTGTGTGTATGCTTCTGTAGTTACTTACATGTAATTATGTTGAAAATAAAAGTGGTATACCAAATGATACTAGATTTGCATTTAAGGGTAATAAAATTGAAAAACTGAATATACAAATAGACATATATAAAAATACAACTCTGACCCACAAATTGCAGCAACCAGCCCAGAAGCCAACTCATTATCTACAGGAACAAGCCCAAGAGGTTAAACTACTATCTATAAATCAGACTTGCAGGAAGTCAGACCACTATCTCTATTAACCAGTCCAGGAAGTCAAACAACAACTGCTGTAAACACTATTCACAATAGCAGAGACATGGAATCAACTTAAACGCCCATCAATGAGAGACTGGATAAAGAAAATGTGATATATATACATAATGGAATACTATGCAGCCATTAAAAGGAACAGTATCACCTCCTTTGCAGGGACATGGATGGAGTGGGAGGCCATTATCCTCAGCAAACTAATGCAGAAACAGAAAACCAAATATGACATGCTCTCATTTGTAAGTGGGAGCTAAACGATGAGATCACATGGACACATAGAGGGGAACAACACACACTGGGGCCTATCAGAGCATGGAAGTTGGGAAGAGGGAGAGGATCAGGAAAAGTATCTAATGGGTGCTAGGCTTAATACCTGGGTGATGAAATAATCTGTACGACAAACCCACATGACACAAGTTTACCTATGTAACAAACTTGCACATGTACCCTGGAGCTTAAAGTTTAAAAAGTTGATTTATGATATTTTCTCTCCTTTTCTCCCAAGGTCTCTGTATAGATAAAATAATTGAGCATATGGCCGGGTGTGGTGGCTCACACCTATAATCTTAGCACTTTGGGAGGCCTGTAATCCTAGCACTTTGGGAGGCCAGGATTGCTTGAGGCCAGGAGTTCGAGACTACCCTGGTCAACATGGTGAGACCTTATCTCTATTAGAAAAAAAAAATTTTGTTGAGACAGAGGCTCACTCTCTTGCCCAGGCTGGAGTGCAGTGGCATGATCTCACGTGACTACAATCTCCGCCTCCCAGGCCCAGGCGATTCTCCAGCCTCAGCCTCAGGTAGTTGGGATTACAGGCATCCACCACCATGCCCAGCTAACAGAAAAAAAATTTTTTTAATCAAATAATAATTGAGTATGTGTAAGAATTGTGTGCAAATTTAAAAAAACTAAAGGAAAGCACTACACAAAAAATAATAAAGAAATAACTGTTGTAAACAATGTCCTCTAAATAGCCAAGATTTGATTAATAACAGATTAATCAAGTCTTGGTTACTAACTTCTCTATTTTTTGTCTCCACTTCCAACTTAGGACTAACCAGAGAAAGCCAAAT
The DNA here is from genome assembly GCF_000001405.40 of Homo sapiens. Lineage (NCBI taxonomy): Eukaryota > Metazoa > Chordata > Mammalia > Primates > Hominidae > Homo > Homo sapiens. Next base: position 152,862,939 of record NC_000002.12, on the reverse strand, counting down.
ATGCACCCCTAACCAATCATACAGGATGCTCCGCTTCTAGTTAACCTACCTTCAGCTTCCCTACTCCAACAGCCTCCAATCACAGCATACCTAAGTCTCCCCTTTTTTCTACTATAAAGCTTTCCCACTTCTCTGCCTGCCTTGGAGCCAAACACAAGTGGTAGTGGCTGACTCCTTTACTGTAATAAGCTCTGAATAAATAGCCTTTGTGTTTTCTCATTTGGGTGGTCTTTGTTTATTTTCACAAAGTCTCCTAAAATAAATGTACTTAAATATGAAAAGGGCATTTTACTTAAAATCTAATTACATAATAGTATGGATGGTACATGAATATTACAAAAATTATCACAATGGTACATAAATGAGTGAAGTTTGGAAATACTGTATTCTCCGCAAGGCTAGATGTGCTATGCACAAAATCTTTTACAGGAATGCTACGACAAGCATACACGAGGTGTTCTCCAACCTCAGGCTTTTGCACTGGCTGTTTTCTCAGCTTGGAATGATTCCTCCACATGCATAAGATATGCTCCCTCTCCTCTTTGGCTCTTAGCTCAAATGTCCTCTCCTTTGTGAGTATTTGTCTGACTAGTCTGGTTGTTTGGTTTTGTTGTGTTTTGTTTGTTTTGAGACAGGGTCTCACTCTGTTGCCCAGGCTGGAGTGCAATGGTACGATCATTGCTCACTGCAGCCTTGACCTCCAGGCTCAAGTGATCCTCCCACCTCAGCCTCTCGAGTAGCTGGGACTACAGGCAGGAGCCATCATGCTCAGCTAATTTTTTCACTTTTTGTAGAGACTGGGTCTCACTATGTTGCTCAGGCTGTGACTATTCTGTTTTCAATAACAATACCCTCTATCCTGTCCTCCTACACTCACACAGTCCTTTCCACCTTTTGTATTTTATTTTATTTTCCCCATAGAACTTACCACCATCCAATATACTGTGTATTTTACTTCTTTATTTATGTGTTATCTCCCCCAACACTGCTACAATGTAATTCCCTAAGGATAGTGATTTTTTTCCCGTTTTTCTTTTCCACTCAATACTGAATCGTTAACACCTAAAACAATGCCTAGCACTAAGAAAGTCTTCAAAAATATTTGCTAACTGAAGAAAAGAAGGAATATTGTCAGCCTTGGAATGAGTAGAACCCAAGCTCAATTTCAGCTCTGTCACTTACTAGTTGTGCTAGATGTTGAGATGTGTCACCCAGACTCCCTTCTAGGGGTGACCTGTTGCCCCAGCTGTCAGCATTCAGGGTTTTCCTCAGCTGCAGAGTCACCTTACTGAGAACACACCCTGTAAAGACAGCCAACAACCAGTTGCTGATTGAGACGTTATTGACACAGGGGCATCACAATTTATTCTGATCAACAGAATGTACTCAGGAGCTCCCCCTGGTGTTGACTATAGCTAGTGGCGCCTGTGTCACATTTCAACTTCTTTATCCGCCCAATCCTGCTTCCTACCTCTTTTCTTCCACAGTTGTTAATCCTTGATAAGTATCCTGCACACCAAATCCCATCTCAGCATTGCGTGGGAAAAACCAACCTGTAACACCAGCTAAGTTCCCAGAATCCCATATGCAATATCAACTAAAACTTCAACTTTCCTCAGCTTCCCTCTTCCCCAAATCTTAGAGGTGCCTCTGAATGGTTATGACATATAATTAGCAGCCAACTCAGGAGCAACTTGAACCTCTCAGGGCATCCACACTCTCCTGCAGATCTATATGTGGGCAGGGCTGAAGAATGGTTCAATGTAGCACAAATTCCTGAGATGAGGCCTGGCATGCCCCAAGGATCCTGCCTTGGGGGGCTCTTAGCAAAGTTTTCTTTCCACCACGGTGAAATAAGGGATCTTTGTTCTGCTGCTATTTATCCTCCTTCTCCGTTCCCACACTTCACAGAAACACGTTTGTTTTTATTCACAGTGTTCGTCTCCAGGTCGTAGCCCCCAGAGGCACTCTAATGACTTTATAGCTAACACACCTCTGAGCCTGGATCAGGACTCTTCAAATAAACAATAGAAAATTGATAACAATAATTACAGCAACTAAACGTTGGCTTTCTAATGTATTCCAACCATTAGTAATGCCACAGACATCATGCTATTACACTGCAGTTAGTCATTTTCCGTATCTAGTTAGCTACACTGAGCTGGGAGGCAAATTACTAGTGACCACTGAATGAGTACAGTATGCAAATGTTGTACAACCCCAAATTCACGACTGTGTACCCAGTGCATAGCTGGAGCCGAACACTAAGATATTGGTGCTTGGAGATGCAGAGATGTGTTCAAGTTGGCCAAAGCAAGAAGGCAGGAGAGCAAGAACTCTCAAATTTGTCTGGGTTTTTTGTTGTTGTTGTTGTTGTTGTTGAGATGGAGTTTTGCACTTGTTGCCCAGGCTGGAGTGCAGTGGCACGATCTCGGCCCACTGCAATCTCGGCCTCCTGGGTTCAAGTAGTTCTCCTGCCTCAGCCTCCCGAGTAGCCGGCATAACAGGCATGTGCTACCAGGCCCAGCTAATTTTTGTATTTTTTTAGTAGACATGGGGTTTATCCATGTTGGTCAGGCTGGTCTCGAACTCCCGACCTCAGGTGATCCAACTGCCTTGGCCTCCCAAAGTGCTGGGATTACAGGTGTGAGCCACCACGCCCAGCCTCAAATTTGTCTTAACAGAAAGATGAAACAGAGAGTTTTTATACAGCTAGAGAAAAGGGGGAAGAAGTTTCAGGGAACTAAGAGGAAAAGTCTGTGTTTCCTCAGTCTCAGATAACACCTTATACAACCAGACTTCTGGGTGTCAGCAGCTGGTTGCAACATCTTTAAAGGCATACAATCCTCCTCCCAAAATTGTTTGTGTCCCTGAAGTTGTCTCTTCCTGCTTGACAAAGAAACAGTACACTGGCAATTTATAATTATATTGTGGGAACAAGGGATGTTTGGCAAAAAGTGAGCAGTTAACATGCGCAAGCAGGCAAGGGCCTAATGAGAATTTTCATTATTTCAGCCACTAAAAATGCTGGGGTACTGAAATCTCAAGGGATGAGCTTACACATTCAGTACAGATTTCTGCCAGGTTCTGTTTAGGTTTAAGTCCAGGTTCAGTATTACCTAGGAGTAAGAGACTTAAATCCCTATTAATGAATCCTCTCAGATATAAAATATCATAGAAAACATAATTTTCTCCATTCAAGGAGACGATTAGATTTTAAATATCTAGTTAGTGGGTACTAAGCTAAATAGAGAAAGGAAAGTACATTTTTTCTATTAAAGTCAAATAATATAGGTGACGACTTTAAAGATAAATTGATTATCTGACATATTATGACTGTTCTCTTGCCACTAAATTGAGAAAAGATCTGAATAAATCACAAGGTCCAAACAAGTAAATCTCATAGCAGAAATATTTTAAAAGAAAAAGAGGCTAAATTACCTGTAAACAACATTGTGTCTTCTCGGAACTCTTTCTTTTTTTGTGCTGTGTATGAAGGTATTAATAGCAGCTTTGCATGTCCAGGAACCTCTGAGCTGACACTGGTAAGTTTTCAGAAAACCCATTAGGCTAGCCACAGTGTTAAGTATTCTTTAAGTAAGAAATGGGAAACATTGCTTCCATCATAAATATGCATGTTTGGATGTAATCTGTGAGAAAAAGAGAGAGAGAGTGTGTGTGTATACAGTATTGGGTAACAACGTAAAATGTATTCATTTCTCTGGGTCTTCATTTGTTTTTTTTTTAAGTTTGAAAGCCACTACTCTAAATCAACTGGTAAAAGCTACTCACCCTCACTCCTTTCCCTCCACACAGATATCAGCTCTTCTCCACAATTCCCAGGGGCAGCCAGCCTCTGTGCCCAGCTGGGGACACCCCAGTGGCAATTAATTTACTGACATTAATGGGCAGAATGTGTTCCCATGGCACTGTCATCACTCCTTCATTTGTGTTCCTTTACTCATTTCTGTCCCCAAGACAGAGAACCTCCTTTTCAGGCACAATTCGAATGCCAACAGCTGCCTGCCCAACACAGCTCTTGTGTGGCACAGTCATGCAGCACCAGCAGGGCGATGTTGCCATGAGCAGGATGTGACTTGACTGTCTAGGGCAGTGACTGAAAGGAATAGGACCCCAATCCACAAAAGACAAGTCATGGTATCCTAGGACAAGTGGCTCTTACATTCTGGAAGCTGTGAGATGACAAACTGGCATACAACAGCAGGAGGACAAAAGATTTAAGGAGTCTACAGTAATGCAAAAACAAATACAAGCATCTGAAGAGCCTCTCACCACCAAGAGGCACAAAAGACCTAGTTATTTAATCAAAATGCAGTTTCAGAAAAAGCAAAGACTCTTTGTGTAGGAAGTCATGGTAACATTGTAAAAGCTTAATTAAGACACAGATGGTTGGGTGCGGTGGCTCACGTCTGTAGTCCCAGCACTTTGGGAAGCTAAGGAGGGTGGATTGCTTGAGGCAAGGAGTTCAAGACCAGCCTGGCAAACATGGCAAAATCCCATCTCTACTAAAAATATAAAAATTAGCCAGGTGTGGTGGTGTGTGCCTGTAGTCCCAGCTACTTGGGGGGCTGAGGCAGGACAATCGCTTGAACCCGGGAGGTGGATGTTGCAGTGAGCTGAGATCACACCACTGCACTCCAGCCTGGGCCACAGAGTGAGACGCTGTCAAAAACAAAAAACAAAAAAACAAACAAACAAACAAAAAACAGCACAAATAAACTATAAAGAAGAGATCTTGAGGTCAATGGGAAAGGAGGAATACTGAATTTTCCATCCAGCTCCCTTTTCTCACATGGGACCAATAATTTTCATGTTGTCAAAAAAAAAAGGAATATAGTATATTTGCAATGTAATCCATTTAATTTCAAAGCCTCAGAGTCTGTGCTTTTCAAACTGAGGATTCTAACCCATTATTGGGTCATGAAATCAATTAAGTACATTTTAATGAAAGAATAGAACTGAATTGAACAGGATAGAATAGAATAGAAAATATCAGAAGGTGTTGGGCATAGTATTAGAACATTGTTTCAGTCATAAGTATTCATGTATGGGTGTAATCTGTGCATACGTGTGTGTGTATACAGTATTGGGTAACACACAGTATTGGTCTTGATTTTATTTTTTTAACTTTGAAAACCACTACTCTAAATCAACTGGGAGCAGCCAATAATCCTCACCCTCCTTTCCCTCCACACAGATATCAGAGGCTGGATTTCATTGTCACAGTTCTCACATAGAGCCCATCAATATGTGGATTAAGGGTCCCTTGTGGTTTGCACACCTCACAAGGGACAGTGGAGGAAAGGCCTGTGACCAAATCGTTGGAAGATATGGTTCCCCATATTGACATGCATATTTTAAGCATGTCAATTAAAATAAGAAAATAAAATTTCTGTAAGACACCAGACACTCTCCATGACACACTTTGTATTTCAAATACATTAAATTACTCACTGTGTATCTAACATCTGTTTTGACACCCACTGCTCTTGTACAAATCATATTTATCCTATTTAATACACATAAATCCTATAAATCCTATTTAATACACATTAACAGCACACGTGGAACTGGGGCAATTATCAGGACGTTGTAAAGTTTGTCTGATTTTTAGCCATGTATCCATATGAAGAAAAAAAAATCTGTATAAGTACTTTGATCAGAACAGGGCCTCAGTGCAGGGGCTCATGCCTGTGATCCCAGCACTTTGGGAGTCTGAGGCAGGAAGGTTGTTTGACCCCAGGAATTTGAGATTAGCTTGGGCAATGTAGCAGGAATCTGTCTCTACAAAAAATTTAAAAATTAGGTGGGCATAGGGGCACACACTTGTATTACCAACTACTTGAGAGACTGACATAGGATGACCACTTGAGCCCAGAAGTTTGAGGTTACAGTCAGGTATGATTGTGCCACTGCACTCCAGACTCCAGCCTGGGTGACACAGTGAGACCCTGTCTTTAAAAATAAAATAATAAACTAAAACACAATTTTTCAAAAAGAATTCAGGGCCCACAAACTTGGATAGGGAAAAAATTAATCTTTATTTGCATGGATATCTGATTATTTAGCATGTGGCTTTACTCTGAAAGTAGGCAACAAAACACAGTAAAATTAAAAGTACTGTGACTTTGTCAACAACATAAATCATATATATTTTCATAGTATATTACATTTATTGCAGCTATCTGGAAATATTCTATGTGTTGCTACTTTAAAATTAGAGTACATATTAGAATTTATGCTATATTTTGTTATTAATGTGTTAATTTAAAAGGACATGCATTGTAATCACCTGATTTTGATAACTGCATTTCAGTGTAATTGGCTTCTTTGTAATCTTAGGTATTTTATGTATTTTATAGCATTATTCTGAGGAGTCTATAGGTTTTTCCAGCAACCAAAGGGGTCCATGGCATTAAAAAGGGTTAAGTGGTTGGCGAGGCAAAGAACAAAGCAGAAAGGAACATAATTATCCAGAACAATCAGTCATAGAGGCTGAATTGGTGTAACTTATTGGTGCTATTTAGACTAGAAACACTTGGCTGTCTGGAAGTTCTTAAGAACACCCCTAATTGTCCCTATTTGTAACGCTAATGGGAGACCATGGGGAAGAAACCAACATTTAGAGTCACGTTAGCTATTTGAGACAGTTCTTGGCACTCAAGCACTAGGAGAAGGGGCAAACATCCTAGAGAACAAGACTTGCATCCTGGTTGGCAAACATGCTCCCAAATTGCTACCTCTACAGGGCAACAGCCACAAACAGGGTAGCTATGATCAACCTGTAAAGTGAGCCAATACCTAGTGAACTGCAGTTTATATGGGAAAGACCTAGAGGCTGCTAGAAACTCAGAGATTGGGGATTCCCTCGGCCACATGATGGGGACTATGCTTCATGTAGATTATTATTTAATTATCTAAACCATCCTATAAGGAAGTGTCTATGATTAGAGCTTCTATTTCATACCTCGAAGAAACCAAGGTTTTGAAAGGTTACTGAGATGTCCAGAATCGTGAGTTCTCCAGAGGGAAAGTCAGACATGGATCTCTGCTCCCTGCAGACCCTACACTTTTCACATTCTGCTGAACTGTCTTCCCAACTCAAGCAGGGACAGATCTCTGGAATCCAAGGAAGAGAAGTTTCCTGTGCAAGAGATAGAAATAAGAGGCACCCAAATAAGAAAGAGGAAGTCAAACTATCCCTGTTTGCAGATAACATGATACTAAATCTAGAAAAGCCCACAGTCTCTGCCCAAGAGCTCCTTGAGCTGATAAGCAACTTCAGCAAAATTTTGGGATACAGAATCAATGTACAAAACTCAGTAGCATTGCTATACACTAACAGTACCCAAGCAGAGCCAAATCAGGAAAACAATCCCTTTCACAACTGCCAAAAAAAAGAAAAATACATAGGAATACTGCTAAACCGGGAGGTGAGAGATCTCTACAATAAGAATTACAAAACACTGCTGAAAGAAATCAGAGATGACACAAACAAATGCAAAACCATTCCATGCTCATGATAGAAAGAATCAATATCATTAAAATGGCCATACTGCCCAAAGCAATTTACAAATTCAATGCTCTTCCTATCAAACTACCAATGAAATTCTTCACAGAATAAGAAAAAAACTATTCTAAAATTAATATGGGACCAAACAAGAGCCTGAATAGCCAAGACAATCCTAAGCAAATGGAACAAAGCTGAAGTAATCACATTGCCTGACTTCAAACTGTACTATAAGGCTACAGTAACGAACACGGCATGGTACTGGTACAAAAACAGACACACAGACCAGTGGAACAGAATAGAGAGCCTAGAAAAAAAGCCACACACCTACAACCATCTGATCTTTGACAAAGCTGACAAAAACAAGCAATAGGGAAAGGACTCTCTATTCAACAGATGGTGCTGGAATAACTAGCTAGCTATATGCAGAATATTGATACTGAACCCCTTCCTTACACCATATACAAAAATCAACTCAAGATGGATTAAAGACCTAAATGTAAACCCTAAAAGTATACAAACTCTAGAAAATAACCTAGGAAATACCATTTTGAACATAGAAACTGGCAAAGATTTCATGATGAAAATGCCAAAAGCAATTGCAACAATAGCAAAAATTGATAAATGGGATCTAATTAAACTAAAGAGCTTCTGCCCAGCAAAAGAAACTAGCAACAGAGTAAACAGGCAACCTAAATAATGGGATAAAATATTTGCAAACTATACATCCAACAAAGGTCTAATATCCAGAATCTACAATGAACTTAAAGGTACAAGAAAAATAAACAACCCCATTAAAATTGGGCAACCCCAGAAATTAAAATAAAAATGAATATTTTTTTTTAATCTTAAAAAGTGGGCAAAGGACATGAACAGACACTTTTTTAAAGAAGACATACATGCAATCAACAAACATATGAAAAATGCTCAATATAACTAATTATTAGATAAATGCAAACCAAAACCACAACGAGATACTATGTTACACCGTTCAGAATGGCCATTATTACAAAGTCAAAAAATAACAGATGCTGGCAGGGTTGCAGAGAAAAGGGAATGCATATACATTGCTGATGGGAGTGTAAATTAGTTCAACTACTGTGGAAAGCAGCGTGGTGATTCCTCAAAGAACTAAAAACAGAACTACAATTTGACCCAGCAATCCCATTACTGGATACATACCCAAAGGAATATAAATCATTCTGTTATAAAGACACACACACATGTATGTTCACTGCAGCACTGTTCACAATAGCAAAGACATGGAATCAACCTGAATGTCCATCAATGGTAGATTGAATAAAGAAAATATAGTACATATACACCATGGAATACTATGCAGCCATAAAAAGAATGAGATCATGTCCTTTGCAGGAACATGGATGGAACTGGAGGCCATTATCCTTAGCAGACTAACACAGAAACAGAAAAGCAAATATTGTATGTTCTCACTTATAAGTAGGAGCTAAATAATGATAACACATGGACAGAATGAGGGAGACATCAGACACTGGAGCCTACTTGAGGGAGAAGGGTGGGAGGACGGAGAGGTTTAGAAAAAAAAATTGTTGGGTACTATGCTTAGTACCCAAGTGACAAAATAATCTGTGCACAAAACCCCCAAATCATGAGTTTACCTATATAACAAAGCAGCACATGTACTCCTGAACCTAAAATAAGTTAAAATATTTTTTAAAGAAAGAAAAGTTGCCTACCTTTTTCATATGGCGTGAGCATTTCTTGCAAACTATACTCATGCTGGAAATTCAGCTAAGTAAATTTTGCCTGGGAAAAGTCAGAACACAGGAGCTGAGCACTGGACATGTTCTATTCTGACCCTACAAGTAAATAAGATTAATTTCCAAGTCTGCACCTTCCCCTTAAAGGAGGCAAGAAATTCTGAAGAGGGGAAGACAGAGGAAAGACCATCTACCCAATAATCCTCTCTCTCAATGTGTGATGAGGGTTGGGAGGGGACACAGACATATGGGAGTGGGCCCTGACTAGCACAGAGAGGAGCTAGGGCACTGTTTCCTAACCTTTTCAGTGATTCTTTTTTGAGTCTTAGGTAGCTCCTTTGCAAAGACCCTGATCAGTACTTTGTTGAATGCTCGAGGGGGACCTTCAGATACCTGGTTCTCTTCTCTGCTATCCTCTCCTGAGAACTCTCATTGCCTTGGACCCCTAGACTCTCAGCTTTGTTTTCTCAGCTCGAGGTATCTGCCAGGCTCCACGTGGTTTCACCCTTTCTGCACCATGGCCTGGAAATTCTCTCAAAACGGTAAACTGGGACAATCATAGGACTCACCATGTTTGTTTTTCATTTCTTGGGAATCACTTTCCTTCACTGCCTGATGATCAATATCTTGAAAACTGTTGTTTCATAGATTTTGTCTGGTTTATATTTGGTGGGAGGATAAATCATGACTCAAAATCTTTAATCAAAGTTTCTTATTAGATACCATTGAAATTTGTGTCTCGTGATTTCACTATAATCTTTACTTAAGTCGAATTTTTAAAAATTGTGGTTAGATACCTCTCCCACTTCAAAGGACAAAATGGTGTGTAGAGATTCACACTGTAAACTTTTTTTCAAGAAACAACACAGATACTGAACAGGAAATCCAAATGAATCTATGGACCGTTTGAAGGAAGCAGGGGGCTGCAGCCTACACTGTGAGTCAGAGAAGGGCTGCAAGTCCCCAGACTGTGAAAGGGAGTTTGCCTCTGGGATACACACCCCCACCAGGGACCCTGAAAGTCCAGGACACAGAGTAAGGCCCTAACCCCACCCAGCACAGGAACCAATTTGGAGAGCATTGTGGAATATCAAAGTAGGAGCAGCAGTGGGAAGACACTTGCATGCACTCCCAGATCCCAGCACAGACCAAGGGTAGCTGTTCCTTACCATACCTCACAGGGCACCCTGTGGAGGACAGAAAAAAAGTTCAGGCAGTGGTTGCAGGTTGAAAGAAGCCCCCAAGGGGGGTTCACAATAGAAGTCCCTTGGCTAGGGCCAGGACAGGGGAGAGTAAAAAGCGGGCTGTGGTTTCAAGAGTCCTGAGTGCAGGAGCCACAGGTGCAGGAGCCATGGGTACAGGAGCTGTGGGTGCAGGAGCCAGGTGCTGGCTTTGCAGCGGACAGGGAGGGGCATGGCCTGAAAGCCAAAGTTAGCATTTCCACAAGGAAAGTCTATGACTCCAGGCAGAGGCGAGTTCTGATTACAGGCTGACTGGAATTCATCTTGCTGCTACCAGTAGAACACTGTGGGATTGGATCTGTCTTGCCAAGTACACAGGAACTGTGGGGCTTATCATCACCTGCTATTCCCCACTCCCTGCACAAACCTTTCTGAGCATCAGAGGCAGGCACGCTATCCTCTGGAACATCAACACAGTGGCCTGAGATCTGCTTCTGTCCCCAACACCCACAGGGGCTGCTGCTTGCCCTGCACATGGAGAATCAGAGCACAAACCTGCCTGACCTAGACCCAATGCTGCTTTGCCCCACCACCTACCCAGGTAGCTTAACACAAAGGGCAGAATCTCTTGGGAGCTTCCTGGCCCTGCCCATTGCCTGGGAAACCAGAGTACCCCTCCTGGGCAACAAAAGGCAAGCAAAAATCCCACTGCTACTACCGCAGCTGGTGCTCTCTCACAAGTGTCACCTCCTGACCGGAGGCCAACCAACACAGTCCATTACAGCATGTCCCGGTATAATAACACTGCATACCTCGGAAGGAGAAAATGGCTGCATGACCTCAGCTATCACCACTGTCTGCACCACTCTGACTAACCAGGAGGTCATGAGTCTGTCCACGTGATCAGTTCATTACTGCTATAAGCAGCACTCAAGAAAGCCAACATGCTAAGGCTACCAATAACCAAGGAATTTCACAGAATCTATGTCACTCCCATGCCACCCCCATTTAGAGGTGGTACTGCTAACCCACTGCTAGGAAACTTGAGGACAGGTCACATCACTGGATCCCTTGCAGACATTCCCCAACACCAGTGTGGAATGTGGCAACTTCACTGGGCAGCTAGACCCAGAGGAACAACAACACTTACAGTAGTCTGGCTCCCAGGGACGCCCATTCCTAGGAGAAAGGGGAGTGCATCACATCAAGGGAGCATCCTGTGGGACTAAAGAATCTAGACAGCAGCCCCGTAAGCACCAGATCCTTCTACTGGTGGAAAGCTTCCTTCAGCAGAGGCACAGCTGAAGTGCTGGGCTCAGCAGAGAAAGTCTTCATCTCTATTCCAAGAGTCAGCCCTTGTGCACATGAAGGGCCTTGGAGAAGCCCTTGTCCACCACCATAGGCGGAGGTGAAAGAAGAGAAAGAGAAAGAAAGAGGAGAGGAGAAAAAGAGAAGCAGAAAGTCCTTCGGAAATACAAGGAGGCAATGAGCAACAAGGTGTGCAAGTATTTTGATGAAGGATGTGGGAGCTGCCCATTTGGAGAGAACTGTTTTTACAAGCATGTGTACCCTGATGGCCGTAGAGAGAAGCCACAGAGACAAAAAGTGGGAACATCAAGCAGATACTGGGCCCAACGAAGCAACCATTTCTGAGAACTCAATGAAGAGAGAACAGCAACCCCACTGACAATGATGAAGAAGAGGTTGTCACCTTTGAGCTGGGCAAGATGTTGCTTATGCTTTTGGCTGCAGGTGGGGATGATGAACTGATAGACTCTGAAGATGAGTAGGACTTGTTTCATGATGAGCTGGAAGATTTTTATGACTTCAATCTATAGCAACCTTGTGTGGCACGTGAACTGGTCTGCTCACCCAGACAGCAGCTGTCCCCTGTGGTGGTGTGGCAGTGCCTGTGTTCTCTCCTAGGCAGGCCTATCAACTGTAGCTGCTGTCATAAGAATTTTTAACCAGAGCCTGTCTTCTTAACCTCTCACCTTTCTCCGAGGAGTGTGTTGTTTTCCCTTTTGAAAAAAGTTACAAAAATTAAAGTTAGTTTTCTGTAACACGAAAAAATTTGTTTTAAAAATCAAAATCATGTCAAGTATCTTCTCAGACTACAGTAGAATAAAACTAGAAATCAACTCCAAAAGGAAACCTCAAAACTATGCAAATACATGGAAATTAAGTAATCCGCTCTTCAATGATATCTGGGTTCACAATGAAATTAAGATGGAAATTTAAAAATTCTTTGAATTGAATGATAATAATGAGACAATTTATCAAATATTTCTGGAATACAACAAAAGCAGTATGAGGAGGAAAGTTTATAGCATTAAATGTCTACATCAAAAAGTCTAAAAAAAAGCACAAATTGACAATCTAATGTCACACCTCAAGGACCTGGAGAAACAAGAACAAACTAAACCTAACACTAGAAGAAGGAAAGACATAACAAAGATCAGAACAGAATTAAATGAAATTCCAAGAAAAAAAAATACAGAAGCTCAATAAAACAAAAAGCTGGTTCTTTGAAAAACTAAATAAAATTGATAGACCAGCAGCTAGATTAATCAAGAAGAGAAGAGAAAAGACCCAAATAAGCTCATTTAGAAATGAAACTACAAAGGCCGGGCCTGGTGGCTCACACTTGTAATCCTAGCACTTTGGGAAGCCAAGGCAGGTAGATTATTTGAGGTCAGGAGTTAGAGACCAGCCTGGCAAACATGGCAAAACCCTGTCTCTACTAAAAAAAAAATAAAAATAAAAATAAAAAAATTAGGCAGGTGTGGTGGTGCATGCCTGTAATCCCAGCTAATCCCAGCTATTTGGGAGGCTGACACATGAGAATTGCTTGAACCCAAGCAATTTCATTTAATTCTGTTTCAGTGACCCGAAATCATACCACTGCACTCCAGCCTGGGTGACAGAGTAAGATTCTGTATGAAAAAACAAAAACAACAACGACAAAAAAAAAAGCAAAAAAGAAATGAAACTGGAGACATTACAACTGACGCCATAGAAATACAAAGATCATTTGAGACTACTATGAAGATCCTTATATGCACAAACTAGAAAAAACCTGGAGAAAATGGACAAATTCCTGGAAACATACAACCCTCCTAGATTAAATCAGGAAGAAATAGAAACCTTCAAAAAACCAATAACAAGCAGCAAGATTGAATCAGTAATTTTAAAATTGCCACTCAAAAAATAGCACAGGACCAGATAGATTCACAGCTGAATTCTACCAGATATTCAAAGAATTGGTATGAATCCTACTGAAACTATTCCAAAAGATTGAGAAAGAAGGAATCCTACCTAAATTATTGTTTGAAGCTAGTATCACCCTGATACCAAAACCAGGAGAGGACACAAAAAAAGAAAACTACAGACCAATTTCCCTGATGAACATAAATGCAAAAAGCTTCAACAAAATATTAGCTAACCCAATCTAACAGCACATCAAAAAGATAATTCACCACAATCAAGTGGATTTCATCCCAGGGATGCAGGGATGGTTTAACATATGCAAGTCAATAAATGTGATACATCATATAAACAGAATTAGAAACAAAAACCATATGGTCATCTCAATAGCTGCAGAAAAAGCATTTGACAAATTCAGCACCCCATTATGATTAAAAACTCTCAACAAACTAGGCATAGAAGGGACCTACCTAAAAATAATAAAAGCCATATGACAAACTCACAGCCAACATTATACTGAATGGGGAAAAGTTGAAAGCATTTCCCCTGAGAACAGAAGCAAGACAAGGATGTCCACTATCAACACTCCCATTCAACAGAGTTCTGGAATTACCAGCCAGAGCAATTAGGCCAAAGAAAGAAATAAAGGATATCCAAATCAGAAAAGACGAAGTAAAACTATTGGTGTTTGCAGATGATATGATTGTATACCTAGAAAATCCTAAAGACTCCTCCAAGAGACTCTTAGATTTGATAAATGAATTCAATAAAGTCTCAGGTTTCAAAATCAATATACACAAATTAGTAGCACTGCTATCCACCAAAATGACCAAACTGAGAATCCAATCAAGAATTCATTCCCTTTTACAACAGCTGCAAAAAATAAAATAAAATACCTAGAAATATACTTAACCAAGGAGGTGAAAGGTCTCTACAAGGAGAACTACAAAACACTGCGGAAAGAAATCATAGGTGACACAAACAAATGGAAATACATCCCATGCTCATGGGTTGGAAAAGTCAATATTGTGAAAAAGGCCATACTGTGCAAAAAATCTACAGACTGAATGCAATTTCTCTCAAAATATCAACATCATTTTTCACAAAATTAGAAAAAAAAATTCTATAATTCATATGGAACCAAAAAAGAGCCCAAATAGCCAAAGCTGTCCTAAGCAAAAAGAACAAATCTGAAGTCATCACATTACCGGACTTCAAATTATACTGCAAGGCTATAGTTAACAAAACAGTATGATACTGGTATAAAAATGGGACATAGACCAATGGAACAGAATAGAGAACCGAGAAATAAAGCCAAATACTATGTACTGCCAACTGATCTTCAACAAAGCAAACAAAACATAAAATGGGGAATGGACACCCTATTTAATAAATGGTGGCTTGCCAATTTTCCCAGCACAATTTATTAAATAGGGCGTCCATTCCATCATGGAATACTACTGGGCCATTAAAAGGAACAAAATAATGGCCTTTGTGGCAACCTGGATCGAGCTGGATGCCATTATTCTAGGTGACATCAAAAAGTGTATGTGCAAACTTTTAAGTGGGAGCTAAGCTGTGAGTATGCATGGGCATATAGAGCGATATAATGGACTTTAGAGACCAGAAGTGGAAGGATGGCAGGGGGGCCAGGGATAAAAAAAAATACACATTAGGTATGATGTACACTACTCAGGTGATGGGTACACTAAAATCTCAGAATTCACCACTGTGTAAGTCATCCATGTAACCAAAACCACTGGTACCCCAAAAGCTATTGAAATAAAAATAAATAATTTTTTTAAATTGTGGTTAATAAGATTTTCTCACTACATATCCTTACATTAAGCTTCCATTACTTAAAATAACCTTAGCAAATGTTCAACGCAACAGGAATTAAACTGTCACAGGCTGGTGGGGAATGCACACAGCCAGGAATTTTTGCATGCTTGAATCACATTAATTGCATGCACTAGGGTTCAGGAAGGATGACAAATGAAAGAAGACTAACTCCAAAAGGAATATTCCAGCAGTCCACAGGCCTTAACTACTAGCACATGCTGAGTCATGCCGGCTCGCTTTCTCCTTTCAAGGCAGTGAGATTCTATCAGTAGAACAGATACATCTAATTACTTACCAGGGATGCTGAGAAGATTGATCTGGATCAATTAATTCAGTGCTTTTGGAAAGTGCTATATTCTTGCTACATTATGAAAATTACCTAGAAACCACACTAATGATGTGCTGTTGAATTCAGAAAATGAGAATGTCAACAAACAACATAAAAATGAAAGATACTTCTTGGTAAAATGTATCACATCCGTTTATTTTGTCAGGCAAACTTGGGTTCCTCTCATTTAGGACAGACTGCTTTGTGGCAAACTGGCAGAGTATATATTTTATGGTTAGCAATAAAATCTTATTAGTATAAAATCTCATTACAGCTAATGATCCTTAAATCTCTCTTTTGGAGTAGGTCTTGCTTTGAAGGGAGGTGGCAGGTAGACGAATGGATCAAGTGCGGAGAATTCAAAAGGTCAATCACATCAGCAGGCCCTGCCTGGTTCCCGGTCTCTGCAGCCACTCTCCTCAAATCTGCCACCACTGGACCCTTGACCTCAGGTCCCTTCTCTATTCAGGTCAGTGGTTTTCAAACTGGGCCCCAGCGATCAGCCTCAGCTGCATCTAGGAATTTGTTAGAAATGCAGATTCTCAGGTCCCACCACAGAGCCACAGAGTCACAAACTCTGGGGTTGGATCCCAGTAATCTGTTTTAACAAGCCCTGTAAGTGATTCTGACGCTCGTGGAAGTTTGAGAACTGCTGCTCTGCCACATCATCTTCTTATGTGTGACAGTTAACACAATTTAACTATAATGTTTCTTGATTCATTTACCATTTATTAACTTCCACTCTGGCTACCTATTAGAAACACCTGTGGAGCAATTTAAAATCCCTATTCCCAAGATGAGAATGAGGCCTAACAATACAAATGGGGAGAGGGGAACAAGTATCAGTATTTTTTTAGCTTTTTTTTTTTTTTTTAAGAGACAGAGCTCACTTTGTCACTGAAGCTGGAGTGGAGTGGCACAATCATAGCTCATATAACCTTGAACTCCCAGGTTCAAGTGATCCTCCCACCTCAGCCTCCCAAGTAGCTGGAACTACAGGTGTGCGCCACCACACCTGGCTAATTTTTTTTCTCTTTTGTAGAGACAAGTTCTCGCTATGTTGCCCAGGCTGGTCTCAAACTTCTGACCTCAGGCAATCCTCCTGCCTCGGGCCCTGAATGGGCTGGGATTCCAGGCACTAGCCACTGTGCCCAGCCATCAGTATTTTCTCACTCTTCCCGTGGATTCCTAGGTGTAGCCATGAGTAGAAGTAGAACCACTGCCTAAAAGAGGCTTGACCTTCAGCCAGATATAGGTAAGTGACTCTATCCTGCATGCAGGGACTCAGCTACACTGAGTTCTTAGAGACAGACTTTTGGGTCTCAGTTCTGATAACTAGACTACTGCCTTCTTCCTCCATCCACATCCCAGTTTGTGCCTCTATTCTGGTTAATGAGTTTCTGCTTATATCCCTGTGTTGGTAACTGACCATTGCTGTAGTCCTATGGGAAGAGGTACACTGTATGTAAAAGTAGAACGACTTTGAGGTCAAATACATTGAATCCTGGCTCTGCCACTTACCAGCCATGTGACATTAGCTAAGATACTATGAGAGAAACAGTAAAATCACCTGAAATCTCAACACCTTCAGATAACCACAGTTAATATTTTATAACCAACCTTAATGCACCTCTTCATACATGTCTATACAGGTATGTACATACACATGTATTAAGTTTCACATAAATGAAATTCTGCAACATGTGTTGTTTTTGTTAGTGTGGAAAACTCCCCTAGTCCTTCGTTTTTCATCACTTCAACCTCTAAATTCCACTTCTTCCCTCTCCTCCAGCCAGGAAACTATTGTTAACAACCTAGTGTAATCTTTCATTGCTTTTCTAGGTTCACAGAACACTCAATACACACATAAGGGTTTTCCCTCAATTTTTGGCTTTTTAATAGGATATTAATATATATATGTACTTTCTGGCATCTTTCATTTCATGCTTAAAAATACATTATATGCTGGGTGCAGTGGTTCACACTTGTAATCCCAGCACTTTGGGAGGCGAAGGCAGGAGGAGTGCTTGAGTCCATGAGTTCAAGACCAGCCTGGGCAACAGACGGAGACACCGTGTCTATTTTTTTTAAAAGTTTAAGATAGAAAAAAATGCATTATGGAACTCTCTCAAAGCAAAACTAGTATAAATCTGTATAGAACTAATACATTATTTTTATTGGTTACATACCATTCCATCCTACGAATTGGCAAAATATATTAATATGCATTAACTTATTTCCAGAAAAATACCACAATAAACATTCTTGGGGGTGGTATGTACATACACGTCCTTACACACTGAAGCTTGATTTCTCTACAATAGAGTTCTTGGAGTAGGATTTCTGGGTCAAATCGTGTGTTTAATTTGCTTATTGTGGATATTGCCAGATTATTTTCCAAAAAGGCTGTAACAACACACAACACACATGTCCAGAAACAGTGCATGACAGTGCCCTTTCCCACATCCCTGCCAGCAGTAAGTTTATCCATCTTTTTAAGTTTTTGCCAATTCAATAGATGGTTGAGAAAGGAGAACTCAATATTTAATTTGCATTTTTCTTATTAGTACTAACGTTTAAAAACTGTTTCATATGTTCATTACTCATTCTGGATTTGCTCTTCTGTGAGTTACCTAGCTACAACTTTAATAGAAAAACTTCCAAGAGAGTTTGCTATTTGTTTTCTATTTATAACAGTTCTTTGCCCATCATTGATATTTATTCTTTGTCTGTTTTATAGAATGCATATTTTTCCCAGTGTCTCATTTGTCCTAATTTTGTTTATGAAATTTTTATCCTCTAATTTCCTAATGTAATCATACATGTCTACTTTTATGGTTTTTCACTTCCATGTCTTGCTTAAAGGGCCTCTTCAATCTGGATTTCACTAATTTTCATCTAAGATTTTTATTTTTAAAAAAATTTTAAGTATTTGATGCAGCTATAATTTATGTTTATTATATAAAATAAGGTGTCTCATAGACACTGTCAGCACTTCCCTTCCCCTATATCCTTCAGAATATTCCATGTGCCCTTGTAGATTTCTAGCTGCCAGTGTCTGAATCCCTGGGCCTGAAAGCTTTATAACAAACCTATGAAAGGCCATTAGCACCATGCCTCACAGGTTCATAGTACCAGGGAATTAGCAACATCACCATCACCACCAAGCAACCCTCCAAAATGAGTCTCCAGAATTGGAATAAAAATATCCAGTTTCCTTGACTGGAGCCAGCTAAATAATTTGCAGGGCCCAGTGCATAATGAAAATCTGAGGCCTGCCCTGGGAATATGGAAGTCAGTACCTCTTTCCCATATACCCACTGCCCCAACTGGTGGTGGATGGGCTACACTCAAGGGATTGCAACCTCTACGTCAAGAGGCACTCAACCTAGATCAAGGGTGGGTGAAAGGCTCTCACTAAATTGCCCACCAAAAGTGCCAATGATGCTGCTAACCCAAGGCAGAGACTCTCAAGTCCAAGTGCAACCACCGCACACCCAACACATTCACCCAGGCCCCTGCTAGTTGTAAAAAGAAACAGCAGAACATGCTCCCGCTTCCTATCCCACCCCAACCCATACAACCAGGTTACCACTATAGAGAGAGGGTGGCAGGCATTGCAGGGCAGCCTCTGAGCCCCCAGGTGGTAGAGAGCTAGCAGACAAGAAACTTCCAGAGGAGGTAAGGAGGCAGGAGAGGTGGGGTCTGTGAGCTAAGACTGTAAGCCCCTGGGGTACGCTCTATTGTCCCAGCAGACTTCACTTACTAAAACACAAATTCAAAGATAAAGAATTAAAAATGTTAAGAGGCTACTAGAATATTAAATACCAACAGCAACACCCTTTTGTATATCAGCACAGTGACATTAAACTTACTGAAACAAACAAAAAAGGAGATACAACATATTAAAGCCTTTGGGAAGTAGCAAAGGGAATTCCAAAAGGGAAGTTTATAGCCGTAAATGCCTACATTAAAAAAAAAAAGATCTCAAATAAACAATCTAACTTTATACTGCAAGGAACTAGGAAAAGAAAAGCAAACTAAACCCAAAATTAACAGAAGAAAGGAAGTAATAAAGGTCATAGCAGAAATATAGAATACAAAAATTATAGAAAAATACTGCAAAATTAACAATTGAGATTTTTAATACACAAAATGGACAAATCCTTAGCTAGACAAACTAAGAAAAAAAAGGTTCAAGTAAATAAAATAAAAAATAAAAGTGGAGACATTACAATGAATACTTCAGAAATAAAAAGTATCATAAGGGACTATTATGAACAACTACATGCCAACAAATTGGATAACCTAGAGGAAATGGGTAAATTCCTAGAAACGTACAACTTGCCAAAATTAAATCAAGATAAAATAGAAAGACTGAACAGACCAATAACAAATAAAGTGATTGAAATCATATTTAAAAGCCTCCAAAAAAAGAAGATCCCAGGACCAGATGGCTTCACAGCTGAATTTTACCAAACATTCAAAAAAGAATGAATACCAATCCCTCTTAAACACTTACAAAAAATAGAATTAGAAAGAATGCTTCCAAACTCATTGTATGAGGCCAGCATCACCCTAATAATACCAAAGCCAGGCAAAGACACCACAAGAAAACTACAGAACAATACCTTGGATGAACATAGACGCAAAAATCCTCAATAAAATGCTTGCAAACTGAAGCCAACAACACATCAAAAAGATTATATATCCTGATCAAGTAAGATTTATCCCTAGGGTGCAAGGTTGATTTAACACATGCAAATCAACTACTGTGATACCCAACATTAACAAAATGAATGAGACAAATTGAATGAGACATGTGAATGAGACACATGATCATCTGAATAGATGCAAAAAAAGCATTGGCGAAGTTCAGCATAATTTCATGATAAAAACTCTCAACAAAGTAGGTATAGAAAGAAATTTCCTCAACAAAATAAAGGCCATTTATCCAAAACTCACAGCTAATCAAAGGGGAAAAACTGAAAGATATTTCTTTAAGATCTGGTACAATGCAAGATTGCTCACTTTTGCCACTTACGTTCAACATTTTAATGCTGGAAATACTACCAAAGACAATCAGACAAGAAAAAGAAACAAACGGGATTCACATTGGAAAGGAAGAAGTAAAACTATCCACATTTACAGACAACATGATTCTATACATGGAAAACCCAAAAGACTTCTCAAAAAATTCTGTTGGAACTAATAAATGAATTCAGTAAAGTTGCAGAATACAAAATTAACATACAAAATTAATTACTTTTCTTTATACCAATAACCTTATCCAAAAACATAAATTAAAAAAAAACCATTTACAATGCCATCAAAAACAATAAAATATTTAGGAATAAATTTAACCAAGGAGATGAAAGATCTCTACACTAAAAGCTATAAACCATGACAAAAGAAATTGAAGATACAAACAAATGGAAAGATATACCATGTTCATGAATTGGAAGAGTTGATATTATTAAAATGTCCATACTTTCCAAAGCAATATACAGATTCAATACAATCCTTACCAAAATTCCAATGGTATTTTTCACTGAAGTAGAAAAAAATTCAAAAATTCATATGGAACCACAAAAGATCCCAAATAGTCAAAGTAATCCTGAGAAAGGAAAACAAAGTTATAGGTACCACACTTAGTGACTTCAAATTACATTACAAAGCTATAGTATTCAAAACAGTGTGACACTGTCATAGAAAAACACATAGAAATATGGAACAGAAAAGCTCAAAAATAAATCCAAACACATACAGACAAAAAATTTTTGACAAGAGCACCAAGAAGACAC
Organism: Homo sapiens; assembly: GCF_000001405.40. Classification (NCBI taxonomy): domain Eukaryota; kingdom Metazoa; phylum Chordata; class Mammalia; order Primates; family Hominidae; genus Homo; species Homo sapiens. Next base: position 152,841,307 of record NC_000002.12, on the reverse strand, counting down.
AATGAGAAAAGGATAGTCTCTCTTTAACAAATGGTATTAGGGAAGCTGAATATCCACATGCAAAAGAATAAAATTGGACCCTTATCTTACATCACACACAAAAATCAACTCAAAGGGAATTAAAGACATAAATATAAGACCTGAAACCATAAAACTCCTAAAAGAAAACATTGGGGAAAATTTTAGATGGGACACCAAAAACACAGGCAACAAAAGAAAAAACAAACAAATGGGACAACATCAAACTAAAACATTTCTACACAGCAAAGAAAACAATAAACAAAAAGAAAAGGCAGCCTAAAGATTGGGAGAAAATATTTGTGAACCGTATATCTGATAAGGTGTCAAAATCCAAAACATCTAAGGAACTCACACAACTCAATGGCAAAAAAAAAGATATAACACTATTTTAAAATGGGCAAATGATCTGAATAGACATTTCTCCAAAGAAGACATACAAATGGCCAACAGGTATATGAAAAGGCATTTAACATCATCCATCATTAAGGAAATGCAAATCAAAACCGCAATGAGATATCACCTAAAACCTGTTAGAATGACTATTATAAATTAAAAAAAGAGACAAGAGATAGCAAGTGCTAGCAAGGGTTAGCAAGGATGTGGAGATTTCTTTTTCTGAAATGCAAGGGTAACAAGGTATAACCCTTTCACAAGGTTATCATGAGACTATGTGGGGATAATGTGTGTGTTAGTTAAAAATCTTAGAAACACCATTCAAGGAATAAAAAGGGGGGCAATAAAAACTACTGGACCTAGAGGTGTAAATGACATCATTATGTCTTCTTTCCACTTTTTTTGCCTCTGATTCTCTGGACACTAACATCATTTTCTCTTAATACAGAAGAGCCGTCCTCATCTACCTAGAAGACACAATCACAGGCAGCTGAAGACTTAAATCATTTTAACTCAGCAACCCCAGTAAAAACAGAGATTATCTTTCTCAAGAATTTCTAAATAAGTCCCAGTGAAGATGTTTAATTGGCCCTTCAGCGATTGCACGTCCACCTTTTAAGAATCACTCACAACATGGGATATTGTTTAACGTGACCATATCTGTGGCTTGGAGAGGTGAGAAAAAAGCATGTATACAGGAGGAACATTTCCCCAAAGAAAGTTTCCAAGAAGGGAAAGAAATAGTCAAACAAAAAAAAGAAGATTTCCATTACACTTTGTAAAGCCCTTACCACCATGCACAGATATATTAAGGACTTCATTCTAATTGTCCATCTCATCATTACCACATATTGAAACTTCCTGATGGTATTGGATGCCATGTAATGCCTGTGGCTGCAGACTAAACTTCCCACAGTGCCAGAGCTAGGGTTGTTCCCTTGTCCATGGCCAACTTGTCCCTGAGTCTGGTTCTGATTCTGAGTCCCCTTCAAACTGCTCCGACCCATGCAGCTGAGCCCAGCTGAAAGCATGTGCACTGTTTTTCAAACTGTGCATCTAACAAAGGACTAATATCCAGAATCTACAAGGAGTTCAAATCAGCAAGAAAAAAGCAAACAATCCCATCAAAAAGTGGGCAAATGTTATGAATAGACATTTCTCAAAAGAAGATACACAAATGGCCAAAAACATATGAAAAAGTGCTCAATATCACTAATCATCAGAGAAATGTAAATTAAAACCACCAATGAGATACCACCTTACCCCAGCCAGAATGGCCATTATTAGAAAATCAAAAAACAATAGATGTTTGTGTGGATGTGGGGAAAAGGGAATGCTTATACAATGCTGGTGGATGCAAGTTAGTACAACCTCCATGGAAAATAGTATGGAGATTTCTTAAAGAACAAAAAATTTATCTACCATTCAATCCAGAAATCCTACTGCTGGGTATCTACCCAAAGAAAAAGAAATCATTATATCAAAAAGACACCTGCAGACATATGTTTATCACAGCACAATTGACAATTGCAAAGATATGAAACCAACCTAAGTACCAATCAACCAATGAGTGGATAAGGAAAATGTGGTACATATATACACGATGGAACACTCAACCATAAAAAAGAATGAAATAATATCTCTTGCAGCAACTTGGATGGAGCTGGAAGCCAATATTCTAAATAAAGTAACTCAGGAATGGAAAACCAAATACTGTGTATTCTCACTTATAAGTAGGAGCTAAGCTGTGAGAACGCAAAGGCATACAGAGTGGTATAACGGGTTTTGGAGACTCAGAAGTGGGGACGGTGGGAGGGGAATGAGGGATTTAAAAAACTACATATTAGGTACAGTGTACACTACTCGGGTGATGGGTACACTAAAATCTCAGACTTAACCACTCTATAATTAATCCACATAACCAAAAACTGCTTGTACCCCAAAAGCTATGGAAATTAAAAATACATACTTTTTAAAAAATAATAAAAAATAAAAGAAAGCCTATCCACTGTTTTTCAAGCACTGCAGGTAGTGCTTTTTAAAAAAGTTTCGAACACACTCTTCTCAAGGCTAAGGAGACATGATGACTAAATGCAGTGTGGTATCCTAGATATACAGGAGGAAAAAAACAACGTAAAAACTGTGAAATCTCTTTTTTTTTTTTTTGAGACAGAGTCTTGCTCAGTAGCCCAGGCTAGAGTGCAGTGGCACTATCTGGGCTCACTGCAAGCTCCGCCTCCCGGGTTCACGCCATTCTCCTGCCTCAGCCTCCCCAGTAGCTAGGACTACAGGTGCCCGCCACGACGCCCGGCTAATTTTTTTTGTAATTTTAGTAGAGACGGGGTTTCACCGTGTTACCCAGGATGGTCTCAATCTCCTGACCTCGTGATCCACCTGCCTCGGCCTCCCAAAGTGCTGGGATTACAGGCGTGAGCCACCACGCCTAGCCGAAATCTCTTTTTTTTAAGTTCCGGGATACATGTGCAGGTTTGTTACATAGGTATACACGTGCCATGGTGGTTTGCTGCACCCATCAACCCATCAGCTACATTAGGTATTTCGCCTAATGTTATCCCTCCCCTAGTCCCCCAACCCTCGACAGGCCCCAGTATATGATGCTCCCTGTGTCCATGTGTTCTCATTGTTCAACTCCCACTTATGAGAACATGTGGTGTTTGGTTTTCTGTTCCTTGTTAGTTTGCTGACAGTGATGGTTTTCAGCTTCATCCATGTCCCTGCAAATGACATGAACTCATTCTTTTTATGGCTGCATAGTATTCTATGGTGTATATGTGCCACATTTTCTTTATCCAATCTATCACTGATGGGCATTTGGGTTGGTTCCAAGTCTTTGTTATTTAAAATAGTGCTGCAATAAACATACATGTGCATGTCTCTTTATAGTAGAATGATTTATAATCTTTTAGGTATATACCAGTAATGGGATTGCTGGGTAAAATGGTATTTCTGGCTCTAGATCCTTGAGGAACTACCACACTGTCTTCCACAATGGTTGAACTAATTTACACTCCCACCAACAGTGTAAAAGCAGAACTGTGAAATCTTAATGAAGGCTATAGTTTGGTGAATAGTAACCAATGTTCATTTCTTAGTTTTGATAAGTGTATCAAGGTTATACAAGAAGTTAACATTAGAGGAAACTAGGTGAAGTGTATACAGAAACACTCTGTACTATCTTTGCAACTCTTCTATAGACATAATTTTTATAGACATAAAATTATTTCAAAATAAAACATTTATTTTAAAATGAAAAAAGTTACTAATACTCAATTCTCACCCTAATTCTACTCCAATTAACATTAGACTTAATTATTAAAATTAAATTTAATTCTATCCATGTTAGAATAACTGGTACTAGATTTGTCCTTCCACCATAAAGAATTTAAAAACTGAGCAGAAATAGAAAAAACAGTTGTTTCAGATATTTAAGATAGGCAGCACAGGCCTGAGATCATTGATTAAAAAGAAGCAAATAGGTAAGGATCATCTTGGCCTTCTAAAAGAACCTTTCAAATCATTACACAGAAAGGGAAAACCCAAGCAGATCATGACGGTCATACTAAATTGCAAATTGCTAAGACAGAGTTTGAACTTAAGAAGACCAACACAACTGAAATATTAGGGACAGAGTACACCATATAGCGGGGAGGAATGCAAACAAAGTGTCCCAGAAATCTCCATAGGAATCATAATCTGTCGCTGAATACAAACTCCATCAGATCAGGGAAAGGGCTGCAGGGAAAGGATTGTAGGAAACTGACCCATTCCCAGAACTTACACAGGACTGAGGGATGATCAAGTCACAATCAGCCAGAGTGGGAAAAACCTTGCTGAACACCTGATATATAAGTTAGAAGTTTCTGGAGAGTCATGACTGAGTGCCAAGGAAATCCAGCCCTAACGTAACAACTACTCAGACTTACCCTTAAAAAAAAAAAAAAAAAAAAAAAAAAAAAAGACTAGAAAAGAATCTGCTAGCTAAAATTCAATATTCTTTAAAGGAACACAAAATTCAAACACTCAGTACTGACACTACAATGTCTGGGATCCAATAAAAAATGACTGCAGATTTAAAAAAATAAAAGTTACAACAAAGAGACAAATCATTAGGTAATAACAAGCCTCATAATGGTGGAAATGATGGAATGCCAGACCGAGATATTAAAACAGCTATATAAATATACAAAAGGAGTTAGAGGAAAACATGAAAATAAGAAAAAATAGAAGTTATTAAAAAGTAAATGGAATATTTAAAGATGAAAAATATAATATCCAAAAAGAAAAATTCACTGAATGAGCTTAACAACAGATTAGATACTGTGGAAGAAAAAAATCAGCAAACTTGAGTCCATAAAAATAGAAACTATTTGAAATGAAGCATAGAGTAAAAACTATTTTTTTTAAATGAACAAAACTGGCTGTGTGTGGTGGCTCATGCCTGTAATCCCAGCACTTTAGGAGGTCGAGGCAGGTGGATCACCTGAGGGCGGGAGTTCGAGACCAGCCTGACCAACATGAAGAAACCCTGTCTCGACTAAAAATACAAAATTAGCCAGGCATGGTGGTGCATGCCTGTAATCCCTGCTACTAGGGAGGCTGAGGCAGGAGAATTGATTGAACCGGGAGGCAGAGGTTGCAGTGAGCCGAGATCACGCCATTGCACTCCAGCCTGGGCAACAGGAGCAAAACTCCATCTCAAAAAAAAAAAAAAATGAACACAACCTCTGCTACCTGTGTGACAAAATCAAAGGGTCTAACAGGGATTTAATTAAAATCCCAGAATGGGGGAAGCAAAAGAGAGGAGTAAAAGAAATATTTAATGATATAAGAAGCAAAAATTTTCCAATCTTGATGACAACTATAAATCCCCAGATCCGAGAAGCTCAATGAACTATAAGCAACAACACAGTAAACCACATCAAGGCACATGATCATTACATTACTGAATCAAGGATGAAAAGAGATCATTAAAAGTAGCTGGGGAGGAAAATAGGCATACAACATACAGAAACAAAGATAAGAGTGACAGCAGATTTTTCACCAGAAAATATGTGCGCTCCCACATGGGCAACAGAGTGAGACCCTGTCTCTAAAAGTTTTTTTAAAAGGACATTAAATAAAGACATTTTATTTTCATGTTGAAAAAAAATTCACTCAGCACCTGCACTATAGGAAGTATGCAGGTAGTAGGAAAACAATATCCTATGGCAACACAGACGTACAAAGAGCAATAAAGAGTGCTGGAAATGATTAATAAATAAATATAAAATTTAGTTTTCTCAGTTTTTCACTTTTATTTTTCATTTTTATTTATTTACTTATTTTGAGACAGATTCTTCCTCTGTCACCCAGGCTGGAGTGCAGTGGTGCAATCTTGGCTCACTGCAACCTCTGCCTCCCAAGCCCAAGTGATTCTCATGCCTCAGCCCCCTGAGTAGCTGGAATTATAGGCCAGCACCACCATGCCCAGCTAATTTTTGTATTTTTAGTAAAGAACGGGTTTTGCCATGTTGGCCAGGCTGGTCTGAAACTCCTGACCTCAAGTGATCCTCCCACCTCAGCCTCCCAAAGTATTAGGATTACAGGCGTGAGCCACAGTCCCCAGCCCAGTTTTTCACTTTTAAAAAGGTTATTTATTAACTTTAGTAGCAATAATAATAACAAGGTATTTGCGAATGTATAACACATGGAAGAAAAATGTAAAGAAACAATAATGGAAAGGATGGGAGAGGGAAAATTGAATTATACCTTTGTAAGATTCTTACATTATATATTAAGTGGCATAATATTATTCGAAGGTGAAATGTGACAAGGTGAAGTGGATACTATACATCTTAATTGCCACTTAAAACAATAGAAGAAATATAGCTAATACATTAGCTATAAATAGGGCAAATATAAAAAAGTATCAAGATTACAGGTTTAAACCTAGCTACATTGATAAGTATAATATATGCAAATGGCTAAACACTGCCTTAAAAGACAGATTGTCAGGCAGGATTTTGTAAAGCAGTATCCAATTATACATTATCTATAATAAACTTACTTTAATATAAAGACATAGGTTCAACATAAAAAGACCATAAAACAGATACCATTTTCTCCTAATCATAAGAGAATTAAAGTGATCATATGAACGTTAGAAAATTAGGCTCCAAACACAAAATGTTACCAGAAATAAAGAGGGCTGTTTCATAATGATAAAAGGGTTAATTTGTCAAAAAGACATAATAATCCTAAATTTCTTTGCACATAATTACAGAACTTCAAAACACGTGGAGCAAAACTCACATAACTGAAAGGAAGAGCAAACTAATCTATAATTATAGCTGAAAAATCTCAACACTCCTCTCCCATAAGTGATAAAACAAGTAGGCAGAAAATCAGCCAAGAATACAGAAAGCTTGAGCAAGACTATCAATCAGCCTAACTTAATTGACAGTCATGGAACACTACATTCAACAACTGGAAAAAAGACTTCTTTTTTTTTTTTCCAGAATTCACCATTCATCCAAATGGCTATATATAGGCCATTATACAAATCCCAATAAGTTTTAAAAGATTGATATAATAAAAGTATGTTTTCTAACCATAGCAGAATTAAATGTAAAAACAGACTGGGTGAGGTGGCTCACGCCTGTAATCCCAGCACTTTGGGAGGCCAAGGAGAACAGATCACTCGAGCTCAGGAGTTTGAGACCAGCTGGGCAACATGACAAAAACCTGTTTCTACAAAAAATACAAAAATTAGCCAGGCACGGTGGTGCGCGCCTGTAGTCCCAGCTACCCAGGAGGCTGAGGTTGGAGGATTGCTTGAGCCCAGGAGGTTGAGGCTGCAGTGAGTTGAGACTGTACCACTGCACTTCAGCCTGGAAGACAGAGCAAGACTCTGTCTCAAAAATAAATAAATAAATCTAAAAACAATGGTACATAAAACACCCAACAAACTAGGAATAGAAGGGAATTTTCTCAACATAATCAAGAGCATGTATGAAAAACTCACAGCTGACATTATACCCAATGATGGAAGACTAAATTTCTCCTAAGATTACGAACTAGTGAAGGATTCCCACTTTTGTCAATTCTGTTCAATATTCTACTAAAAGTCCTACCCAGAGAAATTAGCCAAATAAATAAATAAATAAAAACCATCCAAATTGGAAATGAATAAATAAGATTATCTCTACGCTATGGTCTGAAGGTTTGTGTTCTCCCAAAATTCATGTTGAAATTCTAACCCCAAGGTAATGGTATTAGAAGGTGGGGCCATTGGAAGGTAATTTGTTCGTAAGGATGATGCCCTCGTGAACCATAAAAGAGACCCCAGAGTTCTTTTCATCCCTTCCACCATGCAAGAAGAAAAGACAAGAAGGTGCTGTTTGTGAACCAAAAAGCAGATTTTCACCAGACATCAAATCTGCTGGTGCCTTGATCTCAGACGTCCAAGTTTCCAGAACTGTGTTTTTGTTGTTTATAAGCTACCTACCTTACAGTATTTTGTTATAGCAACCCAAACAGAATAAGACATCTGATACGTAGAAAATCTTAAAGACCCTACAAAAAACCTATCAGAGTTAATAAACAGATTTATCAAAGTTGCAGAATATAGTAATTAAAGAAGATCTAAATAAATAGAAAGACATGGCCGGGCACAGTGGCTCACACCTGTAATCCCAGCACTTTGGGAGGCCAAGGAGTTCAAGACCAGCCTGGCCAACATGGTGGAAACTCATCTCTACTAAAAATACAAAATTTAGCCGATGTGGTGGTGCACGCCTGTAGTCCCAGCTACTCGGGTGGCTGAGACACAAGAATTGCGGCCTGAACCTGGGAGGCAGAGGCTGCAATGAGCCAAGATCATGACACCACGCTCCAGCCTGGGTGACAGAGCGAGACTCCATCTCTAAATAAATAAATAGAAAGACATTCATGTTCATGTATTGGAAGGCCTAATATTGTTAAGATGGTAATACTCCTCAAAGCAATCTACAAATTCAGTGTAATCTCTATCGAAATCCTAATGGCCTTTTTGCAGAAATGGAAAAGCAGATCCTAAAATTCATATGGAATTTCAAGTGACTCGTAATAGCCAAAACAATTTTGAAAAAGAATAATAAATTTGGAGAAGTCACACTTCTGTATTTCAAAACTTATTACAGAGCTACAGTAATAATCAAAACAGTATGATGCTGGTACAAAGATAGATATATAGACCAACAGGATAGAATTAAGGGTCTAGAAATACACCCATACCCTTGTCAACAGATTTTCAACAGCAGTGTCAAGACCATACAATAGGGAAAAACAGCCTCTTCAACAAGAAGAAAATATATGGTAAATCTTTGTGATTGTGGATTTGGCAACGGATTCTTAGATAAGTCACCAAAAGGTCAAAAAAGAAAACAAATCACTGAACTTTGACAAAATTAAAAAACATTTGTGCATCCAGGGATACTATCAAGAGAGTGAAAAGACAACCCACAGAGAGGGAGAAAACAATTACAAATCATATCTCTCACAAGGTTCTAGTATCCAAAATACATAAAGGACTCTTACAACTCAACCCGAAGAGACCAAAAACATTTTTTAAATAGGCAAAGAATACAAATAGACATTTTTCCTAAGAAGATATACAAATGGCCAACCAGCACATGAAAAGACGCTCAACATCTTTAGTTAATAGGGAAAATGCAAATCAAAACACAGTGAGATGCCACTCACTCACTCAAATCCACTGGGATGGCTATAATTATTTAAAAATAGAAAATAAAGATTAGCAAGGATGTGAAGAAATTGGAACCCTCATACATTGCTGGTGGAAATATAAAAAAACAGTGTAGCCATTATGGAAAACCGTTTGGTGGTTCTTAACAAAGTTAATCATTGAATTACCATATGACCCAGCAATTCCACTCCTAGGTACATGCCCAAATTGAAAACAGGTCTTCAAACAAAAACTTGTACACATATGTTCATAGCAGCCTTATTTACAATAGCCAAAAGTTGGAAATAACACAAATTGTCCATCAACAGATGAATGAGTAAACAAAATATAGTATATTCATACAATAGAATATGATTCATTCATAAGAAGAAATGATGTACTGATACATTCTACAACATATATAAGCCTCAAAAAACATTGTGCTAAATAAAAGAAGCCAGACATAAAATGTTACACATTTTAGTACCCAATTTTCATATGAAATATCCAGAATAGACAAATCCATACAAACAGAAAAATATTAGTGGCTGTTAGAAGAGAGAATGTAGAGTGCTTGCTTAAAGAGTACAGGCATTCCTTTCAGGGTGAGGAAAATATTTTGGAACTAAATAGAGGTAATAGTTGCACAAAATTCTGCATGGACTTCAGATGCCAGTGAATTTTACATTTTAAAATGGTTAGTTTCATGTTACATGAATCTTACCTCAATAATAAAATCAATAGCAAAAAGTAGAAAAATCTCCAGTTATTTGGTAACTGAACAAAAGACCTCTAAATAACTCTTGGGTCAAAGAAGAATTCAACAGGAAAATTAGAAGATATTTTAATAGAGTGATAGTAATATCAACATGTATGACACATCAAAATTTATGAGATGCATCTATAACATTGCTTAGATTAATATTTATCATTTTAAGTGCTCATATTTAAAATAATAAGAATCTAAACCAATGATCTAAGCTTCTTTCTTAATAAGCAACGTAAGAGTAAGAAGAATAATAAATAAAAAGAACATATTAAATCCAGAGTAAGGAGAATAAAGGAAATCACAAAGATAAGAGTGGAAAGCAATAAAAGTAAAAAGTGAAAAAATAGAGAAAATCAGTGAAATCTTAACCTGGTTTTTTAGGGGAAAAAAATCAATAAATTTATAAACCTCTAACTAGTCTAATAAAGAAAAAAGAGAAGACACAAATAACCATAACTAAGAATGAAAGAAGGGATATTATTACAGATCCTACTAACATTTTTAAAGTACTAAGAGGCTGTCACAAAAAATTTAATGCCAATAAATCTATTAGATGAAATGGACACATTTTGGGAAAGATGTTGGCAGACTGTATTTTTCAAAATTGTTTCAACAATAATTCGCATACCAAATGCTGTTTCAGAGCCTTCCTCTGCCCCATTAAGACATGAAGTCTGTATCTCATACCCTTGAAACTCAGCAGGGTTTTGCAACTGTTTCTACCACTACAGGACAACAGGAGTGACGCTATGTAACTTCAGAAACAAGATTATAAAAGGTAAAAACAGCTTCAAGCTGACTCTATCAAAATTTAAAAGCTCTGCTCATCAAAACATACCATTAAATCAAACAAAAAGATAAACCACAAACTGGGAGAAAATATTCACAATACATATCTTTGACAAAGGCCTTGTATCCAGAATATTTATAGAACTCTTACAACTCCATAAGAAGGCAATCAACTGTAAAAAATGGGCAAAAGATTTTAACAAACACTACACAAAATAAGATATATAAATGACCAATAAGTACATGAAACAATGCTTACCAAAGGATATTGTATTATTCCATGTATATGAAATTCTAAAAAAAAAAACAAAAGTCATCTATAATTTCAGAAAACAGATGAGTTATTGCCTGGGGCCAGGAGTAGAGTCATAATGGCAATTAACTAGAACATGGTGTAAGTAAACTTTTGCAGAGGATGAAAATTTTATATATCTTAAATTCAATATGTGTACATTTTAAAGTGATTCATTTTATGTTAAATTTACCCGAATAAAATTATCTGAAAATGTACATCATTAAAGTCATTTAAAATGTTAGATATCTGATGTTTAATTTTTAAAACCTAGTGAACTATTATGCTAAAGTATAGCATTTACTACATATTAATAAAGGTTCACAATGTCCAAACTATTGTTTTCTTAGTGCAAAGCCTATATTTTCCCATAAAATGAAATGGAAAATAATTATCTACAAAGAATTGAAAGACTTTAATTGTGTCCCTGATTCTTCCTTTACATAAAAAATTTGGCACACACCCTAAATAAGGAGTTGGGGAGGAAGTAACTTTCTGTTCCAAGCAGTGAGACATATGTGGGGTCTTCCCCTGAAGGTGCAGTACTTCAGATCTCTGAGTAATTGAAGGACTGGCAGGCAGCATGGGTTTCCATTAGGTTCATGTGTCACAAACTTCTAATGCCACTTAAAATCCCATCCTTTCCTTCTTCCACTTTCTTAGAATCTTCCCAGTGGTGCTGACCATGACATAAGCCAGCCTTACATCAAGCTCAGCAATGTGAGGAAGCTATGCACTGACTCAAGAACAGTGACTTTGCATTATTTATGTTACTAAATGTAAAGGCGACCAAAAAAGGAAGGTCACTAAACTTTTTTTATTTGAATATTGAAAGTATCAAGCATAGTGATTAAGTGTTTTAATAATAACAATCACTAATTCTAATATGGAACTCATGAGGAAGGCATTATTCTAAGTACTTTATGTATGTTAACTCAGTAATTCTCTTAATAACCATAGAAGGCAGGTACACTCTTCTTACCCCATTTTAGAGATGAGCAAACTGAGACACACAAAGATTAAGTAATTTGCCCAAGGTTATACAGCTGATAAACAGCATAGCTGAGATTTATACCCAGATAATGTGGTCCAAAATCTAAGCCCTTAACCTCTACTGTACATTTCCTATCCAGTGATTGTCACACCAGCATTTAACATCTATTAAAAGCAAGGATCTGGATTCTGACCTGTATAATTTTAACTTTTTTTAAAAACAGTGACAAGCTCTCATTGTATTGCCTAGGCTGGCCTTGAACTCCTGGGTTCAAGCAGTCTTCCTGTATAGCTGGCACTACAGTTGTGCGCCACTGTACTTGGTTCTACTGTCTTGGATAATTTTGAGATGAGTTTCAGATCACTGTTTGGGCCCATTCCCTGTATTTAAGTATGTATAAACAAATGTATCTCTATGTCTATACACACACAAACACATTTGGAAATATATACGTATATTTTGGCTGACTTTACATACATATATAATATATATAATCTTAAATGCAAATAGGTGTATGTTTTAAAGTGATACATTTTATTATGTTAAATTTACCTCAATAAAGCTATTTGAAAGTTTACATCATTAGAGTCATTTAAAATACTAATTTAGGTATTTGATGTTCAGTTTTTAAAATCTAATGAACTATTATAATGCTAACACATAGCATTTACTACATATTAATATATTTACCACATATTATATATATATGACCTGAAAATATGGGAAGAAAAAACATAAAGGTAAAAGCTGATGACCACGTAGGAGCCACACATTGTAACAGATCTCTTCTTTCTTGTATCTCCTATAGTACTTTCTTTCCACCATGCTCATCGTACATCCACATACTGCATTTAGATTGTAGTTATTTGTATATTTATCTTAATGCTTCTATTCCAGCATAAACTGAGACCATGTCTAAAGCACGTATCTAATTCATTTCCTTTCATACAACAGCTGCTAATAAACATTTATTTTTGTTTCCTCTGACATTCATAGACCTGATATAGCAGACAGATACCTGAAAATAAAGCTGACTACCAAAAACAGTCAGTATAGAAAGGCAAATACATGAGTACAAGAGTCCAAGGGCACAATTTTTATCTTGTTATGATCATAGAATAGCAGAAAAGGCCAAAGTAGACCTTGACTTGCTCCTTCCTCTGCCATGAGCTGTGTGACCTTGCTGGGGTTACTCATCCTCTCTGAACGTCAGCATTTCCATCTAGTAAATGTGCTTTGACAGTTTTGAGAGCTTTTTTTGTTTGTTTTTGTTTTTTTTGTTGTTTTTTTTTGAGACGAAGTCTCACTCTTGTCGCCCAGGCTGGAGTGCAATGGCACGATCTTGGCTCACTGCAACCTCCACCTCTCCGGTTCAAGCAACTCTCCTGCCTCAGCCTCCCAAGTAGCTGGGATTACAGGCACCTGCCACCACACCTGGCTAATTTTTGTATTTTTAGTAGAGACAAGGCTTCACCACGTTGGCCAGGCTGGTCTTGAACTCCTGACTTTGTGATCTACCCACCTCGTCTCCCAAAATGCTGGAATTACAGCCATAAGCCACCACACCCAGCCCTGACAGTTTTAAATAAATCAGGAGTATAAAAGTTTCAGCACAGAATAAGCACCTGATAAAGTCAGCCCTCCCACACCCCACTCCTTCATTTTATCCTTCTAGGGTAGGTGTCACAAATTAAATGCAGGTAAATGAGTTAAAATCGCTTGAGAATAAGAGATAGTACAGAATGCCATTTAAGAATATAGACCCAATACTACTATATCTTCTAATGAGAGAGGTGAAGCAGAAATCTGGAATTTAATGTGGAATCTTTCCATGTTTAAATGTTGACAGAGAAGTCAAAATTATTAAAACATTATATTCGCCAATGCTGTAAGGTCAAACAAAATTTGTCTGCTGTCCTGTGCCATCCAATAAACCACGGGTTTGCTGCCTTTACTTGTGGAGAAAGACAAAATACGCTAACAACAGCAATATAGCCTGAATTTGGTACATGTAGACAAATACATCTCTATAGCTAAACATACACACTTTGTGGCATGCATACAGTTCTTGGGACATATTGTCAGAAATCACCTACTTCATTTTCTTTCTTCAAACTGATTATTTCCCAACATGATGACATGAATTTAATTCCAGCAGGGGATGTTATCATATTAAGTTTCTCTTCCATTTAGTTAGACAACAATTCTGCAACACAAGGTCAAAGTCATTCAGCCTTAGCCATTTTCCTGTGTTTGTAACAACTGCCTTTGTGCCCAGATGGTCTGAGTCACGGCCTTTGTCAACACACATGTGTCTTGCCATTTCTTTTGGCTTTTTTCTTAAGAGTTGAAGTCACAAGGTAAGTGATAATTTTTAAAGGCTAATTAAGAACCTTTCTGCATATATCCTACTTAATTAGCTTCTGTCAACCTTGATTATACTCATTTTAAAAATTACATTTTACTTATGTGTATTCTGCTTGTATGAATAATGTGAAATAACAGAGGGCAGCTATTGTTCTGAGCCTTTCCAGTGAATCACTACTACTTTGCAATAACAGAATGATCAAAATAACATAAATGCTAACTAGAGACTCTTTAATATGAATTTACTTCATGCTGATAAACTCCTATAATTGCTGTGCATGTTTAAGGGTGGGAAGGTATTTTTCTTTGGCGTGATAGCTCCCAGTGGCTACTTTGTAATTTCGTAATGTGAAGGTGACCAGTAAGGAGGCAAGCCTCTCAAATTCTAATGCTTCTCAAATTCCGGTGTGTATCAGACTTGCCTTTGGAGCCTGTTAAAAATTCAGATCCCCCATACTTACCTGAACCTGTGTCACCCTTATCCTGAATGAATCCTTATCTTATCCTCTCAGACCCTTAGTATTTTCATGTACAAAATGGGAAATCAGTCCACATTAAAGGTAGTCGAGAGTTTAAAACAAAATAATTAGTGCAAAAGTCTTAGCACAATACCAAACCTAGAGTACCTACGTAGTCCTAAAATTCCGAATCATTTTTTTTCTCTTGGAAACTCTTAAGTAAAAGATTCTGATTCAGTGAATCTGGTGCTGGGCCTGGCAATCTGTATTTTAAAATCCAGGAGCTGTTTGCCCTGGTAATCCTGTTGCAGGTGATCTGGGAACTCTGGGAATTAAGTAACTATTGAGAAATTCTTAACCCTTGTCTCTAGAGATTGCATCCGAGTCCTGGCTCTACATCACAATTAGCTGCAGCACTTTTAAGACTATGAATTTCTAGGCTTTACTCCCAGACATTCTAACACTGCGTGTCTGGCAAGGAGCTCAAGAATTAATGAGAGTTTTTTAAATTCCACAAGTGACTTTGATATTAGCCAGAGTTGTGAATCATTACTTAAAAGTCTTCAAGTATTTTTGTCCATCTTCATAGTAGAAAAAAATTCAGCACATACGTATCTATAGGATATGAATATCTATTTGATATAGTTTGGACATGTGTCCCCTCTAAATCTCATGCTGAATTGTAATCCCCAGTGTTGGAGGTGCAGCCTGGTGGAAGGTGATTGGATCATAGGGGCAGATTTCTCATGTATGGTTTAGCACCATTCCCCTTGGTACTGTCCTTGTGAGAGTGATTTCTCATGAGATCTGGTCACTTAAAAATGCGTAGCACTTCCCCCCACCCCCACCCTCTCTCCTCCTGCTTCCGCCATGTGAGATGCCTGCTTCCCCTTCACCTTCCACCATGATTGGAAGCTTTCTGAGGCCTCCCTAGAAGCTGAGCAGATACTTCCTGTACAGCATGCAGAACCATGAGCCAGTTAAATGTCCTCTCTTTATGATTTACCCAGTCTCAGGTATTTCTTTACAGCAATGCAAGAACAGCCTAATTATGCAGCCTATATTTATAAAATATTAGGATGGTGAAAAAGTAATTGCAGTTTGCCATTGAAAGTAATGTAGGCATAGCTTCCAGTTTCCCATTAAAAGTAATGGCAAAACCACAGTTACTTTTGCACCAACCTAATATAAGCCATTTTTACTATACTATGTACTACAGATTTAGAAAACATACAAAAATGGAAATTCTTAAAATATAAAACAAAAATAAACTTGTTAAAATTTTTTTGTTTCTAAATGGAATCAAACTCTGTCAGTGAAAATATTATTCTTAATGAAATTCCAGAAGCTTAGTTCTTAAATGTCTGCTAAGCTCGTTAAGATGACTTCATCACGCCTCTAGTTACACTCTCATGGCATACTACACGCACTTTACATCTCAAAATAGTTCAAGGCACCGTACATTTAATATGTAGCTATGTATCTGAAAACATGCATTATTATTACTTTTTTTTTTTTTTTTTTTGAGACGGAGTCTTGCTCTGTTGCCCAAGCTGGAATGGAGTGGCATGATCTCGGCTCACTGCAAGCTCCGCCTCCCGGGCTCATGCCATTCTCCTACCTCAGCCTCCTGAGTAGCTGGGACTACAGGCGCCTGCCACCACACCCAGCTAATTCTTTTGTATTTTTAGTAGAGACAAGGTTTCACCATGTTAGCCAGGATGGTCTCGATCTCCTGACCTTGTGATCTGCCCACCTCGGCCTCCCAAAGTGCTGGGATTACAGGCGTGAACCACTATGCCTAGCCAAAAACATGTATTTTTAATGATAGTGGATATAAAGTCATATTTCAAAGACCCTTCTTGATCATTGTAATCTTTTTGGCCGACTGCTTATTAGATCTGATTAGATTGTCACTGTTTTTACCTTGCAATGTGCCCGATGAAGAGCCTGTACTAGGAGTCAAAGAGGTGTTGACTCTGACATTTTCTTCTTGTCTCCTTGTGTTTGTATTATTAGTATTATTTCTAACTGGCAAGTTTTTTGCAGGAATCTTTTGGAAGCCATTATGATGCCTACCAGAGGATCTTAAGGTTCTATGAAATATTCAGACTCTTGGACTATCTCAGGCCACACTTGGCTTCAGATTTATTCAGATAGACATAGGCTAGGAGTCACAGCCTGCCAGAGGACAGAGCTAGGCTTTGCTCTCCTGGAGTCCTTGCTTCAGTTGCGGGGATGGCCTCTGTCCTCCCTGTGTGATAGCTCAGGTTCAAGAATATGACATCCTCCACAGTGGCTTATTTCAGAATCTGCCCTGGTAGCCAACATCTCATATAACAACTCTGTAGGCATAGCTTCCAGGTTCCCACGGAGACATACTCAGCTCTAAGAGTTACCACACTCAACCAAAAGCTAAGAACGTATAGTTCTTTGAGTCCAGTTGTAGCCTTTTACTCAGTCATTTTCACAGTAAGCAATGTTGCCTAGCAACATATTTGACACATTACCTTTCTAGGCACTCTGAAGAAAGAGCTTGAAAGCTAACAAAAAGTCAAGTTTTTATGCAGAAGGAGAAAGAGTTTGCTAACCCTTTATTCATACCAATTTTGTGGTGATTTGCTTAGTTAAAACCAGAAGCTATAATCTTTAAATTCATCTAACTGGCACAGGTAGCATACATCAGACTGCAGTTTTCTGAAAGCAAACAAGTAAGAGGGTCACAGTCACTTAGCACCTTAATCCTTACCTCACTGTTCTCATCAGCATTACAATTCAATAACAAAAGGTGTAAATTTATTTTTACTTTCTGCTCCAATTTCCTGTAGAGCAGGGATCATGCCTGACTTGTTCATTGTTCTTGTTCACTATCCCCAGTGCCTAGCATTGTGCCCTGCACATAAGAACTCAATTAACATGTATTAAGTAAATGAATATATGCCTAATATAACCATATATATCTGAGATTGCCAGTATAATGCCAAGCAAACTAGAGAAACATGATACTTACATTTCTAAAGTATATAAGGAATGTGTATCATTATCTAATCCTAAAGATGACATTGTTATCAACATCATTACATTTGTTGAAAATCATATATTAAGCACCTATTTTGTCAGTCAACAGACAATGGAAAAGAAGATAGATAGGATCCAAGACCTAGCAAAGACTGTAGTCTAACGGGCAAGACAGATATTCAAGGGTTTGGAGTTTAAACATATCCTCAAATCAAAGGAGACCAATGTCAAGAATCCCTCTCTTCTCCATAGTATGAAGGAGGTTGAAAATGACAAGTGTTGCACATTGATCTAAGCCAATTCATATAAATAATTACATCCATTAAATCAAATAATTTCAAATAGGCTAAACAGGGTGTTGTGAAAGCATATGACGAGGGCCCTGAAACCTAGTCTGGGGAGGTAGGAAGTCTTCCCTGAGAAAGACATTAAGACTGAGATCTAAGCAACCGGTTAGCAGGCAAAGGCTGAAGGTCTGGAGGTCTCAGACAGAGGGAACAGCACGTTCAAAGACCTTAAGGCAGGAGCCTAAGGAAAAATACCGGAGAACAGAGTCTAGTGGGGCTGGAGCAGACATATGAGATAAGGCTGAAGAAAGAAGCAGGAAGTAGGTCTTGCAAGGCTCTGTAGACAATTTTGAACTTTACTCGGAGTTCAATGGAAGGTCCCTAAGCAGGGGAATTATGTGTTTTGACTATAGTGCTTCCTGGCTCTAGTAACTACAATTACATTGGAATAAACCACGTAAGCCTTTCCTTCTCTGAATGACTTTTATTTGATTTTTATTTGTAATTTATTTTGCAGTTTTCTGAACCATAAAATATCTCTGCCCTTTGTAAATTACTGAGTGATTCTTCCTGAACCTTGTAAAGTTTAGCTGGAGGCATTCTGATACTTGTGTTCATCAGATTTTCCCTGACTCTAATCAAAAAGCCATAATTCAATGTCTGATTGTTCTCAGTAGGGAGTATTACCTTAAAATATTATTTACTCCTTTTGGTAGCAATTTTTTAATCAAATATTAAAGTTGCAGAAATTAATCTCATCCCTTCCACCATGTGAGGACGCAGCAAGAAGACACCATCTATGAACCGGAAAAAAACAGGCCCTTACCAGGCACGAAATCTGCCAGAGCCCTGATCTTGGTCTCTCCAGTGTCCAGAGTTGTGAGGTCAAGAATGATGAGAAATAAACTTCTGTTGCTTTTAACCAGTCGGTTTACAGTACTTTGTTACAGCAACCCAAATGTACTAAGACACCCCTTTGTCTCCAGGGAACCTGTACTTTGATTAAATCTGGATTTACTTGTAACAAAATAAAGAAATTCTCTTCGTTAGCAGTGTAATTCTTCCCAAAGAAGATTTTTTTTAATTGGGAGAATATTTGTTTAACCATTTGTGTGAGTAGGAATGAGAGTGGGAAGTGTGAGACCCTCTGTCCAAGGAGCATGCTTGTAGGCAGTAGGTAGTTCCTCCTTTGCTACGTCTGTTTTCCACTAAACCAGTGGTTTTAAATTCTATCTAGCCCCATCAACTTCTTCTTAGGATAATTATTAACTAATACTCCTTTAACATCAAGAAATTAAATTATTGGATATTTTCTATCCCCACATATTTCAAACAATTCAATAAAATTCCCTAAATGTACTATAAATAGAATTGCCAGATAAAATAGAAGGACATTGTTTAGGACATATTTACACTAAAAATTTATTGATTTTTTTTTTTTTTTTTTTTTTGAGACACAGTCTTGCTCTGTCACCCAGCCTGGAGTGCAGTGGTATGATCTTGGCTCACTGCAACGTCAGCCTCCCGGGTTCAAGCAATTCTCCTGCCTCAGCCTCCCAAGTAGCTGGGATTACAGGTGCATGCCACCACACCCAGCTAATTTTTGTATTTTTAGTAGAGACGGGGTTTCACCGTGTTAGTCAGGCTGGTCACGAACCATGAACTCCTGACCTCAAGTGATCCTCCCACCTTGGCCTCCCAAAGTGCTGGGATTACAGGTGTGAGCCATCACACCCGGCCCTGAAATGCAAATTTAACTGGATTTCCTGTCTTGTTATTTGCGAACCTTGTCAACCCTAAATATAGAGGAGAACTAAAAGAAAAGCTATGTACAATCATATAATAGGCATTTGAATGTATAACTGCTCAGCCATATGGCCCATAATGAGGTAGTCAGACACTTATATCTACAATGGAGTCACCATGATTGTAATAGCTACAAATGCAGATGGATGTTGGTAGGTTTCATTGGCCCCTCAAATACCATTAAGTGGTATGGCCACTTCTGATACCATTTTCTGATATAACAAACATTCTCAGAAAATTTTCAGACAAAATAAGCCACCACCTTCTTAATTTGCATAGCAGCTGAATTCCTGGAAAATCTAGTATATTAAAACCATGCCAAACACACAGAGACACATAAGTAAGTATGTTTTAGGCCCAGAATAATTACAAACAGAATTTCTCACTTACATGAATATCCAGCAGGATATTCAAGAAACATGGAGAACGTGGCACAATTCTTGCTATGTGGGACTTTGCTGCACATTGCAGGACATTAGCTTCTCTGGCTCCAGCTCATGATAACCAGCAGTACCCTCCCTCTATGGTAACAATCAAAAGAGCATGGCCACAGATTTCCCCCAATGGGTGGTAGTAGTTTAATTGAAGCTTTTAGTTTAAACCACACATAAAGGGAGAGTTTTCTAGGACAAATGAGGGAAGAGTTCAAAGAAAAAAAAAACTTTCTTCTTTTGATATGTCATGAAACCACTGGCCGGCCTGTAAAATCTTTGGTGGAACATTTGTTTCTGTTTCTGAGAGCTTGGAGTGGGAGGGAAGAAATAGGCTCTGATACATATGTTCCCTTTCCTCTTCTAGGACCTGTAATCCAGAGTATGAGGACAGGAGGACAGATGGGAAGGCAGAGGTCATGAGGAGACTCCTTTAAGTATTAGTGTTATGGACTGAATGTTTCTGTCCCTTCCAAAATTCATATGTTGAAGCCCTAACTCCCACTGTAATGGTATTTGGAGATGGGGCCTTTGGGAAGTAATTAGGTTTCAATGAGGTCATGAGGGTAGAGCCCCATGATGGGATTAGTGTGCCTACAGGAAGAGGAAGAGGCACCAGAGCTATATATATATATATGTATATATATATATATGCACACCAAGGAAGCCTATGTGAGCACACAGAGAGAGAGTAGGCTCTACAAAGCCGAAAGAGGTCACACATCCCCTGACCACATTGGCACCCTGATCTCAGACTGTCAGCCTCCAGAACTGTGAGAAAATAAGTGTCTGCTTTTCAAGCCATCCAGTTTATGATATTTTGTTATAATAACCAGAGCATATGAAGACAATTAGAAGGAGTTCCCTACCCTGCTCTGGTTCTGCCAGGTAGTCTTGATAGCCTTGGATGATATAGTTGCTACCGAACAAACATTGTACATGGTTTTATTGGAATGGCATAAAACTTCACTCTGGCCCCCTCCACCATGGAGGCCCCTTTTGAAATGACAGCTGAATGGGCCAGGTGCAGTGGCTCATGCCTGTAATTCCAGCACTTTGGGAGGCCAAGGTTGGTGGATCACTTGAGGTCAGGTTCAAGACCAGCCTGACCAACTTGGTGAAACCCCATCTCTACTAAAAATACAGACAATTAGCTGGACATGGTGGCAGGTGCCTGTAATCCCAGCTACTCAGGAGCTGAGGCAAGAGAATAGCTTGAACCCAGGAGGCGGAGGTTGCAGTGAGCCAAGATCGTGCCATTGCACTCCAGCCTGGGTGACAAAGTGAGACTCCATCGTTAAAAAAAAAAAAAGAAAAAGAAAAAAGAAATGGCAGCTGTGTCCAAAATAAGGCCTCTCTTGGACCTTCTAGTGATAAAATGTCCACCCCTTCTCTAGCATACAGCCTGGAACTCCTTCACCTCCTGTAATTTTTGGATTCCTTCATGTGGAATCCTTTTCCTTACCCTCCAAAGACCTTGGAAAATGGATGTCTTAGCAATTCGTCCTCTGCCCCCACTTCTGAGACACTATAGCATGTTTTTTTTTCAGGCTTTGGAAGCATTTGTTACTCCACTGGCCTCCCTTTTTCAGAAATCTCCAGGACCCAGCTGGACACCTGTCTTTAAGTTCAAACATACCCTCAAATCATAGAGGACAAACATCAAGCATCCCTTCTTCTCCATGGTAGGGAATGGCCTGAAAATGATGTTTCATATACTAGTCTAAGCCAATTCAGAACTTTTTGGAAGATATCTATAGCCCTCTGAAGTTAGAGGTAGGTAAGGACTATATAGCTCCTTCCCCTCATCCTTGCAATCATGTAGCGTACTATGATAAATTTGCCTCCCCTACTAGCAAGTATTGTAGAAGGCAGGCAGTCTTACAACTCGCAGGCTTAAAACAGTCTTACAACCTGTAGGCTTAATAAAATTCTAGCTCTATGCTCATCCGTGCTTGAAAGGATCTCTTGAATCAGACACAATGATGTTCAGTTATCCTTCTGGTCAGAATCAGGAAAAAAAATATTCCATTGGGAAACTGAAAACAGTCTCACAATTTCCTTGGAATCCTAAGCCTAGAAGTCTATTCCAAATAGCATAGGCGCTTGAGTTCCCTAAATACTTATATACACTGTTAATGTAAGAGGGGAAATGCCTGTACAATATTTCTGGCCTATGCATGCATTTGAATAACACTGACTTCACTAATGAAAAATTTCTTATATTTTTGTGATGCTAATTAACAAAGATAACTGAAGCCAATGTCACCTTAGAAGAGTGGGCTTCTGATTAGTCATTCAAATGTTAACTCCTTTGAAAGCATGCATTCTCAATTAGGGTACTTCAAATATTAACTAACCACTTATAGAGTTTGTAGATTAAAATTAACATGCATATATCACACGCTCTGTGATAAAGTATATTAAACTAAATTTGAGATCGAGTAATCAGACAACCTGGTTATCCTTGGAGAGTCCTATTTTGCACTTATTATCCAGAGAAAATTATAGTGTCCCCTTTTACTCTCAAACAATCTAAGTTTGGGTGAAAACTGTGTAATCACCTCATAATAAAAGGGAACATCTAGGTTCACAGTACATTCTCCAGAAATTCTCTCCTCTTACAACTCTGAAGACATTCAAGTTATGCCTGTAGGTTCTGCTGCTCATCAAGTATCTTGTAGATAACAAAATTCAGATCGCCCTGCTTGGAGGCTATCCCAGACTATTATGAAGAACTTTCCAGGAGATTCCATCTCTTGGCTTTGGAGAAGAAAGATGGCTGCTCCATAAGAAGAAAGAAAAAGTAAAATGACCCTTTGTGAACCCCCTAAAAGGACATGCCCTCTACCTCCCCTCCCCATCCTCCTCTTACATTGAGTTGGGGTACCAGGGCAGGGCAAAAGGTTAATGGTACTACCAGCTTCTTCTGTGCCATCCAAGAAGACTGGAAAACAAAACTTGGGTGCAGAAGGATCTGAGAAAATCGGAAAAACCCAACTTGACTTGCATAGACCTATAGCCTCCAAAATTTAAGCAGACTTTCCAACTCAGTAGATTGCATGTTCATTTCATCCCCAGATTTTGGTGCCTATCCAGGGGGAATGGCCATAGAGGAATGGAGACTTTGTATCTCTCAAAAATACTTTCCAGAAAGCAGATTTGAATCCACTCTTGGCCTCACCATTGTGATTGAGTCCCCCAGCTCTCTCATTTAGGCTGGAGGTATCCTAACCAAGGATGTGGTATAAATGAGGCTTTGTTGTCTACTCTTTGTCTTATCTCAGGGAGTGATGGCAGTCTAACACCCAATTCCTTTAGCACTATCCCTAAGATTGGTACATTTGATAACAGACTTCTTAGTGACAGAAAGAATTACACAGATCATGTGTTTAACTCTTTCATTTGAGGACCATTGTGATATTTACACAAAAGAATCAGGACCTAACATCAGAAAACTTGAGTTCAAAGCCTTCATCTACCACTGATTAACTCTGTGACTTTAGGTAAGGCACTCAAGCCAAGTTGCTCCTCTAAACAACGAACAGTATTTACCATACAAAGTTGTCGGAAGAGATGTAAAAGCATATTTCAAAATTATTTTTAAAAAGCCAAACAAATGCATTTGCAGTTGATTAAATATTAACACAAAGAAGTAATGTAAGTTGTCCAAAGTAACACCCTATTTAGGGGAAGTATCTAGGTCTTCTAACTTGAGTAGTGGCAACTGATTGTTGATTGGTTACGGACACTGTTTCAGGCATTGTGATAAGCCCTCAATGTGCACATTTAATCTCCTTTATTCTCAATATAGTTATTAATATACTCATTTTCTGATAAAGAAACTAATGTTAAAATGTATAATACACTTGTCAATGCCACCTAGGTAATAAGCAGAAAAGATATATTTCAATTTGAGTTTACCTAATAAAAGGAGCTGAGCTCTTGTAGCTAAATCAGCAGATCTCAAAATTATGTACTAAAAATCAAATTAAAAATATGAAGTCACATGATTCTTCTTTAAAGTTTGAGAACCATTGTTGGGGGCAATTGGCTTTATTTAATGTATGTAAAACACCTTAGCACAACGTCTGGAACAAAGTACCTTGTTCTTACTTCTTTCTTCCTAATATGGTTTACCGGGGGGAATTATTCTGGGGTCCCAGTGGCTGCAGCATATGAAATGGGGGTAGAGATGGGAGGGATTCCAGGAAGGGACCAGACATAGGGTGAATATTCTGTTAAGTAAAAGTGGTAGGAGAATAGAGGAAATGCAGTGACTTATCTGACAGGGCTGGGGATTGAGGGGTGAGGTAGGAGGACTGCTTGAGCCCAGGAGGCAGAGATTGCAGTGAGCCAAGATGATGCCACTGCACTCCAGCCTAGGCAGTAGAGCAAGGCCCTGTCTCATAAAAAAAAAAAAAAAAAAAAAAAAAAAAAAGATATATCCTGATAAAGTAAGGTTTTTCCCAACAATGGAAGGCTGATTCAGCATTAACAAATCTATTAGTATAATTCGCTACATTAATATAGCGCGCGCGCGCGCGTGTATAAAAGCATCTAAGTGCTAAAAATTATTTTATTTTTAAAAATCTGATAAAAAGTAATTACAAGCAATAGCAAACATCCTATTTAAGACTGAAACATTAGAAATATTATTACTAAAGTCATGAACAAGCACAGACTTCCTATCTCCAGCACACTACAATATTGTCCTCACCAATGCAATAAAATGAGAAAAATAATTAAGAGGATTAAATATTAAAAAGTGGGCCAATTCTAGGTCTACCTGCCCTCAGATCCATTCCTGAACCACCCATCCTTTGCTCTCTATTGTGAGTTGGCCAGCTCCTACAGACCGCATTTACCATGCTTTCTTTTCAGTTGGCATCACTGACTCATACAGGTAGAAAGCACCGGTGGAGGATTCAGAGAGGCAGAAGGAAGAATCTAGGGTATTTCTCCCACTTCCTTTTTGCCTCTGACACCTTCTGTGGCAGAAGCTAAGTCTCCTTTATGACTCCTGCTTTCTCCCAAAGGACAGGTCTACCATGCTTCTGGCTTCTTTTGTGTGCCTGGCTTTTGGCTCCACTAACACTGCCTCCTTCCTTTACTGCTTCAGTCTAGAAGCTGCTATTCAGTCTGCTATTATTAACCCCTGGGTTATCTATTTGTTACTGGTGTGGTTTTTCAAGGGCCTTTTCACCTCTTTAACCACTTTCCTGTTTTAAGTTCCCTTTGTGGTAAATACTCAAAGTAGTTTCTAATTTCGCCAGTAAGACTCTGGCTATACAGAAAACTGTTGGTATTTGTAAATTCTACAATTTTCTCCTAGAATCTCCAAAAGAATCAAATGAAAGGCTATTAAAAACCAAGGTGAAAAGTAAGCCAGGTGATACAAGCTTAACACACACAAAAAAAGTTTATTTATCAACAATCTCTAATCAGAAAATGTAATAGAAACATTTATTCCATTCATCATAATGATAATGAACTCCTAAATGCCTGCGAGTAAACTAAAATAAATATGTAAGACCTACATAAAGCAAACTATAAAACTTTAATGAAGGGCAGAAAAGTAGACCTAAATTTTTAAAAAGATACATCATGTTCCTGAATATTAAAATTTAATAGTATAAAGTGGTCAATTCTTGCCCAGTTAATCAATATGTTAGATGTAATTCCAATAGAATAGTTTACAGGACTTAAAAATCAAATTCCAGAGGTGCTTCAAGATGACTGACTAGATACATCTGGTACTCACCTCTTCCCCCAAAAAAGAAAACAAATTAGTTAGTAGATAACCACACTTCAAATAGATCATCTAAGAGAAAATACTGGAATTAAACGTAGAAGTGACAGGACATACATAATGCAAGGAAGGAGAAGGAAACAAGGCTAGCTGCTTGGCTGGAATCAGCTAGGAGCCTGGAGAGAATCCTTAGTGTGGGAAAAAGTTAGATGAGATATCCCCAGTCCACATTTCCACCACAACATCCTGCAGTCCTAGCCACAAGAGAGCCCCTTTATAACCACCCAATGAGTTAACCTTGCCCCCCGCCTACACAGAGCATTTATCAAGACAGGGGAATTGCGATAGAGAAAGGGTAATACATGCAGAGCCAGATGTGCAGGAGACTGGAGTTTTATTATTACCCAAACCAGTCTCCCCAAGCATTCAGGGATCAGAGTTTTTATGGACAACTTGGTGGGTGGGGGAAAGACAGTGAGCCAGGAGTGCTGACTGGTCAGGTAGAAGATGAAATCATAGGGAACTAAAGCCGTCCTCTTGCACTGAGTCAGTTCCTGGGTGGCGGCTACAAGATCAAATGAGCCAGTTTATCAATCTGGGTGGTGCCAGCTGATCTGTGCGAGGTCTGCAAAATATCTCAAGCACTGATCTTAGGAGTAGTTTAGAGAGGGTCAGAATCTTGTTGCCTCCAGCTGCATGATTCCTAAATCATAATTTCTAATCTTGTGGCTAATTTGTTAGTCCTACAAAAGCAGTCTAGTCCCCAGGCAAGGAGGTTTGTTTTGGGAAAGAGCTGTTATCATCTTTAGTTTTGTTTTCTTGTCATTGGTTTTGTTTTGAGAGTCTCACTCTCCCCTAGGCTGGAGTGCAATGGCACAATCTGCTCACTGCAACCTCCACCTCCCGGGTTCAAGAGATTCTCCTGCCTCACCCTCCTGAGTAGCTGGGATTACGGGCATGCACCACCACGCCCAGCTAATTCTTAGTATTTTTCGTAGAGACAGGGTTTCACCATGTTGGCCAGGCTGGTCTGGAATTCCTGACCTCAAGTGATCCCCTCACCTTGGCCTCCAAAAGGGCTGGGATTATAGGCATATCATCTTTGTTTTAAACTGTAAAACTATAAACTAATTTCCTTCCAAAGTTAGTTTATCCTACGTCCAGGAAGGAACAAGAACAGCTCAAAGGTTAGAAGCAAGATGGAGTTGGTTAAGTTAGATCTCCTTCACTGTCTCAGTCACAATTTTGCAAACGCAGTTGGTTTCACCTTGACCTTTACAGGTCCTGAAGCTAACATAGGGAGCTTCCAGGAGACTATACAATAGTATTGCTCAGGAGAAGAAGCTCACACTGAGTCCACAAACCCCAGAGTGTTAATCAGCTACAGCACAATCCCATTTTGAAAGCACAGCCCCCACCAGACTGCATCCTTCCCTGGGGGCCCAACAGCCCCTGCATCTACAGCTCCATTGACATTCCCTGCCCACAGCTGCCTCCCTGCTGGCAGCTGCCACCAGGGCCAAGGCAGAGTTGAAGGCAGTAACCTTGTCCACTCCACAGAGAAGCAGCTGTGATGAAAAGCTAACCCACACACAGCCACCACCAGTGCTGGCTGCTGCTGCTGGCTGCTGCCACCACTGAGGAGGTAGCACAAGCCACAAGCAGCAACTTTCTCCACCCAGCAGACAGGCAGCTGCAATGAAGGGATACCTCCCTCCTGCAGCTGCCACTGCTCCTGACTGCTGCTGCTGCCAGGGCTGAATCCAGAGCCACTGGCAACAAGCCCACCCCCACCCCTGAGGACAAACCTCACTGCCTTCAGCCCTGTTGCTACAGGCTATACTGTTGCCCCCAGGACCAAAATGCAAGTGAAGCATATACCCCCAGCTGCCTGCCAATGGCTGCTCCCACTGAAAACAGCCCCACCCGCCTCAGGAGCAGGGCCACAGTACAGCCACTGCAGCCACAATCTAAGCATTCTGCTAGTGGCCTAAGGATAACCATACCACAGCCAGTGCCTGCATGCACCTCCAGGGTGCCTGATGATAGGTCCTCCTAGTCCACTTATTACCCACATACACTGACTGAGGCCTGGAGATCATGCAGACTAGTCCATCACCACTGGCACATGAGGACATCCCCTGTGGGCCTGAGGTCAGAAACACCCAACCTGCCACTACTACCATGGCTGACACTCACTCACACGTACCAGTTATTGGCCTGGGGACTGGTCCACACAACCCATCGCAACTACCACCAATGCCAACATGGAACACTTGGGACCCAGAAGGTTGTCCCACCACTGCTACTGCCATCACCCACAGCACACCTGCTGCCCAGGGGCTTGAGAATCCACCTATTCCCCTGGTCCACTGCTGCTATTCCTAGCACCCAAACAAGCCATCTAGAGAACCAAGAATTGGCCTCCCAGGACCCGCTAACTCTGGTGTGCCAGCACACACAGCCCTGGGGCCCAAGGACAGGCACACTCGGCCTAACACTGCTACTTACTGGCATCCAAAGACTGGCCCATCTGTCATCCCAGGCCCCAGTAAAATGTCACCACAACCTGTACTAAAAACCACACCCTAAGCCACTGAGGAAATCACAGATGCCACTGATTCTGTTTACAGTTAAAGAAATCATAGAGGCTAGACTACTGCACACACCCAGAATCAAAGCCAAAGTGCTCAACCAATACCATAGATACATCTTTAGAAAAAAGTCCTCTTCTCCAAAAGCAAATTCAAAAAAATTAAAAGAAGCAACTGTTACACCCAATGGACAGAAATAAAGACACAAGAAACACTAAAAAAGCGAGGAAATATAACATCTCCAGAGGAACACAATAATTTTCTAGCAACATATTCCATTAAAAAATCATAGAATCCCAGAAATAGGATTCAAAATATTGATAATAAAGAAGCTCAGTGAGATACAAGAGAACACAGATAAATAATACAAAGAAATCAGAAAAACACTTCAGGATACAAATGAAAAATTCACCAAACAGACAGATATCAAGGAAAAGAACCAAACCGAAATTCTGGAACTAAAGAATTCACTGAATAAGATACAAAATACATTCAAAAGCTTCAACAATAGCTTAGATCAAGCAGAAAAAAAAAATCTCGTAACTTGAAGACCTAATTCTTTTGAAATAACCCAGTCAGACGAAAACTTTTTAAAAGAAGGGAAAAAAATGAGCAAAGCCTATGTGGTATATAAGACACCATATAGTGACCAAATACTCAAACATTTGGGGTTTTAGAAGGTGAAGAGAAAGCAAAAGGATTAGGAAACATATTTAAAGAATAGTAGATGAAAAATTCTTGAATCTACCAAAAGATTTAGACACTCAGATACAGCAATCTCAGAGACCCTCAAATAGACACAGTTCAAAAAAGTTCTTCTCCATGGCACACAACAGTCAAAATGCCAAAAGTTAAAGACAAAAGAGAATTTTATAAACAGCAAAAGAAAAACATCTAGTCACTTATAAAAGAACCCTCTTTAATTAACAGCAAGTTCTCAGCAGAAACCTTAAACAGGCCAGGAGAAAACGGGATATGTTCAAAGTATTGAAAGAAACAAAACTGCAAGCCAAGGACAGTATAACCCCAAAAAATTATGCTTCATAAGTGAAAGAAAAATAAAAAAAAAAACACTTCCCACACAAGCAAAAACAGGGAATTCATTACCACTAGACAGGCCCTACAAGAAATGCTTAAAGAAGTCCTACATCTGGAATCAAAAGAATAATATCTACCATCATGAAAACACATAAAAGAAAAAAAACTCACTGGTAAAGCAATCACACTAAGGAGGAAGAGAAATGAATCAAATGGTACCACTACAGAATTCCACCAAACCACAGTGACAAACAGTAAGAGAAATATAAAGAAACAAAGAATTTATAAAACAACTAGAAAGCAGCTGGGCACAGTGGCTCATGCCTGCAATCCCAGCACTTTGGAAGGCCGAGGTGGTGGATGGATCACTTGAGCTCACAAGTTCAAGGCCAGCCTGAGCAACATGGTGAAACCCTGTCTCTATCAAAAATACATAAAACTAGCCACGCATGGTGGTGCATGTGGTCCCAGCTACTCAAGAGGCTGATACAGGAGGATTGCTTGAGCCTGGGAGGTAGAGGTTGCAGTGAGCCAAGACTGTGCCACTACACTCCAGCCTGGGTGACAGAGCAAGATTCTATCTCAAAAAATAAAAAATAGATTTTTTAAAAGCTATGAAAAAACAAGGAACAATATGACAAGCTCAAAACCTCATGTATCAACAGTAACCTTGAATGTAAATACATTAAATGCTTCACTTAAAAGATATTGACTGGGTCGGGCATGGTGGCTCATACCTGTCATCCCAGCACTTTGGGAGGCCAAGGTGAGTGGATCACCCAAAGTCAGGAGTTCGAGACTAGCCTGGCCAACATGGTGAAACCCTCTCTCTACTAAAAATACAAAAAACTAGCCAGGCATTGTGGCAGGCACCTGTAATCCCAGCTACTCAGGGTGCTGAGGTAGGAGAATCACTTGAACCTGGGAGGCAGAGGTTGCAATGAACCAAGATCATGCCATTGCACTCCCGCCTGGGCAACAAGAGTGAAACTCATCTCAAAAGAATAAAAAAAGATAAACATTGGCTGAATGGATTTTTTAAAAAGTGACCCAATTACACGCTGCCTACAAGAAACTCACTTCACCTGTGAAGTCATACTGACTAAAAGTAAAGGGATGGAAAAACAAATATTTTATGCAAACAAAAAGCAAAAGTGAGCAAGAGTAGCTATTCTTGTATCAGATAAAACAGGCTATTTTGAATTATACAGACAGCAAGAAGAAAAAGACTTTACATCAAAATGGTAAAAAGAGACAAAGAAAGGGTCAGGCGTGGTGGCTCATGCCTATAATCCCAGCACTTTGGGAGGCCAAGGTGGGCGGATCACGAGGTCAGGAGATCGAGACCATCCTGGCTAACACAGTGAAACCCTGTCTCTACTAATAATACAAAAAATTAGCCGGGCGTGGTGGCGGGTGTCTGTAGTCCCAACTACTCAGGAGGCTGAGGCAGGAGAATGGCCTGAACCCCAGAGGTGGAGCTTGCAGTGAGCCGAGATCGTGCCACTGCACTCCAGTCTGGGCGACAGAGCAAGACTCCATCTCAAAAAAAAAAAAAAAGAGATAAAGAAAGTCATTATCTAATGATAAAGGGATTAATTCAGCAAGAAGATGTAACACCTACGCACCCAATTCTAAATATATATGCACCCAACACCAAAGCACACAGATACATAAAGCAATTATTAAAAGACCTAAAGGGAGACATAGACTCCAATATTATAATAGCTAGGGACTTTATAAACCCTACCCTCAGCATTAGACAGATGATCTAGATAGAAAATCCACAAAGAAACACTGGATTTAATTGCATAGTAGAACAAATGAACCTAACAGACATTTACAGAACATTTCATATAACAGCTACAGAATACACATTCTTCTCATCAGTTTATGAAACATTCTCTAGGACAGATAGTATGTTAGGACACAAAATAAGTCTTAACAAATTTTAAACATTAAAATTATATCAGGTATCTTCTCAGACCACAATGGCATAAAACTAGAAATTGATAACAAGAGGGACTTTGGAAACTGTACAAATACACAGAAATTAAACAATTTGCTCCTGCATGAGCATTGCATCAAGGAAGAAATTAAGGAGGAAATCAAAAAAAATTATTGAAACAAATGAAAATTGAAGCACAGTTACCAAAACCAAAACCTACACAGCAAAAACAGTGCAAAGAGGAACATTTATAGCAATAAAAACCTACATCAAATAAGTAGAAAACCTTAAACACTCTAACAATGCATGTCAAGGAACTAGAAAAATAAGAATAAGCCAAACTCAAAATTAGCAGAAGAAAAGAAATAATAAAGATCAGAACAAAACTAAATGAAAGAGACTAAAAGATAATATAAAGGAACAGCAAAGCAAAAAGTTGATTTTTTGGAAAAGATAAACAAAATTGAAAAAGTACTTGCTAGGCTAACCAAGAAAAAAAAGGAAAAAAAAACAAGCAAAATTACAAATGAAAATGGAGACATTACAATTCATACCACAGAAATACAAAAGATGATCAGAGATTATTATGAACTATAAACTAACAAACTGAAAAATCTAGAAGAAATGAATAAATCCTGGACACATAAAACCCAATAAGATTTAATCAAGAAGAAATAGAAAACCTGAACAGACTAACAAGTAATGAGACTGAATCAATAAAAAGTCTCTTAACAACAACTTACTTAAACAAAAGCCCAGGACTAAATGGCCTCACTGCTGAACTCCACCAAACTTTCAAAGAAAAACTAACACCAATTCTCTTCAAACTATCCGAAAAATGGAAAAAGAGGAAATACTTCCTAACTTATTTTATAAAGCAACATTACCCTGATACCAAAACCAGACAAGTATGCAATAAAAAAAGAAAACTAGCCAGACACAGTGGCTCATGCCTGTAATCCACACTTTGGGAGGCTGAGGTGGGCATATCACTTCAGGTCAGGAGTCCGAGAGCACCTAAGCCAACATGGTGAAACTCTACCTCTACTAAAAATACAAAAGTTAGCTGGGTGTGGTGGCAGGTGCCTGTAATCTCAGCTACTTGGGAGGCTGAGGAGGGAGAATTGCTTGAACCTGGGAAGTGGAGGTTGCAGTGAGCCGAGTTTGTGCCACTGCACTCCAGCCTGGCAACTGGGCAAGAAAGATTCCCTCTCAAAAAAAAAAAAAAAAAAAAAAAAAAAAAAAAAAAAAAAAAAAAAAAAACTACAGACAAATATCCCAGATGAAAAGACACAAAAATTCTCAACAAGAGACTAACTAAATCCAACAGCACATCAAAAGATAATACACTGTGATCAAGTGGGATTAATCCCAAGGATGCAAGGATAGTTCAACATATACAAGTCAATAAACATGAGACATCACATCTAGAGAATGAAGGACAAAAAACATATCATCTCAATATGTGCACAAAAGAGTATTTGATCAAATTCAACATCGTTTATTAATAAAAACTCTCAAAAAAACGAGGCATAGAAGAAACATACCTCAAAATAATAAAGTGATGGCATCCAATTATCATCTTCCTCCAAAACACCTAAACTCCTTAAAAATGCCTACATTTTTTCTCTGTGCCAAATTCGAGATGTAAGTTTGTATCCTGTTTTCTCTAAAACTTGGCAAGTGCTTTGCGCTCATGCAACAGATAAACTGTAATCTATTCCATTTACAGAGACAGAGTTTAATCTAACTAGTGAGTTTTACCTGACTCGTGGCTAAAATTTTAAAATCAAAGCTATAAAGTCTTTTTTTTTTTTTTTAAGAGACAGAGTCTCGCTCTGTCACCCAGGCTAGAGTGCAGTGGCGCGATCTCAGCTCACTGCAACCTCCACCTCCTGGGTTCAGGAATTCTCCTGCCTCAACCTCCCTAACAGCTGGGACTAGAGGCACATGCCACCATGCCCAGCTAATTCTTTTTTTGTATTTTAGTAGAGATGGGGTTTCACTGCGTTGCCCAGGCTGGTCTCAGACTCCTGAGCTCAGGCAGTCCTCCTGCCTCGGCCTCCCAAAGTGCTAGGATTACAGGCGTGAGCCACCATGCCCAGCAGCTATAAAGTCTTTATGTTTGCCTGTATTTTATGTGCACATGTGTGTACATGTGTGTTTGTATACTGCCTACATAGTATTACATTAACTTAATAAATAAATAAGTGCTCATAAATTGAGTAAATAAGTTCAAATGCTTTTCAAATTCATGTGAGTTTTGTAATTTTCGGCAAACAAAAGTAGTTTTACAAGTCAATAACAACAAAAAACAATCCCATTAAAAAGTGGGCAAATGACATGAAGAGACATTTCTCAAAAGAATACATACAAGTGGCCAAAAAAAAAATGAAAAAAATGCTACATATCAGTAATCATCAGAGAAATCCAAATCAAAACCACAATGAGACACTATCTAACACCAGTCAGAATGACTATGACTAAAACCTCAAGAGATGACATGCTGGCAAGCCTGAAGAGAAAAGGGAACACATATAAACTATTGATGGGAATGAAATTAGTTCAGCCACCGTGGAAAGCAGTTTGGACATTTCTTAAAGAGCTAAAAAAAGGAACTACCATTCAACCCAGTAATTCCATTATTGGATATATACCAAAAGGGAAATAAATCACTCCACTTGAAAGATATATGCACTTTTATGTTCATTGCAGCACTATTCATAATAGCAAAGACATGGAGTAAACCTAAGTGCCTATCAACTGTGGACTGGATAATGAAACTATAGTAAATGTACATCATGGAATACTACACATTCATAAAAAGGAACAAAATCATGGCCTTTACAACAACATGGATGCAGCTAGAGGCCATTATCCTAGGCAAATTAATACAGAAACAGAAAACCAAATACCACATGTTCTCATTTATAAGTGGGAGCTAAACACTGGAAACACATAGGCATAAAGATGAAAACAGTAGACACTGGGGACTACCAGAAGGGGGAGGAAAGAAAGCGAGTAAATATTGAAAAACTACCTATTGGGTACTATGCGAACTACCTGGATGAAGGGATCAATCATACCCCAAGTGTCAGCATCACACAACATACCCATGTAATGAACTTGCATATGTAGTCCCTGAATCTAAAACAAAAGTTTTAAAATAAAATTTGTAAAAAACAAAAACAAAAAGAAAACCCTAGTTTTTAAATTGTTGATAAAATGAAATTTGAACATCTTCAGAACTGTCAATATTAAATATAGTTCGTATGTTTTTACCTGGATCTATTGGTCAAACAGGTTTGTGCTGTCTGTGCTAGTTGTTTTAAGGCTATAAAATTGTTGCTTCTGTGACATTTTTGATAGTTTGATATTTCTGGAACTTATGTCTTTGGTTTTGAGTCTTTAGATTCTGTGGTGTAGAAAAGTAGCCATGGTGAGACCTATAAACACATGTGTGTCTTCAGCACCTGTGCCTCCTGGCCATGATGAAAGGGAGTAGGATCCCCCAGGAATCCTCCTCACAGCTCTGTCTTCCATCCTGAGCTCTACAACTAATGTTTAAATTCATGACCCAGACAGATCTTGCCTTTCACTGCTGTCCTATGTGTCATGTGACTTAAGAAGATGTTAGGTAGGGAGGGTACCTATGTAATAGTTTCAGAATTATTTTCAGTAATTTAAAATCTTGAAGTCAAATAATTGATAATTATAAAAATGTCTGTTACTTTTAACTAAAACACTGAAACATTTAACATGAGTTTAAGTTCATATAATTTGTCATATTTATATGAGAAAATCTAAATGTTTAGATCTGTCAATTAACAAAAAAATTGAGGAAACATCTTTTTAAAACATTATGAAATGATTTTCATCTACAAATACTGTTATAAAACAGTTCAAGATTATTTCCTAGATCTTTCACTAGAAATTAGGGTTACTAAGAGTTAATATTATAGTTAACATATGTGGTTAAAAGGACTAGATATAAAAGAAACAATTCTATATAGTGTATAAAGAAAATAAAATGTGTTTTGGTGAAGGTTATTAAAGAAGATATGTCAGTGCAGTTTTGTTACAGGAAAAGTAATTTTTCTTAGTTTAGAGGTATATAAAGGTTGTTTTAAATTGCAGGAATTAAAAAAGGTAGATAAAATGAAATGGATATAGGAATTTGGGGAGAGTAAAGGTTTTTGCTTTATGAAATCTTTTAATTATCACTTTGGCTAAACAAATGACTATTATTTTACAGTGATCTGTGATCCTATTGAGAGGTGACAACATGATAGCAGCCCTCGCTCGCTCTCGGCATCCACTCTGGCCACGCTTGAGGAGCCCTTCAGCCCACCACTGCACTGTGGGAACCCCTCTGTGGGCTAGCCAAGGCCGGAGCCGGCTCCCTCTGCTTGCGGGGAGGTATGGAGGGAGAGGTGCGGGTGGGAACCAGGGCTGCGCGCTCCTGGGCCAGCGCAAGTTCCGGGTGGGCGTGGGCTCAGTGGGCCCCACACTCCGAGGGGTCAGCCGGTGCCGCCGGCCCCAGGCAGTGAGGGGCTTAGCACCTGGGCCAGCAGCTGCAGAGGGTGCACTGGGTCCCTCAGCAGTGCCGGCCTGCTGGTGCCACGCTCAAATTCTCGCCGGGCCTCAGCTGACTCCCCCCAGGGCAGGGCTCAGGACCTGCAGCCTGCCATGCCCAAGCCTCCCCCCCGAATCCCCCGTGTGCTCCCGCATGGCCCGAGCCTCCCCAACAGACACCATCCTCTGCTCCACAACACCCTATCCCACCGACCGCCCAGGGGCTTAGGAGTGCAGGCACACAGTGGCACGGGACTGGCAGGCAGCTTCACCCACGGCCCCAATGCAGGATCCACTAGATGAAGCCAGCTGGGTTCCTGAGTTGGGTGGGGACTTGGAGAACTTTTATGTCTAGCTAGAGGATTGTAAATGCACCAGTCAGCACTCTGTGTCTAGCTCAGGGATTGTAAACGCACCAATCAGCACCCTGTCAAAACAGACCAATCAGCTCTCTGTAAAACAGACCAATCAGCTCTCTGTAAAATGGACCAATCAGCAGGATGCAGGTAGGGCCAGATAAGATAATAAAAGCAGGCCTCCCCGTCAAGCAGCGGCAACGTGCTCGGGTCAGGAAGCTTTGTTGTTTTGTTCTTTGCAATAAATCTTGCTGCTGTTCACTCTTTGGGTCCGCACTGCTCTTAAGAGCTGTAACACTTAACCGTGAAGGTCTGCAGCTTTACTCTTGAGGCCAGTGAGACCACGAACGCACTGGGAGGAATGAACAACTCCGGATGGGAGGAACGAACAACTTCAGACACACTGCCTTAAGAACTGTAACACCACAAAGGTCTGTAGCTTCACTTCTGAAGCCAGTGAAACCACGAACTCACCAGGAGAGAAGAAAAACTCCAAAAACATCTGAGTATCAGAAGGAAGAAACTGTGGACACACTATCTTTAAGAACTGTAACACTCACTGTGAGGGTCCATGGCTTCATTCTTGAAGTTGGTGAGATCAAGAACCCACCAATTCCGGGCACAGTATTTTGATCAAGTCTTCTAAATTTTTTTATCTTAATAGCAAGTGTTTTAACCCTTTGGCACTTGAATCAACTTTCCAAAAGGAATTATCAGATTTTTACATTAAGTCTTTTTTTTTTTAACCTCAAATTAACTTTCAAACGTTCCATAAAGAACTCCTGAAAGTTCAAAAGGAACGTATTAGGCATTAGGCTTATTTTGCTATGTAAAAAATGGGAAGCCTTGCTAAACTTTAAAAAATGGCATTTAACTTTTTTGAGTTAATATTTGTATGAATGTGTTCTGACTGTGTGTTCCAAGATTGTATGAGATTTCCTAAAAAGCTGATATGTCTTGGTATATGTATTCAGTCACAATTATGATTACTATGTTGAATTTTGGTTCACACAAAAATTAACCAAGTTTCTTTGTCAGTTTCATTTTTAATCATGGCCATTTTAAGTCTTTTTCCACTCTTTCTTGGGGAATGTTATGGTTTGGTTCTGTGCCCCCACCCAAATCTCGTCTCAAATTGTAATCCCCACATGGCGAGGAAGGGAGGTGATTGATTGGATCATGGGAGCAGATTCTCCCATGCTGTTCTTGTCATAGTGAGTATTCAGTTCTCATGAGATCTGACGGTTTTATAAGGGGCTCTTCCCCCTTCACTCTTCTTTGTCTCCTGACGCCTGGGGAAGAAGGAACCTGCTTGCTCTAATGTCATGATTGTAAGTTTCCTGAGGCCTCCCCAGCTGTGTGGAACTGTTGAGTCAATGAAACCTCTTTCCATTATAAATCATCCAGTCTCGTGTATTTCTTTATGGCAGTGTGAGAACAAATTTAATACAGGGAAATGTTTCCAAGTTTCACAACAATCAAGGAACCCATTTCACTGGCCAAATAATTCAGTCTATTTGCAACATATGGCTGATTTTTTCAACACTTCCATTGTGCATATCACCCTCAACCTTCCAGACTGGTAGAACACACACGAGATAATACAGATAAACTGGCAAAGCTTATAGAAACTTTTAAACTTCCCTTGCCTAAGACTCTTCCAGTAGTATTGCTTAATTTACATCTACCCCATTTGTAAAACATCAGCTTTCTGTCTTTGAAATAGTAACAGGAAGGCCCATGTCCCTAGATGGAGCCCTACAAACCAGCTCTCCTTAAAGATGATATTCTTCATTATTGTCAAGGCCTATAAAGCTTCTTACTAAAAAAATTTTACATCGAGTAAAGATTTTTAACAGCAAGCTCCCAGGAGATGAAAACATCAAAGATTATGGCTTCCAACCTGGAGATTTTGTTTTTTGGAAACTCCACCAAATAAAGTACTTCCTCCAACCATGTTGGAAGGGACCCTATCAGGTATTATTAACCAATCCTTGTGGAGCTAAACTCAAATGCATTGACTCATAAATTCACATTTCCCATTTTTAAAAGACAGCCCTGCCTGAGTGGACATTTTCTATTACCAGAGATCTCCAACTGAAACTGACCTGCCAGCAGTCACCTTGTCCTTCAGACGAGGCCAAGACAGGGAAAATCAGTTAAAAATTACTTGAAAGGCTAAATGGCTGCAAGATGTTAGAAAGACTTCTTACATGATTTATTTGATTGGTTATCTTTGGGAATAAGAACACTTTACAGCTCTAGAATACAAATTGTTTTGTTAATAATTGACCTTGGGTCATATTTTTTATCCTTAAATTGATTATGCTTTGCATATCTAGATGTCTAATGTCAACAACAAGGACTAAAATAATAGCTAGATGCTTAGAAATAATCCAACATGCAACAGGTCCTTTGTAAGAGGACAGCCTGAGATCCTATTGTTCTGTCCCTTTGTGTTGCCAATCAATTTTGCCTGGAGACCTCATTAAGTTTTTAAGCCATGGTATCTCTCCTCTTTCCCTCTGATGTAAGACTAGACTACCTAAAAATGAGCCTCATCAGAGACATGGGAAAAACTTACATCTGAAATGTTGATCATCAATGCTTTCAAAAAAGAAAGATCACAAGCAAAAGGAAGAAATGAGACCAAAAAGTAGCTCAGAGCAGTCTGAAGAACGTGAGGTATGAAAAATTTAAGAGACCCATAGATACATGAGAAGAGTCTTCAATTATTCTTCCCCTACCGCCACACCCGTGACTGGGTTTAATTGTTTAAAGGCATTTTGTTCTTTTTTTTCTTCCCTGTAGTTTCTACACTAGCTGATAAATTACCTGAAAGCTATCCCAAGTTGCACAGTGACTATCACCCATTATCTTCGTATTCCTTGAATTTGTGGTACAATTTCAACGTGTCAATCGATAGCTCATGTTCAACTTAGGAACTACCTTTTCTTTTTTTCTTAAAAAACCCACTTGTAAGTAATACTAATCAGAGCATATATTCCAGGCAACTTGACTCTGTGTCTCTCAAGATGTGCTAGATTCTAATAACAAAACAAAAAAAAATCTGTGTCTCCCAGGTCGCAGTCCTCAAATTTGGCCTAAATAAACTGTCTGCTTTATCAGTTTTGCCTCAGTTTCTTTCTTTACGTCAACAACTTTATGTCCTTTGTGTTCAACAGTTTAACAGGGGGAGAGAGAGGGAGAGATCATGAGCATAGGAGTAAAGAATAAGCATGCCCAAGTTTGAGAAGATAAAATCTAACAAGTTTTAATTTATAAGATTTATCTGTTTTACAAGAAACTTACACTTTTCTAATGTAAAGGTAGAAACCATGTAACTGTATTCAATTTAAGTTAGGAAACCCAAATGCAAAACTCCTACACATGTCCAGAAGTTCGATTAGAGTAGAGAAAGTGGCTTTTCTCCTGGTGCTGCTCACAGGAATGTGTTTAGCTCCTTTATTCTACCTACCAATGCTTCATCACATTGCATGTTAGAAGCTGCTATTGTAGGAGCAAAGAGGAAAAACTTCCCCATTACCTCCTGAAGGCTTGCTGAAAATGAACTGACAAAAGGCAGATTAATAAGAGAAAAAGTTATACAAATGTATTTTAATGTGCCTGAGGGGAAATCACAGAAGAGTGTTTACTCACTAACCTAATGAGGCCCAATTACTCATATCTTTCTTTATAGCAGAGGGGGAAGATTGGAAATGTAGGTAATTGTTTTGAGAATCCATAAATGGTTATTAGGGAGAATCAACGGGAGAGGGGAGACAGAAATAACCTGTAAATGGCTCTCGTTGAAATTTGAATGAGCCCAAAATACAGATCTTATCTTGTGAAAAGGTCCATCCAGATCTTTTTTTCTGAGATAGATAACAAGATTTCAGGGAGGGGTTGGAAAGTAATTGTTCTCCTTGGCAGGTCATCTTTACACAGATAAGAGAAATGTTTACTCTAGCATCTCCAAGGGCCTTTAATTGAAAATACTTATTATACTAGGGTGCCATATTTTGGGGTGAAATTCCCTGGGCAGGCTCCTTCACTATTGTGGAGTCCTAATAAGGGAAAAGGCATCAGGCAGGCCGGAGCAGAAGAAAGTAAAAAGAAAAAGCAGATAAGCTATAAGTCTGCCCTTCTTCATGGTCCAGGACACACAGCCTTCCTGCACAAATACTCAGAATCTCCCTGTGCCCAACTTATCACTAGACCCTTGGCTCATAGAAAAATGCAAGTTAGCCCCCTGCAACCTTGGCGTTATCAGTACTGCCCATAGCCCTCCCCAGCACAAGCATCAGTCTATATAATCCCCAGCAAGCCTTTGCCTCTGCAGTCAGCTCCTCTCTTGCTGATCTTCCCATTGCTTTCTTGCAACATAGTTTCATAGTTTTCTACCTTCTCTACTAAATCTGCCTTTCTTTACCAACAACTGTTTTTGGTAAATTCCTTTACTGCCCCTGCTGCCTGCCCCAGTTGATTGCTACCCATGACAACTAGCTGGTGTTCACGACTACAAGTGTTGAGATGACATTAACTGTAATGTCTTGCCACCTCCTGGGTCTTTACTTTTGAGTAGTCACAGACCCCTTTGAGAAGCTGATAAAGATGATGAACCCAATCATGAAAAAAAAATGCACCAGCACAAATATGCCCAAAATCTTGAAAACAATTTTAGGGATTTCCTGAAGTACAAACATGGATCCTGGGCTAAAAATCCCTGTTTAAAATGATTAACCTCCACCCCTAACATTTATATCCAATTTCAGCTCAGGCTGAATTGGATATAACAAACCCAATTTGTTCAGGCTGCTGTAACAAAATACCATAAACTGGGTGGCTTAAAGTATGCAACATAAACATATTTCTTATACTTCTGGATGCTGGTAGGTCCAAGATCAAGGCACTGGCTGATTCAGTGTCTGGTGAGGGCCCTCTTCCTGGTTCATAGATTGTGGTCTTCTCATTGTATCCTCACAAGGAGGATTGAAACCATTTTTGCAAAAATTATAAGTGAGAAAATTATATCAGTGAAAGAGATCAGACCTAACTGACTACATCTTGCTTCTAACTTCCAACTTGTCCTTGTTCATTCCTCGGTGTAGGCCAAATTAACTTTGGGAAGAACTTACAGTTTGTACCATAGTTTAACTTTTATAGTTTATCTTAACTTTGAAACAAAGACAATAACAGCCCTTTCCCGAAACAAGCCCCGTTCCTGCCTGGGGA
This sequence comes from Homo sapiens, assembly GCF_000001405.40. Lineage (NCBI taxonomy): Eukaryota > Metazoa > Chordata > Mammalia > Primates > Hominidae > Homo > Homo sapiens. Next base: position 152,799,459 of record NC_000002.12, on the reverse strand, counting down.
CTAGACTGCCTTTATAGGACTAACAGATTAGCCAAAAGATTAGAAATTATGGTTTAGGAGTCATGCAGCTGGAGGTTGTAAGATTCCGAACCTCCCCAAATTGTTCCTAGGGATAACATCATTATTGTAAAACCTAAGATCAATGCTTCAGATATTTTGCAGATCCAGTACCCAGTGGATCAGCTGACACTGCCCAGATCAATAAACTGGCTCATCTGGTCTTGTGGTTCCCACCAAAGAACTGACTCAGTGGAAGAGGACAGCTTTAACTCCCTATGATTTCATCTCCAAACCAACCATTCAGCACTCCCAACTCACTGGCCCCCTACCACCAGATTATCCTTAAAAATCCTGATCCCTGAGTTTTCAGGGAGACTGATCTGAGTAATAAAAAAACTCCAGTCTCCAATACAACTGGCTCTGCATGAATAAAACTCTCTATTGCAATTCTCCTGTCTTGATAAATTGGCTCTGTCTAGGCAGCAGGCAGAGAGAACCCACTGAGCAGTTACAGGAAGGGACAAGGCAGCTCTCTGGGACCTCTTTTATAGAGGCACTAATTCCATTCATGAAAGATTAGCCCTCATGACCTAATCATCTTTCCAAGGCCCCACTTCTTAATACCGACACATTGGAGACTAGGTTTAACATAAATTTCTATGATACACAAACATTCAGACCATAACATCTTTAAATAGCAGCTCAAATATTACCTCCTTCAGGAAGCCTTCCCTGAATACTCCAGTCCATGCTGATTATTCCTTTGTTTGATCTTCTACTGCATTCTTAATATTCACCAATTTAGTATTTTATTTCTTAAATACATAAATGAAATTGAAGGGTCCTCTAAACTTATTGTGCCAAGGGAGAGGTTAAGTCCTGGAGACTGAGTCACATAGCATGTTTACAATTCAGCTGCTTAGATTATAGCTTAGTTCTCTTCCTCATTGTCCTTGTTCTGTAAATGACTAAGAGAAACCAGAGCACAGACCCTCACCCTTCCAATCACTAGTCTTTCTTAGAGATTAACTGCCTCCTTTTTTGTCCTGTACTTACCTCAGACCAAATGGCACCCAAGACCCCATGACATTGCATCTTCAGCATAGAATGTTAAATATTCCTTTACCAAAAGAAAAAGACCACCTTGACTAATCAGATCATTATAACCACACATTAAGCCTTACATTAAGAGATATTAAAATTCTATTAAACTTCCCTAAACTTTGTCTATATAAATTATCTCAAACTTCTACACTTGGGAATACTCACCTTCATTCCTTGAAATCCATGCTTCCTAGGTGGCCCACCTTCAAACTTTACCCTTGAATAAACTCTCTTTAAACTACATTCTGATCCTTTTCATTATCTTAAATTGACATATTGATTTCTGTTTTCTTACACCTTAATTTTCTCTTGCCAACTGGATTGTAAACATGTTGAGGAAAGGTGTCTTGTCTTATACGTCATAGTACAGGGGAAAAAACACAATTTCTTTTCTTTCCCTCTAGGTTGTTAGTTGTGACACTCTCCTGAGAACAGACAGATTTACAAGAGAAAAGTCAGCAGAGGTCTATTGACATGTTCTGTACCCATCATGCAGGAGTGGCCTCCGTTCAAAATTATTCCTCTCTCAGGGCAGTGGCTTAGGGGCCTTGCTTAAACAATGACCCATAAATCCTACAATGACAAGACAAAGAAGTGAGTATCTTCAGGCTTCCCAAATGTGTGGAAATATGGGAATGTACACTTATGAAAGGAGTAAAGTCTGCTCCTAGATTCCCTAGCATTACTGTATCTAAGCTGATAAGCAAGTGTGGCAAAGGGGCCTGTCTTGAGGTGGAAAAAGGCAGAAAGGAGACAGGATGACCTTTTGTCTTTGTAAATCACTGCCCTGCCATCAGGCAAGCAGAAGAAGGGGCAGAGTGTCCACTCCTGCGTTTCAACCTTCTTTAGCCCAAGAATCCTCATATTTTAGAGAGGAATATTTTGGTTTCCTCCAATAGCATCTTGCAGGGGCCTCAACGTATACTAGGTGCTTAAATGCTTATTGCGTGATGACTCACTTGACACACCAGAATTCTTCCCATCATTCAGGAAAGAAAAGGGCCTTCATATTTTATTCTATTAATCTCATAGTTGGCAGCTATGAGATTAATAGAAGACTCAGTTCTATACTTCACAGAATAGGATCTGGCCTATGAAAAAGGAAAAGCAGTTGCAGTGCAAAATGAACCGTTAGCATGCAGTTACCAAGATTACACTTGGGTAAACCCTACTTCCCTGCATCCCCTGCAGAGAAGACAATCAGACTGAAAATGATTGATGAGTGAGAAACTAATTAGAGCAGAAACTTCTTTAACATATTCACTAAGCAGAAAATATGTTTAATCAGTGTGGGAAAATATAGCATGCCATTGAAATAGATGTTCTCTTCACTCATTTTGACTAATTGAGTGTACAGGAATTTTGTTTCCTAAGTAATCTTAAAGGACAATTTTTTAAAATAGTAAAACTGTGACTTTCACACAGATATAAAAATGAACACGTTAAAAACTTCCTTTAACTCATCAATGAGAGAATTAATAAGATGTTATAACCAGTAAAAGAAGAATTCAAAGAACAGACATTTATAGATAAGAAATCTTGAAATGAATGTGCAAATGGTGGAGGCAAAACTAACTAAATTCCTCAGTGAGGGGAGGAAAGTCAATTGAATCCTCTACAGAATAGAGTTTGCAGGTCTATAGACAACTATTGTACATTGCTATCAGTTATGTACGCATTTCAGAGTAGTAAAATAGTTCCCATAGAATCAGATATGCCAGCATTTTAAATTTGAAACAGTTAGAAGGATCATCCTGCCCAAAGCACTAACAACTTGTCATTGGTGGCAATTTGGTCTTTACATCTCCTTCTAAAAGCCACATGTAGATGGGCCACATCAAGCATGTTTACCTTTGAATAAGTCCTGTTAAGATAATGAGCCTAATGAGTATGGCTTCCCAGTGAGCTCAGTGATCTATTCAATTTCATAATTATCTACTAAAAATAAACTCTTGAATACTTACAAGAGGGTGTTTCATTGTTCCTATTTTGAATATTGAATATCACTTGATGAGTCAACTTTATAAACATTTTCTTAATTTTAACCTTATGGCCTATTTTGTAGTGTTTAATGTTATACTTTCTCTCTAATTTATATTTTGCTTGTATTTGTTTCAAACCAAGTTCATATAAAACATATGGATCCAAATTATAAACCTTGTCTTCTCTGCTTCATCATCTCTCAATGTTATGAATTCTAAATAAAATGCCCTCAAAGATAAGTTTACTCCTTATTTTAAACAACCTTCAAATGTTATTTTTCACTCAATTTCTATTCATTTGTTCTTAGACCACTCTTTATATTGTTTTGTTAGTATGTAATCACATTTTTTGGATATATTTATAATACTTTACTATCAATACAGTTTCAGTTATTCAATTGCAGTTTCTTAAACTCTTTTCACAAATTATTTGAAAGTAAAAGTATCTATTGGGATGCCTTAAAAGATGAAGAAATTCTCACGCCTGTAATCCCAGCACTTTGGGAGGCTGAGGCGGATGGATCACGAGGTCAGGAGATTGAGACCATCCTGGCTAACACGGTGAAACCCCGTCTCTACTAAAAATATATTTAAAAAATTAGCCAGGCATGGTGGCGGGCGCCTGTAGTCCCAGCTACTTAGGAGGCTGAGGCAGGAGAATGGCATGAACCTGGGAGGCGGAGCTTGCAGTGAGCCGAGATCACACCACTGCACTCCAGCCTGGGTGACAGAGCAAGTCTCTGTCTCAAAAAAAAAAAACCAAAAAACCAAAAAAACAAAACAAAACAAAAAGATGAAGAAATTTAGGCACTGGTTTTATAATATTGCTTTATGTTATTTATCCCAAATCAAATCTTAAGTTTAACTGATTGACTCTGGGTACCAGCTAAATCTAAATATGGGAGGACAAATCCAGATGTTAGCACATGGAGAAAAAGAAGAAAATCCTATTTCTTTTAACAGTAGAATTGCCTCCCTCTTTCCTCCCCCATCCTCACCATATATCTTTTTGGATGTTAATATAGTCATGTACCATGTAATGAGATGTTTCAGTTATGACAGACTACATATACGATGGTGGTCTCATAAGATTATAATACCAAGGCCAGGTGCAGTGGCTCACGCCTGTAATCCCAGCACTTTGGGAGGCCGAGGCGGGCCAATCACAAGGTCAGGAGTTCGAGACCAGCCTGACAAACATGGTGAAACCCTGTCTCTACTAAAAATACAAAAATCAGCCCGGTGTGGTGGTGCGCGCCTGTAATTCCAGCTACTCAGGAGGCTGAGGCAGGAGAATCGCTTGAACCCAGGAGGCAGAGGTCGCAGTGAGCCGAGATCGTGCCACTGCACTCCAGCCTTGGCGACAGAGGGAGGCTATGTCTCAAAAAAAAAAAGATTATAATGATTATAATACCATATTTTTACTGTACTTTTTCTATGTTTAGAACTGTTTAGATACACAAATACCATTCTGTTACAATTGCCTATAGTACTCTGGTACCATGCTGTATGGGTGTGTAGCCTAGGAGTACTAAAGCTTCAAGGACAGGTTTGAGAAATAATAGATAGTCCCTGAACCTGAATTGATTTCTCAAGGGCATAAGGCTGGCTAGCTATCATGCTTTGTTTTGCAAAATGAGGTATGGAAAGAGCCGAAGGGCTCCAGAAGATAGATGAGGTTTTGAAGGCTGTGGGAAAGATAAGGGTGTGGGCATGAGGATCTGTCAACCAGAAAGCAACTTTGGGAATAGATCAGAGATGTAATATATTTTACTAAGCATTGCTGCAGTATATGTAATTTAAACTCCCTTCTCCATTCCCCATTAAATCTTCAGGAAAAATCGACATTACTTTGGGGAGCTGGCCAGTTTCTGCTAAAGTAACATCATGCTAAGAACAATTAGGTGAGCATGAGCAACAGCTGCCCATGAGTCTCAAGGTTTTATACCCGTAAGAAGCTACACTCGAAGGGGACTCACAGGAAGAGTGATACCTGTGACTTTTCTAAAATGCTGGCAAGCCTGACAGGATGCATCGATGTGCACCTGACGTCTATTTTGGGCTTTTGATCAGGTCCTTTGTCATATTCATTTTGCCTACTTAAGAAGATTTCAAGAGATTGATTCATGTCACTATCCAATAACTCTACACTCTATTGAATAATCACAGTGCTTCTGCCTCTTAAAAATACTTTATAAATATTAATCCCCATATCACTCCTATAAATTCCATTTTAAATAAAAGAGAAGACAGCTGCTTCCCATTAATTATCATACCAGGAAATGGATTGGACCCTTTCTGAAGTGTTTGACTACAAAAACAGCTTTGACCTCTGGGGGTCGGGAGCCCAAAAGCTGAAAAGCTGCAGAGGTCCAAGCCTTAAGTCACGGTCCTGGGTTCCATTTGACTTGTAGAATTATGAATGAGTTACGGGTTCTAGTCCTGCCTCAGGCACTTGTCTAGTTGTGAAATCCGGGGGATGTTGTCTCACTTCTCTAGATGTCAGTCTGTTCCCAGACTAAACCGAGGGTCGGACTGCTTATTCTTGTGGGCCAATAATGAGATGCAGGTGAACTGGGAAAGGAGGGAGTTTTTATTTCTGTAACTGGTTACAGGGAGAAGGCCTGAAAAATATTGCCAGACCAACCCAAAATTACAAAGTTTTCCAGAGCTTATACACCTTCTAAGCCATATGTCTACGTGTAAGTGTGCACTAACTTCTTTTAACCTGTAACTAAGATCTGAATCCTGAAGACCTTCCTCTGGAGCCTCAGTAGATTTACTTAATCTAAATGGGTTCAGGTGCTGGGGAGATTACCCTTATCTTGTCTCCTGCTAAATCATGGAGGTTTGGGGAGTTCCTTCAGACCCCTAATAAAACTTGTTTGTGGAGGCCTGGGGAGTCTCTTCAGACCCCCAGTAAAACTTGTTTAATCCTAAATAGATCCCGTTAAGAATTCCTTCATTATCTTGCCATGCTTTAAGGCCTGGGCAAAACTCTTGGTGGGCTTTTGTTACATTCCAGCCTTTGTATAAGGGCACTGACTTTCTCAGCTTTTAACATTTAACTTAACCACTCAGTCAGTGCTGAAACAGTTGTTATGGAGGCCTGCCTTAGTGAGACCTGGCCTAACACAAGTCGTCTCATCTTAAATGACCACATCAGACTAATCGCTGGTTCCCAGATGTAATCTGAGGAGATCCTGCAATTCAAGAGCCTCCCTCAAAGGGATGGTCCCTACCCTCTCCTGCAGCAGAGACCTTCCTGTATATCGCTTTCCATTTCATCTAGGCAAAAAGGTGGAGAACAGTGAAACTCGCCAAAATTCCTCTCACAGAGGGAAATATTTTAATGCTTGAAGTGGGAGTGAGATTCTAAAGTGCACACTTAGGGAATTAGGAGACTCCTCTGCATAACAGGAGAAAGAGAAGGGGAAGTTCCCCAGAGAAAATTCACAGGAAGGAGACAGAAGCCCAGGATCTGAATATTCTCAGGGAAACGGAAGATAAAAAGGAAGAAGATTGTGATGGTTAAACAACTGAACACTTAAGAGTCTGAGGTGCAAGCCCAGCTCTGCTTCTTACTAGCTGTGTGATCTTGGGCCACTTACCTTCTCTGGGCCTTGGCTTCCTCATCTGGGCCTTGGCTTCCTCATAGTAATGGTGCTAGCAGTGGAAGAGATCCAAGTAACCCCAAGTTACTGGCAGCGTATCCTTACGGTCCGTAGCAACTTCGGTCCTTGCCTCCTCAGCAGAAAAAATTTGACTGAAGGACATAAAGCAGAAAAAGAGGGAGGTTTCAGAGCAGAAAGAAAAAGGGCTTAGAACAGGAAAGAAAGGAAAGTGAGCTTGGAAGAGACCTAAACGGGCATGTGAAGGTGAAAGAGAGACTGTCAAGTGCCCCCTTTTAACTGTGAGCTCACCTCTTTTTCATGATTCTTTCCTTACGATGGGCTTCCAGTACATGCAAAGCCCTCCTTACCCTTGGGAAGTGAGCATGCACAGTGTGTTTGGTGAGTTATATGCACGCCCATCTGAGGCTCTCTTTAGTTTTCCAGTGGAGTGTACCCAGAAGATCATACTTCACCATGTTTGTCTCTTAACACGCATGCCCAGGAAGTTGCTTCTCCCTGAGGCCTGCATTCAATTAACATTTTGATGTTAACAGGTGTGGACCATCAGGAAATGGCCTCTCCCTAGCACTGCCAAGTTATTTTTAGAGATAATCGCTGAACCATCACCTGACATTCCTAATGGGTGTGAGGAGAGCCTTTTCCTGCCCAGCTCATGCCTAACTACCTGTAACAATGAATTTATCTAGTAGAATGAGTTTAGTTAAAAAATACAAAGACCTTAATATGTACCATACAAACCTCTCTGTACATAAACCTCCTTTTTGAGGCCAAACTTAAGTGAGGCCTGAGAGAATAAAATTTTGAAGGCAAATTGTTAATGTATTAGCTGAGAGGACACCCAAATAAGCTTTCTTTCTGTCTCTTCTGTGCAATCCTCTGTGGAGTCCACATAATTCACTTATGTTTTTGTGCATGCTTATTTTATGTTTGTATTTTAAAACGACAGTTATCGTATCACTTCTGAATGTATAGGCCATATTTATTTTATCTGAACACATCCACTTATGGAAAATTTCTTCATTAAGATAAATGTATAATAAAGTACAAGAGATGACTACTGAGACTGTTTTACAGGGTGTCTGTCTTTTGCTTTAAAAGTAAAAAAAAATTAAAATTTTAAAAATTACATTTTAAAAGCCATGAATAGGTCTGAGAAATGATTCCTACTAACTACATTCATAAAAAGCCAATTTAAGAATTACAAAGGCCAGCCTGGGCAACATGGCAGTGAAACGGGAAAAGTTCCCTTGTCCCCCTCGCAGGGCGTGCAATGGGCGTGTGGCTCGCTTCTTCAGGGCCCCGCTGCTCAACCCTCTATGGGAGCATACAGACAGGCAGGCTGTGGGGCTCCGACCCCACGGCAGTGTCCAGGGGTGAATGTTTACAGCTGAAGCCCCAGTGGGCGTGTGTTACAGTGTGCTCTTTTACTTTAGCTGTCTGTAGGTGGTTTGTGTTAACTAGCTCAATAGACCCCTGCCTTATCTCAAGGACAGAGGGCTTTCGGTATCCCGGGGTTCTTGCCTTGGTGTACTGGAAGAATTGGATCACACCTGCGCTTGCAGAATGAGTGCAAGGTTTTATTGAGTGCAAGTAGCTCTCAGCAGATGGGGGAGCCAGAAGAGAGATGGTTTTCCCCTGGGCTCTCGTCCAACTTCCCCAGCCAAACTCCACCGCATTCCGCCAGTAGATAGCCTGCCTGCCTGCTGGCGCTCCTCTCAACGTCCTCTAGACATCCAACTGCTTGTCTCTGCCTGCTAGGGTCTTGGGGTTTTTATAGGCACAGGATGGGGACGTGGCAGGACAGGGTGGTCTTGGGAAATGCAACATTTGGGCAGGAAAACAAAAATGCCTGTCCTCACCTAGGTCCATAGGCACAGGTGTGGGGCGGCGGGCGGATGGAGACCTAGCCAGGGACCACGCCTCCCCCTTTCATTTAAAGGGACCAAGCCCTTCCCTTCCCAGAGCTTCCCTTCCGTATCAGCAGGACCTTTGTTTCTACAAAAAAATGCAAAGAATTAGCCGGGCATGGTGGCACACACCTGTAGTCCCAGCTACTTGGGAGGCTGAGGTAGGAGGATCGCTTGAGCCCCAGAGGCTGGGGCTGCAGTGAGCTGTGCTTGTGCCACTGTACTCCAGCCTAGGTGAGAACTTATCTCAAAAAAAAAAAAAAAAAAAAAAAATTACAAAGGGAAGTATATCTGTTAGAAAAGCCAGCAATCATATTCACAGGATCCAAGTTCACTCAAAAAACACATTAAAGATAAAAAAACAATATATTGATTGAGAGTCCAGAATTAAAGACAAGAAAACTGAATTACCTTTAAAAGGGGTATTTTCAGCAAAGTACAGCAGTCTGCCGAGTGAACTGTTTAATAGGCTCAAAAAAATGTAATTTCTTTTTCCACTGGTTGTCAGAACATCAGGCTTCTCCCAAAACCATGCCAGAGACACAAGAATGTGTGCACTTTCTTTGTTTTTTTGTTTGTTTGTTTTGTTTTGTTTTGTTTTTGAGACGGAGTCTCGCTCTGTTGACCAGGCTGGAGTGCAGTGGCACGATCTCGGCTGACTGCAAGCTCCGCCTCCCGGGTTCACACCATTCTCCTGCCTCAGCCTCCCGAGTAGCTGGGACTATAGGCGCCCACCACCACGCCCGGCTAATTTTGTTTTTGTATTTTTAGTAGAGACGGGGTTTCACTGTGTTAGCCAGGATGGTCTGGATCTCCTGACCTCGTGATCCGCCTGTCTCAGGCTCCCAAAGTTCTGGGATTACAGGCATGAGCCACCCCGCCCGGCCGCACTTCTTTGACTCTCAAGACTCCAGGTTAGAGGAGTATGGGGTAGTGGATACTAATTCACTGCAGTCAGAAATACTTGTATTTGAATCCTGACTCAGCTACTTACTAGCTTTGTGAATGGACAAACATGTAAATATTCTGCCCCTCCATTTTTCATGCATAAAATGGGAGAGGTAGAGAAGCTACTTTATGTTTTTATTTTATTTTATTTATTTTTCAGATAGGGTCTCTCTCAGTCACCTAGGCTGGAGTGCCGTAACATGATCACAGATCACTGCAGCCTCCAACTCCTGGGTCCAAGTGATACTCCTACCTCAGCCTCCAGAAGAGAAGCTACTTTAAAGAGACCGAATAAGACAATAAATGCAGTGCTTTGCACAGTGCATGGTACACATGTTTAAAAAATGTTCATTGCTGTCAATCCACTGCACTCATATTATGAAATATCCTTGGTTGTAATGAAATTAATTGTATTGTGGCCATTATTCTATTATTTACACTTTACTTTACTTAATGGAATTTGGAAGACTCCTTAGTTCCTTGATGATCACTGGACAACATAAGTGGCATATTTACATTTCATCTATCTTAGATAACTTCAAATAAGTGAACACTCTCATCCATTACACTTTTTTTTCTCTGAGCTTCATTCTATTTTAAAATTTAATTATTATGTCGTTTTTCAGAACAGTCTTCTCTGACCACCCCTTTTGTCATTCTCAAGTCTTTTGGCTCCAGGAAGGTAAAATCATGATTTTTCTTGTTGCCACTTATCCTCAGTACTTAGCACAGTGCCAAGCACATAGTAGATTCTCAACATATTTTTTCAAGATGAAAATATAGGAGTATTGTTCTTTCCTGATTATGTAAGTAGCCATTCCCTTCCTACAAGTCACATATTGGATTTTTTATTTGGAGTATGCTTTTTTATTTCTAGGAAACCTAATTTGTGATTTACTCAAAGCCTTTAAGTGTTCTAATTACTGCTTTGGTCAAGTTCTTGTCTATCTCATCCAGCATCTCTATGTCATTAGAGACCTATTCTGATTGATTATCCCCTTTATCTTTTTCCACTGTTAGGCCTGCTTAGACGTGCTGTGATTTTTTTTTCCTCTGTCCATTGGGACTTTGGTATAACTGCTGACACCTTAAATGAGGACAATCACAATAAGTGGAAGGACCTGTGTAACAACAGACAGGTTTTCAGTCCTCCTTCAAAGCATAAGCATGAAATCATTTGCTCCCTATTCTTCACCCTCCACCACAATGCAGAGAGGAATCAGCCCACCATTTACTTCCTCCTCCATTTCCTGGAGGCCAAAAAGAATAAGCACAATTCCATGACCAATGTTGACCTTTCCATTGAAGGTCAAGGACCTTTAAGGCCAACTGTCCCCAGGATCTCAACATGGAGTATGCAATGCTGGTCTCAAGTCTCTCATTGGCCTCAGAAATTAAAAAGCACTGTAACATTTTCTAGCTGGAACCCTCTGGAGCCCACGACCCCTGCCCTAGAAGCTGCTAGGCTCAGGGAATTGGATAAGACAGAGTTAGAGGTTGTTAAGGTTTGCCTCTGTGTTTCCACCCAAATCTCATCTCAAAATGTAATCCCCACACGTCAAGGGAGGGAGGTGATTGGATCATGGATGCGGTTTCCTTCATGTGTTCTCATGACAGTGAGTGAGTTCTGATGGTTTTGTAAGTGTTTGGAAGTTCCTCCTTTGCTCATCTCTTTCCTGCTGACTTGTGAAGAAGGTGCCTGCTTCCCCTTCCATGGTAATTGTAAGCTTCCTGAGGCCTCCTCGGCCAGGCAGAACTGTTAGTCAATTAAACCTTTTTCCTTTATAAATTACCCAGTCTCAGGAAGTTCTTTATAGCAGTGTGAAAACAGACTAATACAATAAATTGCTACTACAGAGGGTGGGGTACTGCTATAAAGGTACCCAAAAATGTGGATGTGCCTTTGGAACTGGATAACAGGCAGAAGTGGAACAGTTTGGAAGACTCAGAAGAAGACAGGAAGATGTGGCAAAATTTGAAATTTCCTAGAGACTTGTTGAATAGTTTTGATCAAAATGCTGATAGTGGTACAGACAATGAAGTCCAGGTGAAAGTGGTCTCAGATGGAGATGAGGAACTTATTGGGAAGTGGAGTAAAGGTCATTCTTGCTATGCTTTAGCAAAGAGACTGACCGTATTGTGCCCCTGCCCTAGAGATCTGTGAAACTTTGAACTTGTGAAAGATAATTTAGGGTATCTGGCAGAAGAAATTTTAAGCGGCAAAGCATTCAAGAGGAAGCAGAGCATAGAAGTTTGGAAAATATTCAGCTTGACCATGAGGTAGAAAAAAATCAATTTTCTGGGGAGGAATTCAACCTGGCTGCAGAAATTTCCACAAGTAAAGTAAAAGGAAAATAAATATTTGGGCCCCAAAATCACTAAGCTAAAGGGAAAAGTGAAACTGGGTACTGCTTAGGGCAAACCTGCCTCTGATTCTATTTAAGTCATCCCTCTGCTCACTGAAATAGATGCATATCTGATTGCCTCCTTTGGAAAGGCTAATAAGAAATGTAAAAGAATGCAACCATTTGTCTCTCATGTACCGGTAACCTGGAAGCCCTCTCCGTGCTTCCAGTTGTCCCGCCTTTCTGGAAAAACCAATGTATATCTTACACATATAAACTGAAGTCTGATGTCTCCCTAAATTGTATAAAACCAAGCTATACCCCAACCACATTGAGCACATGTCGTCAGGACCTCCTGAGGCTGTGTTATGGGTACACATCCTCAACTTGGCAAAATAAACTTTCTAAATTAACTGATACTTGTCTCAGATATTTGGAGTTCACAGTAATGAAGAGCTGAATGTTAATCGCCAAGAAGATGGGGAAAGTGTCTCCAGAGCATGTCAGAGATCTTCACGGCATCCCCCCTCTTCACAGGTCTGGAGGCCTAGGAGGAAAAAGTGGTTTCTTGGGCCAGGCCCAGGGCCCTTGCTGTTCTGTGCAGCCTTAGGACATAGCGCCCTGTGTCCAAGCTGCTTCAGCTCCAACCATGTCTAAACGGGGCCAAGGTACACCTCCAGCCTTGCTTCTGAGGGAGCAAGTCCCAAGCCGTGGCAGTTTCCATGTGGTGTTGGTTTTGCAGGTGCACAGAAGTCAAGAATCAAGGTTTGGGAACCTCCGCCTAGATTTCAGAGGAGGTATGGAAATGCCTGGATGTCCAGGCAGAAGTCTGCTGCAGGGGTGGAACCCTCATGGAGAACCTCTGCTAGGGTAGTGGAGTTGGAGCCCCCACACAGAGTCCCCACTGGGGCACTGCCTAGTGGAGCTGTGAGAAGAGGGTCACCATCCTCCAGACCCCAGAATGGTAGATCCACCAACAGCTTGCACCATGCACCTGGAAAAGCCACAGACACTCAATACCAGCCTGTGAAAGCAGCCAGGAGGGGTGAAGCTGTCAAAGACTGTGGGAGCCCATCTGTTGCATCAATGTGAACTGGATGTGTGACATGGAGTCAAAGGAGATCATTTTGGAGCTGTAAGATTTAATGACTGCCCTGTTCAATTTTGGACTTGCATGGGGCCTGTAGCCCCTTTGTTTTGGCCAATTTCTCCCATCTTAACTGGGAACATTTAGGCAATGCCTTTACCCCCGTTGCATCTAGGAAGTAACTAACTTGCTTTTGGTTTTACAAGCTCATAGGCAGAACACATTTGACTTGTCTCAGCTGAAACTTTGGACTTGGACTTTTAAGTTAATGCTGGAATGAGTTAAGATTTTAGGGGACTGTTGGGAAGGCGTGATTGGTTTTGAAATGTATAAAAGACATGAGATTTGGGAGGGACCAGGAGTGGAATGATATGGTTTGGCTCTGTGTCCCCACCCAAATTTCATCTTGAAATGTAATCCGTATGTCTCAAGGGAGGGACCTGTAATCCCCACGTGTCAAAGGAGGGAGGTGACTGGATCAGGGGCAGTTTCCTCCATGCTTTTCTCATGATTGTGAGTGAGTTCTCACAAGATCTGATGGTTTTATAAGTATTTGGAAGTTCCTCCTTTGCTCATCTCTTCCCTGCTGTCTTGTGGAGAAAGTGACTGCTTCCCCTTCCACCATGATTGCTAAGTTCCCTGAGGCTTCCCCAGCTATGTGGAACTGTGAGTCAATTAAACCTCTTTCCTTTATAAATTACTCAGTCTCAGGGAAGTATCTTTATAGCAGTGTGAAAGCAAACTAATACAGGGGTCAATTTTAATTTTGAAGGGTGATATTTTCTTATCTCTTAGCCAAATTCTGGACATTAACCATATTTTATTTTACTGTTATTGTGACTGCAAACTTGTCAAACATTAATTATTCTCATTGATTTTGTTATCTCAAGAACAAGGGAAGAGAAAACTGTATAAGCTGGAATAAGAGAATAAGAAAGAAACCTTGCAAATTATGTTTGTTTTCTATCACTAGGCATAAATTATTGCATCCAGAACAACCAGCTGTTGGTGCTGTTAAGGAGAGAGACAGAGTCTAAATTATTACTTAGCACATATATTGCTCTAAAATTTTGTTGAATAAATTAATAAATGAAAGAGCGAATGAATGAATGAATGATGATACACTTGAGAACTAAGACGACTTTGGTCATGTTTATACAATTGGCAGATAATTTTCAAAATTTGTTTTTAGTCTGAAAAGCTATTGCTCAAACAGTACCTTATGAGGAATCTTAGTAGGTAAAAGAGACTAATGACTCTAGTTAAAATGAGAAAAGAGGACCCAGACCCTCCTTTTTTGGGTGTCCCTGGCCCCTAAGAGGGCTTCCTAGAAATGCTTTTATTCTGAGGATCACAACACTGCAGTATAGAAACCAGGCTCTGGAATGATTGTTGTACTTCTTTCTGCTATATTTACTTTCCATGTCAGTCACACCAGTTGAACCACTGGTTTCAATGACTGCATCAGTTATTGAGATGGATAAAATAAATGAATGGGCCATTACTTTTATGAGCAGCCCAAGCCAGTCATTAAGATTAAATGGTTAAAAAGTCAGAAGACCTAATGTAAAATAGGGCAACAATTTAAAAAGAAGTTTAATGTATAATAAGATATCAATTACTATAATTTAACTAATTAGAATCCTTAATAAACCAAATTTTTACCCACTTATTTATTAGGAATGATGCAGATGTTAAGGAGATGTACTAAGAGCAGTCAAAAGTACTTACACGTTATGTCTAACTGTTCAGCACAGTGCTTAAAACTATGCAGGATACAAAGTTGTATAAATATATGGTCCTTAGACTTAACTTGCCTATAATTTAGCTGGGAACACATACTGTTTTCAGGTTTCATCTATGTTGTAGCATGTATCAGTACTTTTACAACTTAATATTACTCAATTGTATGGATATAACATATTTTCTTTATCCAGTTATCATTCCCTAGGCATTTAAGTTGTTTGCATTTTGGCCTAGCACTCCAAAATTTTTAAGTCTAACAATAAATAACAGTGTTGGCAAAAATGGAAAAGAGATGGAAACTTTCATACGTGACTCATGAGAGGGAAAATTGATACTACCACTGTGTTGAGCAAGTTGCAATACCTAGTAGAGAACATGCATATAATTTTGACTCATCTATTCCTCTTAGGAATATACACCAAAGAAACCCTTGCACATGTGCACCAGTTGCACACAGGGACATTCTATGCAATGGCTTTTTTAATAAATAAAAATTTGAAGCAATGAGGAAATGGATAAATGAGTTGTGGTACATTTATATAATGAAACACTATGCAGCAGTTAAAATAGATGACCTAGGAATACGTGTAACAACATGGATAAATCTCAAAAATACAATGTAGAGTTTAAAAAAAAAAAAGCAAACTGAAAATAAAATTGGTGATTCAGGGCCTGTGAGAAGCAGATGCCAAGACGGGATTAGACATGCAAGAAATTTTATAAGGTTTAATGAAAGGAAATACCTGTGAGGGAAAGTAGGGCTGGAGTTCAAGGAGGCCAGGAGTTGTCAAACTATGCTGTAGATCTGACTCTTGTGAAGCAGAGAGGGAAGGAGGAAAGCTCTGGTGGAAGGTTCTTAGACTACAGTGCAATTCTAAGAAAGTTTGGCAAAGAAGACAGGGCATCCTCAAGTCAATGTCACCTGTCATAGGGGTCCCTTGTCTCCCAAGAATAGGCCCACTTCAGTATTCCTGCCATGGTCATCACTGGCTAAGCATAGCCCTCAGCAAATGTGGCCTCAATATGAATATGGTTGTGGATTTCAGAGCATAGCAGCTGGGGTACTCAGTCAGTTATACTCTTCATAATCAGAGACCCAGAGGTATACTGTTATGGCTGCCACATGCTATAATATGATCCCATTTATATTAAAAATAAAACACATACAAAATTATACTATGTATTGGCCAGGCTCATGCCTGTAATCCCAGCACTTTGGGAGGCCAAGGCAGGTGGATCACCTGAGGTCAGGAGTTCAAGACCAGCCTGGACAACATGGCGAAACCATGCCTCACTAAAAATACAAAAATTAGCTGGGCATGGGGGCACCTGCCTGTAGTCCCAGCTACTTGGGAGGTGGAGGCTGCAGTGAGCTGAGAGCACACCACTGCACTTCAGCCTGGGCAACACAGCAAGACTGTGTCTCAAAAAAATAAAAATTATACTATGTATTATTTATAAATGCACACATATGAATTAAAAATGTAAAAATCAGCCAGGCATGTGGTTTGTGCCTGAAGTCCCAGCTACTCAAGAGGCTAGGCTGGGAGGATCCCTTGACTCCAGGAGTTTGAGTCCAGCTTGGGCAAACACTGTGAGACCCCATCTCTAAAAAAAATTACATTCGTATTTATAACTATATATACACACACATATGAAACAGAAACAAAAGCACTCACAAACCTCAGAATTGTGGCTACTTCTGGATAAGGAGGAAGGGAATGAAATAAAGAGGAGAAATATTGCGGTCTTAAACTGTTTCTGTAATATATTTCTTTTTTTTTTTTCTGAGACAGAGTCTCACTGTCACCCAGGCTGGAGTGCAGTGGCGTGATAGCTCACTGCAACCTCCACCTCCCAGGTTCAAGTGATTCTCCTGCCTCAGCCTTCCAAGTAGCTGGGATTACAGGTGCACGCCACCACACCCAGCTAATTTTTGTATTTTTAGTAGAGACGGGGTTTCGCCATGTTGGCCAGGCTGATCTCAAACTTCTGACCTCGGTGGTCCACCCACCTCAGCCTCCCAAAGTGCTGGGATTACAGGTGTGAGCCACCGTACCTGGCCAATATATTTCTTTAAACAAAAAAAGATCGGAAGCATAACATATGGCAAATGTTAACATCTGTGTTGGGAATCCATAAAGCTACCCTGAGGTTCAATGATTCATGAGGGTTCACAAAAGCTGTTATACTCATGGTTATGATATATCACAGCAATAGGGCACCTAATCAAACCATCAAACAATAAATTTATAGGGCAAAGTCTGGGAGAGACCAGACACATGCTTCCAGTTGGCCTCTTCCAGTGGAGTCATACAGAAAATGCTTAACTCTCCCAGCACCTGTGTGTAACAGAGTTCCCTTTGTTGACAAAGGGAACTCTTCCAAGCCTTGGTGCCTAGGGGCACTCACATAGGCACAGAACAACCACATGATCAACCTTAACTATTCAGTCTCTAGCCTGCCTCCCCGGAAGTCAAACTGATATAGCCATAACACAGGTGAACAAAAACTAGCATTTACTATAAATCACGTTGTTAGCATAAACTATTTGACATGGCCCAAAGCCCCTGGTATACAGATACTTTTATCAGGCAGAATATTCCACAAGCTTATAGGTTATCTCCCAGGAATCAATTAAGGGCCTGGCCTTTCTTTGGAATGTGCAGGGTTTAAACACCACAAGTCCTCTGAGTTAATCCTTTTTAAAAAATCTGGATGGTGAGAATTTATATTATTCTGTTTATTTTTCATTGTTCAAAATACTTTATAATAAAAAAGAAAGGGAAGAAAGAAGGAAAGAAGGAAAAAGAGGAAGGCAGGCTGAAATTATTGATATGGGCTCACAAGCAGAGATTCTGGACTCAGCAAGTTTGCTTGAGGGGTTAGAAAGGGCTCTGACAGTTTGGTTGACTGAAACATGGACCAAAAGATGTCCTATGCTAAATAAATTGAAATGCCAGAACTGCCTTGGTATATTGTAGAGGAAGATATCAAAAGGCTTAAGGGGATTGGGATGTCAGAGTGGATTTATCAAGTAAGACCCGCTCATTCACACTGGGAGGGTCCAGAGGAGAATTTTAATAATCCAGAGCCTATTAAGACCCATTTTATGGCTACCAGCCAGCTTCTTTCCCTAGCCACTACTGTCATTGTCCAGTGGGCTCATGAACAAAATGGCCATCCTGTCAGGGATGGAGATTATACAGGGCTCAGCAGCATGGACTTCCACTCACCAAGGCTGACCTGGCTGCAGCCACTGCTGAGTATCCAACTACAGCAGCAGAGAACAACACTGAGTCCCCAGTATGGCACCATTCCCTGGAGGGATCCGCCAGCTGCCTGGTGGCAGATTGATTACATTGGACTGCTTCCATCATTGAAGGGAATTGTTCTTACTGGAACAGATACTTACCTTGAATACAAATTTGCCATCTCTACACACAATGCCTTTGCCAAAACTACCGTCCATGAACTTACAGAATGCCTTAGCAGCATCATGGTGTTCCACCTAGCGTTGCTTCTAACTAAGGAACTCATTTCACAGCAAATGAAATGTGGCAGTGGGCCCATTCTCCTGGAATTCACTGATCTCACCATGTTTCCCCATCATCCTGAAGCACCTGAGGTGTTTGCTGAGGGCAAAGAGAATATAAAACGGGTAGAGAAAAAGGTAGTTATATATCAGCTACAGCCATGTGACCACTTGCTGAAATGAGAACTGTAATAGTTACAAGTATTTCTTGCTTATTTTGTTATGAATGTAATTGATTGTGTATACATAAAGCAAACATTCCCTCATAACCCCCATCATCTAATACAACATGCATTAATACTAGTGAACTTTACATCACTGTATTTAAGCTACAGATATCAAGAAGGAGAGTGAACATCACCCACAACAGTATGGAGATGCCATTAAAAATTAAAAATAAAACTACTGTACAATCCAGCAATCCCACTTCTGAGTACATATCCAAAGGAAATGAAATAAGTATCTCAAAGAGATATCTGTACCCCTATGTTCACTGCAGAATTATTCACAATAGCCAAGATATGAAAACAACCTAGGTGTCTGATATGGTTTGGCTCTGTGTCCCCACCCAAATCTCATACCCGATTGTAATCCCCATAATCCTCACATGTGGAGGGAGGGACCTGGTGGAAGGTGATTGGATCATGGAGGTGGTTTCTCTCATGCTGTTCTTGTGATAGTGAGTTCCCATGAGATCTGATGGTTTTATAACTGTTTGACAGTTCCTCCTACATGCACTCACATTCTCTTCTACTGCTTTGTGATGAAGATGCCTGCTTCCCCTTTCTCCATGATTGTAATTTTCCTGAGGCCTCCCCAGCCATGTGGAACTGTGAGTCAATTAAACCTTCTTCATTTGTAAATTACCCAGTCTTGGGTATTTCCTTATAGCAGTGTGAGAACAAACTAATACAGTGTCCATCAATGGATGAATGAATAAAGAAAATGATGTGTGTGTGTGTGTGTGTGTGTGTGTGTGTGTGTGTGATGGAATATTATTCAGCCACAAAAAGAAGAAAATCCTGCCATTTGCAGCAACGTGGATGAAACTGGAGGACATTATGCTAAGTGAAATAAGCCACACACAAAAAGTGCTGTATGATCTCACTTATATATGGAATCTAAAAAAGTCCACCATCTCATAGAAGCAGGATGTGGAACAGGGACTGGAGGAAATGGGAAGATATTGGTCAAAGTATGTAAGCTTTGTGTTATAAGAAGAATGAGTTCTGGGGACCTAAGATACAGCATGATGACTACAGTTAATAATACAGTATTATTTATTGAAATTTGCAGAAAGAGTAGAATTTAAGCATCCTCAACCCTGCTCCCCAATACACACAAATAGGATAACTATGTGTGGTGATAGATGTCTTGATTAATTTGATTGTGGTAAACATTACAACAATGTATATGTAAATCAAGCCATCATGTTGTATACCTTGACTATATGTAATTTTTATTTGTCAGTTATATCTCAATAAAGCTGAAAAACGTTACACATAGGATAGGATACATGAGATCCTGTAAGGTAGAAATATAACCTATACTTCTGTTAGGTAGAAATATAACCTATACTTCCGTTAGGTGGAAGTATAAACTATGGTGGTTATACTTCCACCTAACAGAAGGCTAACCTTCCAGAAGTATAGGTTAACCTAACAGAAGTATAACCTTCCACCTAACAGAATTTAAAGAAGTGTTGTCTTTATTTTGAAGTTAAGTATGGTTTAAGGAGATGTGGATGGGTACCAAGTTGATGAAGGGTGGACTGTGATGTCAGTGTTATATATCAACTTGCCTAGGCTGTAGTCCCAATTATTCAAACACTAATCTAGGTGTTGCTGTGAAGATATTTTGCAGACGTGATTAACATCTACAAATCAGTTGACTGCCAGTAAAGGAGATTATCTTTGATAATCTGGGTGGGCCTGATCCAATCAGTTGAAAGATAGAAGTGAGATTTCCCTGAGCAAGAAGAAATTCTACTGCATCAGCTGCTGCCCAGGAGTTTCCAGCTTGCCCCTCCTGACAGCATGCCCTATAGATTTGAACTTGCCCATAGTTTTGAACAGCCCCAGAATGGCAAAGCCAATTACTTTCTGAGAGAAATGTTTGCTCTTAGGTTGCTACAAATTAGTTTTATATGCTTCTATTGTAAAGAAGTTAACCTTTTTTTTTTTTCTTTTTGAGATGGAGTCTCGCTCTGTCCCCCAGGCTGGAGTTACAGTGGCGCGATCTCCGCTCACTGCAAGCTCTGCCTCCCGGGTTCAGCCATTCTCCTGCCTCAGTCTCCCGAGTAGCTAGGACTACAGGTGCCCGCCACCACACCTGGCTAATTTTTTGTATTTTTAGTAGAGATGGGGTTTCACCGTGTTTGCCAACCAAGATGGTCTCAATCTCCTGACCTCCTGATCCGCCTGCCTCAGCCTCCCAGAGTGCTGGGATTACAGGCGTGAACCACCACGCCGGACCAAGAAGTTAACTTTTTTAAAGTTTAGATTCACTATTTCAAACCAAAGCAGGGATACCAGGAAAGAGATATTAAATATTATATGTGTATACGTATATTTTTCAACCTCTTTTACTACTGGGAAACCAGGAAGACATCTTTGAATTTATTGGCAATGACTTTTTAAAACATCTTGAAATTATTTCTCAGTTCCTTAAATTAACTTACTTCTTTTACATCTTTTTAATTTCAAAAATACCAGAAAACTCCATGTCTACAGTCACTTATCGCACTATTCTTTAAAAAGAAAAGTTATATAAAAGTGTGAAAGACTCCTCCTGCTTGCTTCAACCCACTCTCCATTTATAACTACTATTGTGTGTGAATGCTCTAAAATTTTTTAATATGCTTATAAACACACACCATTTTTTTGTGTGTGTCTATATTTTAAAGTATTTTAGCATTTGCAATGTGATATTACCTATGTGTTTTTTTTATTATACTTTAAGTTTTAGGGTACATGTGCACAACGTGAAGGTTTGTTACATATGTATACATGTGCCATGTTGGTGTGATGCACCCATTAACTCGTCATTTAACATTAGGTATATCTCCTAATGCTATCCCTCCCCGCTTTCCCCACCCCACAACAGGCCCCGGTGAACACACACCATTTTTAAATAAAATATGTTTTAAAACAAACAAACTACGAATACCTAAGAGCATTATAATGATAAAATTTCCAGGGTCATAAGTATGTATCTGATGTACTCTTTGGAAGTTAGAGTCATATCTATTGTAAGAATGTTCCATAAATTAGTCAACCATCTCCATATTGGTACACTCAACCTGTTTTATTTATGTTTGTGATGTTCCCAAGTACAGTGCCCACTACAGAGTGGGCCCACAATAAATACCTGTCACCTGAAGAAACATCAATGAATGTTAAGTGTTTTTATGATAGCAGTGATCTTGTGCTAGATAGCATAAAACTGAACAAGTCCCATCTAAAACTCTCCAAAGGTGCTTTAAAAGCTACTTTGACTCAGCTATTCTGCCAGAACTACTGTTCCAACCTCATAAAAGCATTATAGAAATCAACTCTGTCCCAAAAAGATCAAAAACCTTATTGTTATTGAAAAATAACTTCCCCTTAAACATAAAACAGTAAGAAATAATAATGTAATGGACAAGAAGAGAAGAATTGAGTTATGAATATGTTGCATGGTAGACTCAGAAATGACAAACAGTGGGAGATAGTAAGAACTTTAAATTTGCAGCCCTTATTTAATAAAAGTAGTGCCCTCTATTTCTAATTCAAAAAGCAAGAGAAATAGCTGTGTGTCTTAAAAAAAAAAAGAGAGAGAAGAAAAAAGAAAGAAAGAAAAGAAAAGGGCTGAGAGCGCTAGCTCATGCCTGCAATCCCAGCACTTTGGGAGGCTGAGGGGGGCAGGTCACTTGAGCCCAGGAGTTCAAGACCAGCCTGGCCAACATAGTGAAACCCCATCTCTACCAAAAATACAAAAATAGCTGAGCATGGTGGTAAGCGCCTGTGGTTCCAGCTACACGGGAGGCTGAGGCAGAAGGATTGCCTGAGCCTGGGAGGTGGAGGTTGCAGTGAGCCAAGATTGCACCACTGCACTCCAGCCTGGGTAACAGAGCAAGACCCTGTCTCAAAAAACACAAAATTAAAAAAGAAAGAAAGAAAAGAATATACTGCTGCTGGTCTGGTTTTTGTTTTGTTTTGTTTTGTTTTGTTTTTATTAATTTAGCCTGTGCATCTCCTTTCCCCTGAGCTATGATCCTCAGAAGCAGTGCTAACCTTGCCTGCCCATTGGATCATCTGCAGAGCCCTAAAACATATTTATACCTGGTCCCACCCTGAAGGATTCTGATTTACTATGTCTGGGGCATGTCCTGGACATTGGACATTGGACATTTTTTAAGCTCCCAGATGATTCTAACATATAGCCAAGGTTGGGAAGCACTCCTTTACAAAGAGAAGATAAAATGATGCTGCCAGCCCTCACAGGATTCCCTATCATATCACTAGTAGAAGAAAAGAAAGTGGTAAACGGACTTTCAGAGTGACAGGCTAAAAGGAGCATGAGAGAGAAGAAAAATAAATCTACATCACACAGGAGGGAGCAGGTTGAAGCAAGCAGGGACACTCACAACACAGCTTCCTAGCAAACCTGGCCTATGGTGCTCAAATTGAGACACTGATTTTCTCTCTCTCTCTTTTTCTCTCTCTCATTCACTTTCTCTCTCTTCTCTTCCTCTCTCTCTATGGAATGAAAAGGAGGAATCATCATAATCCTGGAATTTTAGATCTTGGAATTGTAGTAGTCCTAGAGGTGTGCCATTCAGTTTTTTCTTCAAGATAGAACCTGTTGTGAGATTTGTAGTAAGTTAACTCATTCCCACCACTAACTTGGGGATCAATCAGTGTTCATGCTGAGGCTACACTCTTCCTGAGCTGCTCCTAGCTCATAATATTAAATACTTCAGGGCAAGAGGTGAAGTCCAGAAGAATCCAGGTGCAAGCTTCCAGGTGTCCCCTCACAGCAGAGTCCCATGGGGACATGCTTAATTCTTCCAGCAATGATGTGTGACAATGTGTGAAGTGTTGCCAAACAGGGAAACTTACCTGAGCCTTGAGATCCAGGGTTTTTATTGGGAATCATTCACATAGGCTCCAGCCCTTCTCACCCCAGAACAAACGCAGATATTCACCATAAATCACATCCTTGGTATGAACTTACCTTGTCAAAGTGGTACAGCATGATCCAAGACTTTGGGTATACAAAAAGGCTTTGCATTTCAACCTTTGTTTCTGAGAGATTACACAGCATCTATATAATAAAGTATCCCGAGCACATTTCTTTCATCTGAACCCGTATTGTCTTAACAGATACTTTATTATTCTTTTTAAATTTTTTATTTAATAATTCTTTTTATAGAGACAGGTTCTCACTTTTTTGCCCTGGCTGGTCTCAAACTCCTAGGCTCAAGCAATCCTCCAACCTTGACCTCCCAAAGTGCCAAAATTACAGGTAGGAGCCACCCTGCCCATCTCAGATACTTTATTACTCTTAATAAATTACTGACGTCTCGCAGTAATAGAGGTAAAAAACATCTGAAGTATGCTATGCTTTTAAACATTAACATCTTAAAAGTAGTTGGACACTTTGGTATTTTCTCAATTTTTAAATCAGAGATTTAGTCATATATCACCTGTTTAGCCCATTAAAAGAGTATTGTATCAGACCCATGTGTATAACATGTAAGAATTTGTCTTTATTCTGTCTTTGACGAAGCTGGGATTATACAATACATTCTTTTTTAGCAATTTAGCTTTCAAGTACAGCTAAACCATGGATGTTTCTTTTCGATACCTACAGATCTACCTCATTCTTTTGAATGCTGCCTAGTATTCCACCGTGTAGATGAACAAAATAGATTTAATCAGTCCTCTGCTGTGATCATTTAGGTTGTTTCCTGCTGTTTGCTATTAAAACAATTCTTCAATGAATATCCCTGAAAATGTGTATAAATAGAGCTATAGAATTTGATTATATGCAGCATGCAGGGATTAATTTGTGTTACTTTCTTCTGACAGTAATAAAAGCAACTCTGATTGCTAGATAGGGGAGCCACCCCTTCTCTTATTGTTCCTAAGGTAACAGCATGTGTAGACAATTTCATATTCAGGATCTTATTTAATCCTCACAAGAATTATAAGTAGCTAATTACTATTCCTAATTTTTAAAAATAAGTTTTCTATTTATAGAATATACATTTATAGCAAATTTAGAAAATGTAGAAATCTGTAAAGAAGAAAATTAACATCACCTGTAATTTAATGGCTCACAGAAAACCTCTATTTCAATGAATCTTCTTTACATCTTCTTTCTATGCAGTTATTTTACATGGTTGAAATACAGCTTCATTCTGTATCTTTCTTTTATTTAATGTTATAACATTTCCTATATTATTCCTCTTGACAGCCATTATTTTTAAATGCTGTGCAGTATTCCATTGTGTTTCTGTACTATGTTATTGGTTTTTTAGTTCACTTTCATTATTTTCTACCACAATAAATTATATGCTATAAAGGATATATCTGGTATATAGAATTTTTTTGTGCTCTGTATTATTTAGGATAAAGCCCTAGAAGTGAAATTAGGAGATCAAAGCTCTTAACACATATTGCCAAACCAAAAGAAATTTTCATTAGTCACTCATTGAATTGTTCCTACAAAGCCTTCAGATATTTAACCAGGAAGGAGCATGTCCTAAACTACAGTTTAATACTCTTATATTCCCCTAGCTTCATGGTATCAACATCAGCCATTTGCTACACATTTTTTCCTTTTTCCTGTATTATAAAAAATGTTCTTAATATAGGAGTACATGAATAAATATATTATAAGAGCCTTGCTATAGTTACTTTTTAAAATTTTCCTTTGATTTCCCAGTTCATATTGCACTGGGGGGCCTGGGAGGGCATATTCTTTATTATATTACCTAAATCATTAAGATTTATTCTTTAAATACTAAGAAATTTCCAATTGCTTAAAATCTTCATTGTTGGTTTGAGGTGTATCTGCCCGTTTTTGGTAGTAATAAGTTACCAAAATAAAATTTCTTTTCTAAGATTTTTTTTCAGCTGGGCACAGTGGCTCATGCCTATAATCCCAACACTTTGGGAGGCCAAAGTGTGAGAATCACTTAAGCCCAGGAGTTTGAGACCAGCTCTGTCAACATAGCAAGACCCTGTATCCACAAAATAAAAAAAATTAGCCAGGCGTGGTGACACACACCTGTAGTCCTAGCTAGTCAGGAGGCTGAGGTGGGAGGATCAGTGGATCCTGGAGGTTGAGGCTGCAGTGAACTGTGGTCATGCCACTGCACTCTATTCTGGGTGACAGAGCAGGACCCTGTCTCAAAAAAAAGATTTTTTTTCTATGGAAAACTGCTTATTTTCTTTTACATGTATATGTTTATGGCACTAAAATAAGCTTTTTTTCACTGACCTTATTTCTGAGACATTTCTACAAAATAAAAACTCAGTTCTTACTGGGAGACAGAGAAATAGGATCTACTAATAGTTTTGATTTATACCTGCCATAAGACTAAGTATAAAAATTTGTTTAACAAGAAAGGTTTTCAGGAAATTCACTCTAGTAGGTATTTCAGTTTAAAATAATTTATTCTATTCCATTGATAGCAAGAAACAGGTAAAAAAATTTATTCTATGAATTATATAAAACGTTTCTTATTAGATGCCTACACTATACTTAAGTATGACTCTTACTTTGTTTCTGTGAACCTAATACAAATAGAAATTTGCTCAATTTGAAAGTACAATTTTGTATAAAAACTTATGTAGAATATGTCATGCACTTTATATTTTATATCAATAGGAACTTATAACATCCAACAGTGTAAGCACTACCTGTATTTAATGCCAAGTGGAAAATTATGCTGTCATTACACTTTTAGAGTCAGCATTCTAACCTTCACTTTGGACAGGTTTGTACAGCACTAAGAATTGTGACTGATTATAACTCACCCAGAAGTAGTAATTACTTTTCTGGTATCTAGCTGAAATACAGATTTAAAAAGTCCTATTTTTAAAAATATAAATTATGCTTACAGATTTTAAGATGGTAGTTTTTTGTTTTTTGTTTTTGTTTTTGTTTGAGACGGAGTCTCACTCTGTCACCCAGGCTGGAGTGCAGTGGCACGATCTTGGCTCACTGCAACCTCTGCCCTCCGAGTTCAAGCGATTCTCCTGCCTCAGCCTCCCGAGTAGCTGGAATCACAGGCGCCTGCCACCGCACCCAGCTAATTTTTTGTATTTTTAGTAGAGACGGGGTATCACCATCTTGGCCAGGCTGGTCTTGAACTCCTGATTTTGTGATCCACCCGCCTCAGCCTCCCAAAATGCTGGGATTACAGGCGTGAGCCACTGCCCCCGGCTGGTAGATTTTTTTAAGGTTAAAATTGCAGCAGCAGTGCTAACACCTACAAAAATTTCGGGGGGATCAGGACTTTGTTTTTAACATTAAACTGCTCTTAGGGATTCCTGTTTTCCCCTTCATATTACACTGAACTGAATATCCAGATCCATTCTGGAGCTGACCCAAAGCCACCAAGTGGCTGCTCTTTAGTCTTCTCTAAAGAGAAGGAAAAGAAGAGCTCAGTGAGTCCAGAATGGGCCCAACTCCACAGTTAATTTCAATAGTAAGTGTAAAACACAGTTGATTTCTGGGAACAGAGGGAGGGGCAAGGAGTACCATGCTGAAAGAAGTGTCAAGAAAACAGTGTTACTAAGTTTTGTTGGAAAGAAAAGGCTGCTAAGGTCAATGTCAGAAAATAATCGTTCATCCATTTCAGTGTTCTTCATAGTGGTAACACAAAACAATTCTTCATTACTTTCCAGAACATTTTTCCTGTAAGATTAATTTTATTTCTGAAACATTCTGCCTTCAAAAGCTGCAGCATTTATTATTCATGGTTCTATAAACCTTTATCAAAACTATCTAGACTTACAACAGCTCATTCTACCTCTAGATAGAAATTATATTTTGTAAGTTTGCAATGCACTGAGAATTTTTTTTCTTCTAAAACTATCAATTAGGAGCTCTGAGGACCCCTTATTATTATATTTTGGGAATATGTAATATTTTATATTGGGAATATATAATATTTGCACAAGCCTATTTTAATTCTACTTATGCCCTCTATGATTGAATAAACCACTAATTACTATGGCCCTCCCTCCACATCTGGCAAATACATACAGATGACCCTCCAGAACCCGAAGATTCAACCACCAATGAAAAATATTCAAAAAAGTTTAAAAAAACCCAAATAGCAATACAACAATAAAAATAATACAAATAAAAAATAGTATGACAACTATTCATATAGCATGACAACTATTTATATAGCATCTACACTGTGTTAGGTATTATAGGTAATCTAGAGATTATTTAAAGCCTATTGAAGGATATGCATAGGTTATATACAAATACACCATTTTATAAGAGGAACTTGAGCATCCACAGATTTTGGTATCTGTGGGGTTGGGGTTGGGGTTGGGGTTGGGGGAAGTGGAGTCCTGGAATTGAGAACTCTTAAATTTGGTATATCTTTTCAGCAGGGATTTGAAATGTTTTTCTTGAGTACTGGAGGCCAGAACTTTAGTTCAAAGTTATGTATTTCAATTGTTTTTAATGCTTTCCCTGGTGGTTCCTGATGTACAAATTTGGGGGCTTTTTTTCCTCATAATGTTACCAAGTTTTGTCCACTCTTAAACATCTGTCATTTTCCTGCCCATTTGTATGGCTTTCTGAGGTATTCTTATAAAATGTTTCCAAATTCCAATACCTAGGAGAGTTTAGTGTCATCTGTAAATTTGGATGTTTGGTTGTGTACAACTTTTTCAGGTTATAAATAAAATTATCATTCTAAGCACTGTTTTTTAATGGACTTTCTCATATTGCTGGATATGTCTTTACACAGAGAAGCGACCTGTAATTTTTTATAATTTGGGCTTTTATTCTAATGACTCAGTATTTAAAAATACTTTATTGTGGAGGCTTGCTCTGATATATTAATTTATAAAAATATGGATAAATCACATTATCTGTCCCTTAATC
This sequence comes from Homo sapiens, assembly GCF_000001405.40. NCBI lineage: Eukaryota > Metazoa > Chordata > Mammalia > Primates > Hominidae > Homo > Homo sapiens. The sequence goes on along the minus strand of NC_000002.12, from coordinate 152,771,045 downwards.
ACATCACTTATCTGCTCAGTCCAATGAAACTGCAAATGGTCAGATCTTAAGAAAATCCAGAAATACACTTTATTTTTAAAACCATACTTATTACTTTTACCTTTTGGGTTTTTTTTTGTTTTTTTTTTTTTTTTTGAGACTGATTCTCACTGTCACCCAGGCTGGAGTGCAGTCGGCTCACTGCACCCTCTGCCTCCCAGGTTCAGGTGATTCTCATGCCTCAGCTCCCAAGTAGCTGGGATTACAAGTGTGCGCCACCATGCCTGGCTAATTTTTGTATTTTTAGTAGAGACAGGGGTTTCACCATGTTGGCAGGGCTGGTCTAGAACTCCTGACATCAGGTGATCTACCTGCCTCAGCCTCCCAAAGTGCTGGAATTACAGGCGTGAGCCACTGCACCTGGCCCCTTTTTTGTGTTTTTGAAAAAAATTTAGTATTGTATAAAGATATTTGTACTACCATAGGAAATACTTGCTTATGTGCTTGTAGTAAGTTTTCTTATTGTCTATTTGTGCATTATAAGATGCTCAGAAAGTGAAGTCATATCTTCCAAAAATTTTTTCATTTTTTCCTTATATGACTTTGTAATTCTATGCACAGACTAGTTCAGTAAATGTCATAAACAGTTACTGAGGGTCAGGCACAGTGGCAGTAACTCATGCCTGTAATCCCAATAATTTGGAAGACGGAGGCAGGAGGACTGTTTGAGCCCAGGAGTTCAAGATTAGACTGGGCAACATAACAAAACCCTGTCTCTAAAACAAAATTTAAAAATTGGCTGGGCATGGTGGTGCACGCCTGCAGTCCTAGCTACTCAGGAGGCTGAGGTGGGAGGATCACTTGAGCCTGACAGGTTGAGGCTGCAGTAAGCACTAATCGTACCACTACACTCCAGCCTGGGTAACAGAACAAGACCCCAACTGAAAACAAACAAAAACAATTACTGAGCGCTTGTTGTGTGTAAGCTCCAGGCTGTAGGGAAAAAAAAGAGAAATCAGACTGTTACTGTGTCTATGTAGAAAGGGAAGACATAAGAAATTCCATTTTGACCTGTACCCTGAACAATTGCTTTGCCCTGAGATGCTGTTAATCTATAACTTTGCCCCAGCCTTGAGCTCAGGAACATGTGTTGTATGGAATCAAGGTTTAAGGGATCTAGGGCTGTGCAAGAAGTGCCTTGTTAACAAAATGTTTACAAGCAATATGCTTGGTAAAACTCATAGCCATTCTCTAGTCTCGATAAACCAGGGGCACAATGCACTGTGGAAAGCCGCAGGGACCTCTGTCCTGGAAAGCCGGGTATTGTCCAAGGTTTTTCCCCATGTGATAGTCTGAAATATGGCCTCGTGGGATGAGAAAGACCTGATCGTCCCCCAGCCTGACACCCGTGAAGGGTCTGTGCTGAGGAGGATTAGTAAAAGAGGAAGGCCTCTTGCAGTTGAGGTAGAGGAAGGCCACTGTCTCCTGCCTGCCCCTGTGAACTGAATGTCTCAGTATAAAACCCAATTGTACATTTGTTCAATTCTGAGATAGAAGAAAAACCGCCATGTGGCAGGAGGCGAGACATGTTGGCAGCAATGTTGCTTTGTTATTCTTTACTCCACTGAGATGTCTGGGCGGAGAGAAACATAAATCTGGCCTACATGCACATTGAGGCGTACTACCTCCCTTTGAACTTATTTGTGACACAGATTCCTTTGCTCACATGTTTTCTTGCTGACCTTCTCCCCAACTATCACCCTGCTCTCCTGCCGCATTCCTCTTGCTGAGATAGTGAAAATAGTAATTAATAAATACTGGGGTAACTCAGAGACCAGTGCCGGTGCAGGTCCTCTGTATGCTGAGGGCTGGTCCCCTGGGCCCACTTTTCTTTCTCTGTACTTTGTCTCTGTGTCTTATTTCTTTTCTCAGTCTCTCGTCCCACCCGACAAGAAATACCCACAGGTGTGGAGGGGCTGGCCCCCTTCACAGCCTAGGTATTATGCACATAAAAAGGAGTCTAAAAGACTTTAAAAAGATGAGTCATTATAAAATAATAAGAGTAGATAGCATATTATACTTTTTAAAATTAGTATTATAAGAAATGAGTCCAGATGGCAGAAATTGTGGTGGAACAAAGGTTTTTTTAATGGGGCTTTGTGGATAGGTAGTGGTGGAGAGTTGAGATACGATGAATGTTTGGTTCTTGGTTTTAAACATGGAAATCTAACTTTGGCTAGCTTTAGAAGAAAATAATTTTGTTATAACATTAGGGAGTTGCTCACAGAATTGAAGGAAAGGCCAGAGAACCAGGATCATAAAATGACAAGACACCAAGGAAAGGCTGGTAGCAGAGATTACAGCTAAGGTTTTGCTTTAAAATAGTTTGATTAGGATTCAATTAGTGGCCCAACTGCTGCTAAAGACAGCTAGAAGCCATTGTCACTACCACTGAATGGTACAACTGTGACTGAATTCTCAACTTTTTGTCAGTTACTGTGTCATTCATTCACAATTCAAAGACTTGGGCAGGAGCATAAAATTGGTGGCACCAAGGTTATATTCACTAGCAATCAGGTTGGGAGAAAGTAAATATCCAATATTTAGCCTTCTCTAATGCATCCTGAAGACTTGTCTCCCACACTCATATAACAAGGAATTCTCGCAAAATATAACTGAGTTTTGGGGTTGAGCAGTCAAAAAATGACAAAATATCCAATAGACTCCACTTGTTTGCCTGTCCAATATTTATCCCCACCTAAATCTCATCTTGAATTGTAGTTCCCATAATCCCCATGTGTCATGGGAAGGACCAAGTGAGGGGTAATTGAATCATGAGAGTGGTTTCCCCCATGCTGTTCTTGTGATAGTGAGTTTTCATGAGATCTGATGGTTTTATAAGGGGCTTTCCCCTACTTTTGCTCTGCACTTCTTCTTGCTGCTGCCATATGAAGAATGTATTTGCGCTTCCCCTTCCACCATGATTGTAAGTTTCCTGAGGCCTTGCCAGCCCTGCAGAACTATGAGTCACTTAAACCTCTTTCCTTTATAAATTACCCAGTCTCAGATATTTCTTCATCGTAGTGTGAGAATGGACTAATACCAATATACACAAACTTGCAGGCCGGGTGCAGTGACTCATGCCTGTAATCCTAGCATTTTGGGAAGCTGAGGCGGGCAGATCACTTGAGGTCAGGAGTTCGAGACCAGCCTGGCCAACATGGTGAAACCCCGTCCCTACTAAAAATACAAAAATTAGCCAGGCATGGTGGCACACACTTGTAATCCCAGCTACTTGGGAGGCTGAGGTGAAAGTATTGCTTGAACCTGGGAGGTGGAGGTTGCAGTGAGCCAAGATCAGGCCGCTGCACTCCAGCCTGGGTGACAGTCAGACCCCTTCTAAAATACACACACACACACACACACACACACACACACACACACACAAACTCACTACTTCCCATGAGAACTCTTCCTCCAAAAAACTATTCCACCTCATACTATACAACAAGTTGTTGTTCATTTGACCCCTTCCTTACAGGAAGACAATCAAGAGCCTCATAGGTTACTATTGTATTCAGTGCCATATCCAGGATCTCAGGAATTCTCCACTGCCCCCCTGTTCTATAGTAATTTCATCACAATATTCTGTAACCTATACCCTACATAAAGTTATAAAGTTAGCCAAATGTTTAAAATCCTACATAAAATAATGGAAGAAATGAAGAAAAAAAGCAGGAACACACATGCCATACAAAGGAAATGAGTAGAGGTTATGGCTCTTCATTTTTGAAATTGATAAGGCTCTAGTCTAGTATTTGACTTATTCTGTTCAATATCTATTCCATGTTCCCTTGGCTTTCAGCCAAAACTCTAACAAATATAGGGATTTTTTAATCAAGTAGGCTAACCAAAACTTCATTCCTGAGGGATTTGAGCCTCTGCCAATGTAGGTGTTGTAATATTTCTCTAACTAAACATGAGAGTCTAACATGGAAGCAGCTCGGACCTTTGTCCATATTCCTTCTGGCTTCCACTGTATTGCAGTAACTGGATTTCCCATTGGTAGATGGATTATTAATCACTGCAATCAGTACCAGAATAGCCATTTTGCCTATTGTCTAGTAATATAAGGAACTTTAAATGGCCAAATGTAGTCTCAGCTTCAATTCATTAACAGCACTGTGTGTAACCTTACAGAAGTATTTTTCCTTTGAGAACAAAAATAGGCTGCCTATGGAGATGGGAAGAAAATTTTTTATGGGTTATGTTTTTTGGTTTTGTGAGTAGAATTCTTTGGCTAGAGGCTACATTACATGGGGAACTTTAATAATATACAAGGCCATAGTAGTTGAAAACTTTGGCAGACCTTGCGACGCAAACGTCTGTAGGGTACTGGCAGAGAGAAGTCTTGTTTAGCTAATAACTCTTTAGAGAAACAGCTCTTTCTACTGGGGCATTTTCGAGAATGAACACCACATCTTAGAACTCCAGGTAACCCTATGACCTCAGCTTTCCATTCTGGACCAGATATTATCCGATTCACTTTGTCATCAACATAGATGAGGGTTTTTCAACCTTGGCACTATTGATATTTTGGACTGAATTATTCTCTCTCCTGGGGAACTGTCCTCTCTGCTGGGAACTGTAGAATCTTTGGCAATCTGGCCTGTTGACTAGTTGCCAGTAGCAGCCCCCGATTGTAACAATCAAAAACATCTCAAAACATTGCTAAGTAATTAGCTAAATTTCTATGTTTTGCCCCTGGAAGGCAAAATTGCCCTTGCTTAAGAACCACTGACATAGATGCATCCTTTCATTTTCCTCAAGTCCTGAGTAAGTTGTATGATCAGATTCCCATCCTGCTTCCTACTGTCATGCAGCCTCTCTTCATTCAGTCCGCAGCCTGGCCTCACGAGGGTTTGGTATAGATAATTGACTGATGTTGAAACTCAAGCCCAATTTATAGATGATTCTGTGTAATATGTTACTACCAGCCAAAAATGAGGTGGTGGGGGGCATAAACCCCCATTCATAGGTGGTAGCAATGTGCAGTGAAAAAGAAATTTTTCCTAGGGAGTTCAATATAAATTTCAAGCAGTTCATACTGTTGTCTCCTTGGCTAGAAGAAGTATGGTATGAAATAAGGATTATGTATATTCAAGGAGAGTGAACTAGTAGTTTGGCTGGATTGCCAGGGACTTGACAAAGGACTGGTGCCAACTTAAGAAAGGTGGGGAAGAGATATATAGATGGAGCTCTTTAAATGGACCCAGAATTGAGAATATTTCTGAGCTATGTGAATGCTCACAACAAAGCCTTCATTGCGAAAGAGGCTCTAAATAATCAGGTGGACAGCATAACCTATACTGTAGATGGTAGTCTCTGTCAAGCCAATGCTTAATGGGAGCATAAAATGCTAGGATGGTGGGGTAGTCAGATGGACCCACACTTTCAGAGGCTTTCCTGGCTGCTGCTGCCTTTCTATCTCTGCTGCCCCACTCCCACCCCACCAACTTCTCTCCCTCTCTCTCTTTATGGCATCATATCTTGGGGGATGAGCCAGCTACCTGATAGCCAATTAATTGCATTAGATGAGGTAGCACTTAGCAGTTTTGTCCCCACTGGTAGATACATTATGGTCTTAGATTTGCTTTCCTTGCCTCTGGCAGCCCTACTATTTACTGCATAATTTATACATTATCATGGATTCCCACCACATTGCTCTGGTCAAGGAACTTACTACCCTGAGGAGGTAAGACAACGTGCTCAATTGCTCAATTCTTTTTTCTTTTTCTTTTTTTTTTTTTGAGACAGAATCTGTCTGGAGTGCAGTAGTGTGATCTCGGCTCACTGCCCTCTGCCTCCTGGGTTCAGGTGATTCTGTCTCAGCCTTCCTAGTAGCTGGGGTTACAGGCATGTACCACCACAACTGGTTTTTGTATCTTTAGTAGTGACAGACTTTCACCATGTTGCCCAGGCTGCTGTTGAACTCTTGGCCTCAAGTGATCTGCCTACCTCAGCCTCCCAAAGTGCTGGGATTACAGGTGTGAGCCACCACACTTGGCCACACTCAATTCTTATTTTGTTGACTTCTCTCTTATAATGCACCTTCAACACTGAAATAATCTATTCAAGAGTTAGTTATTAAGCTAGCTGACAGTTAACACTAAAATGGCATCTTTCTGGATGCAATGTATGTTTTTATCCAAGAACTGATTTTTGCTGGTTTCTCCCATGCCCATATTACATGGGTTCAAGAACCAAGACACTGCCGGATGTTTCTATTACACCCAGTGACCCAATAATAAAGTTTTTGCTTTCTGTTCTTCTGAGTCTGAACTCTGTTTTAAAGGTTTTAGTACTTAAGGAAGTTCAAAAAGAAAACTGGTTCAGAAGAACCGGAAGTTCAAACTGCCATCTGGTAATTTTAGATTCTGTATGCCATGAATAATCATGCAAAAAAGAGGGTCACTATATTAGTTGGTGTGTTTTAACATTATAATACAAATGCTGCCACATAATAAGCAAGGAAGAATATAGAAGGAAAATATATTTGTTCTCGTACTGCCACATACAGTGGCAAAAGATGAACTAAGAGCTGAAATGTGTCAGAAATAAAGCTTTGGTCGCCATTATCAGGGAAGAAACTTAGCCAACGTAGTAGCCAAAGCAAAGATAAAATAGAATACATGTGTATAGAAGGGAAGGTGTCATAACCAAATGCTTAATTTAAATGACAGTAACTTTGATCTGTATTTTCTTGCTCTCATATATAAAGTGTATTTTAACAAGTTTCCCATCTTTTTGTCCTTCTTAAAAATATTGTTCTAGTTCACATAAAAAAGCAATGTCTTAATAAGTATTAAAATGACTAGTATAATTTGTAGAATATCAATAAGAGAATGTGGCAAAACTAGAAGGGACATAATCTGAAGGTCCTGGCTTTGGTATTGGATATAGTATACAATGGCTACATTGTTACATATGAGTACTGTTGTAAGCTTAAGGGTGAAAAGAGAAGCTGACCAGCAGAGTGTACAGTGATTATTTGTATTTGTGGTTGCTTGATATCCATTCAACCATCCCAAAATAATTTCAGATGCTGCCTTCAACTAGAGAAGCCAAAGGAGTAGGCACACAGTCTAATCTTGGCCAACTGGGCACTCTCTGCAAGGATCCATCTATATACATTATCCTGACCAGGCTATTCCCACTATCAGACAGTCCCTTTGCTTCATTTTCCTTGACTCTCTGGCACTTTCTAGGTTCCTCCCCACCAGTCCTGATTCCCTTTTCCTTAGTCAGATGGTGTGACAGTTAATATTAAGTGTCCACTTCATTGAATGATGCAAAGTATTGTTCCCGGGTCTGTCTGTGAGGGTGTTGCCAAAGTAGATTAACATTTGAGTCAGTGGACCGGGAGAGGCAGACCCACCCACAATGTGGGTGAGCACCATCCCCTCAACTGCCAGAGAGGCAATAATAAAGCAGGCAGGTGGTGGGAGCAGTGGACTTGGTGAGTCTTCTGGCCTTCATCTTTCTCCTGTGCTGGATGCTTCCTGCCCTCGAACATCAGACTCCAAGTTCTTCGGCTTTTGGACTCTTGGACTTACACCAGTGGTTCTCAGGCCATTGGCCATAGACTGCAGGCTGCACTGTTGGCTTCCCTTCCTTTGAGGTTTTGGGACTCGGACTGAGCCACTACTGGCTTCCTTGCTCAACTTGCATACAGCCTATTGTGGGACTTCACCTTGTGGTCGTGTGAATCAATTCTTCTTAATAAACTCCCTTTCATGTATACATATATCCTATTAGTTCTGTCCATCTACAGAACCCTAATACAGATGGTTTCTGGCAGCTGACATAACCAAGAGCATGGGCAGAAATAGGAAAATAGACAAATATAGAAAATCTCTTTTTAAATCTGACTTACCAGAAGTCTGTCAATCATATCTTTTCCAGGAAACGACTTTTGGTATTGGATATTGTCCCCACTTCTTTGGTGTGAGTCTCCATTGATTGTATCCTTATCTTTCCTATTTCCAATCTTTCTTGTGTGTGTGGTGGGGGCGGGGATGTTACTCTGCTGCTTGTGCTTTTTATCTGCATTCTTAGCTCTTTAGCTTTCAATAGTACTTTCGTCCTGATAAATGTATTTGAAGTTATAAATTACCCTTACACAGTGTTTTATCTAGGTCCTACAAATTCTGACATGTAGTATTTTCACTGTAGTTTAAGTATTTTGTTAAGTATTATTCTTCCCATTCGACAGGTAAGGAAACCGGGAAATGCTAAGATATTAAGTAACAGTTGTAGTTCAAACTCATTACGTTGTATTAACTAAAGAATCATATCTTGATAACTACAGTAATATTCTTTCTGATAACACTTAAGGTGGAACTGAATTTGGGGACATAATTTCTTGATGAAACAGCAAGATTAATAATAGTTTAATTTATTCTAAAATGTCTTTTCAAGTCCCTGAGACTAATCACTAGCCACAGGAATACTTACACCCCGTTTATCTTTCACAAGTAACTAAATAGAATGCTGTAAGCTACACATAAGGAGATGAGATCATCTGAGTCAGTTTCACAATAGAGATGGATTCCAGCTGCTAGATAAGCTCATTTTGACTTGTTTTGTTGCAAATGACAAAAGCCAATGTAAACTGCAAAGGCCAAAAGACAGAAATTTATTGACTCACGTATCAAGAATGGCAGGATTGCCACTGGGCTTCAGGGACCAGGGTAACGCCATTAGCAATATCCGTTATCAGCCTTATTCTTTCCCACTGAGCCTGGCTGAACTACAGCTGCCAGCATTTCCTGGGCTTGCATTTTCCCAGCTTCGTCACATCTTAATTTCAAGCTGAAAAATCCTGGGAAGAGACATACTTCACTGAAGTCATTTCTCTATTCTACTCATTGTAGCCAGGCAAAATGAGATTAGGATTAGCTCAGCCAGAGTTAGGTGACTATCCTTGCCTAATCATTCTGCATATAGATGATTTATATTTGGACCCTGTGTCAGACTGGAGAGAGGAGGGTCATTTCCCAAAAAAGGGGAGTAACAGTCCAGAAGAATTAGGATTCCACAAAAATATCTTACGGATACATCTCTCTCTATATTTATCTATATTAATATATATCTTGTAGGTATATATAGTCATGTTTGGCTTAATGACAAGGATATATTCTGAGAAAAGCGTCATTAGGCAATTTCATCATTGTGTGAACATCAGAGTATACTTACACAAACCTAGATGGTATAGCCTACTACACACCTAGGCTATATGGTATAGCTTATTGCTCCTAGACTATAAACCTGTACTGCATGTTACTGTACTGAATATTGCAGGCAACTGTAACACAATGGTAAATATTTGTGTATCTAAACAGAGAAAAAATAAAGTAAAAAATGCAGCAGTATAATCTTACGGGGGGATTCACTATCATAAGTACAGTTCGTTGTGACCAAAACGTTGTTATATGGCACATGACTGTCTAGGGTGTACATATCTCTATCTAGGGTCTACTGTTAATAACTTTCCTAGTCATTAGACACAAACAATCTGGAGGGAGTTACTCACATTGGTGGTGCGTGGGAATACAGAGTGGTGGAGAGAAGATAAATTGATTCTGTTACTTGTGTACATCTTTGCAATGAAAGGGCTCTTTGGAGTCAAAGGGTGAAGAGTTTAAGCGTGCAGGAAGGAAGGCAGGGAGTGAAAATAGACTGATGGCAACCACCACTCTGGTAGGAATACTTAAGCCATGGGATTGATATTTAGATACACACACACACACACACATTTCAGATAATTTAAATTGGAGCAGTATTAGTCATTTCCAACCAAAGAGTTTTGAATAGTAAAAGAAATGCGAGACTTTTAGAAACCTTGTTTAGTCGGTAACAACATTCAGTAGATAATTAAGGGAACACACTGCACAAATTCATTTCCCACTTAGCCTGAATAAGCAGTTTGACTACTTAATGGTTTCTTATTGTAAGTTTTCCTATGGCCAGGGAAAACAGCTTTGTAAGTAGTCCATCTTTCTAAAACTGAGGTAACTTTCTAAACATTAAAAGTCTTTAGTAACATAGGGGAAAAATTAAGGCTTAATTACTTAGAAAACAAAATATCACAATTACAGGAGCACATTTAATTACAAAAATTATAAAATTATATTAACTATATGTAGTTTTTAATATCTAGTATCAAAATACCTTTTCTACTTTGGTAACTAAATTTTTGAGATTAAGAACAAACTAGTTCAATCATTCTCACATACAAAAATTTCATGTTTATATTTATTAAAAACAAAATAATGCAAGTTCTGTTAAAGTAACAATATATACACCAAGATAAATATTTGGAATTGTGGAAACAGAAATAGTAAAAATTTCAAATTTTTTCTCAATATCTTAATGACTTAAATAATTTAGCTTTTTTCAGGCATTTTTTGTTAAAAATAAACTTACTTAATTTTCAACTTAGGTCAATGTGCTTTTTTGCTTTTTTTAAAGACAAAAATTAGTAAAAATGGCAGGTACTAGGTTTGCACTAGCTAAAAAAATAATGTTTACAGTTGTCTAGATGTAACAATTTTAAAAACATACAAATTCAGTATGTAGTATGAAAATACATTAAAAAAACACATAAGGAACTATGCCCCATAAAAAATATAAATGCAACTTCTATTAATTATATGAATATCAAAAATTAAATATTCTGATTTAAAAGTAGCTTCTATAAAAGTCGGAGTAGTAGGCATTATTTGCTTTCCTAAATGTATAAATAAGAAGTATTTCTAGCTCAACTAAACAGAAATATCAGTATTTCTTAGCAAAAAATGTAGTACATACATGAAAAGGCAAGCATTGTCCTGTATTCAAGTTTTTGAGTTTAAATTCCATTAAAATGTTTCCTACAACTTGAAAGAACTACACACACAAAAGTAAAAAGATGAGGTAAACATCTTATACTCTGAAGAAAGTACTTAATACTCAGATATTCCCAATTAATCTGTATCTTAATACTCAGACATTCTAAAACAATGCTTTAAAAGGTCTTCCATAATGAGGATGATTGTGATAAATATCTGAACTACATAATGAACAGCAGGTTTCTCAGTCTTCTGAGTAGACAGTGATGCTCCTTCTTGTTATTACAAAACAATCATGATTAAGTTTTGCCAACAATATCGCTCCAGTGTGGGTTTACATGAGGCACCATGCTACAGTAAGAGCAGCTACGATGCCATTCAAAATCGCCATGCTATAGCCCATGTGGAAAGAATGTCCAGTCAGTTTCCTAGAAAAAAAGAAAAACACAAATCAAAAAAGAAAAATGTAACGTGGTATAACAAAGACACCAAAAGTTTTCATCGAAAATACTTATGACCTTGGAGTGTATTTCCCAAATGTTCACATATGAATACAAAACTTAAAGAATATTGGACATCTGCAGGATAAATAGTGGATAGATCTTATTAAGTCCTGTGTCAAAACTGTACTGGTTAACAATTACAGTTGTTTCAAATCATTACTGATGAGTAATGCTGAGTTTCATCCCTATTATTTCTTTACTGTGTTTCATTGTCACTGTGTGTAGCCATAACCTAATTCTAAGGTATAAGTTTTGTTATTTTACAAACAGTTCTTTCATTAATTAGCGGTGTGTTTCCATGCTGTCTGTTCTTACTTTGATTTGACTTAAAATACATATTATTTCAAGTATTTGTTCTGTTTGCACCACTTTTAGGTTATATGAAGGAACTCCCTATGTCTTTCATAGATATTTCAGCTATCATTCTAATAGGTTACTTAATTGAAGTGGTTTTCAATGAGTTCTTAAGAATCAGCAAAGACACATCTCTTTTATGATTGCTAGGAGTGCCAACTAGTTTAATAACTCTTATGTGCATGAATATTCCCTGACATTTGTTTCCTTTATCTTGTAACAATCTTACAACAGTTTTTCCCACTAACTGTATTGCAATAATACTATTTGCTTATCCTAGTAAGAATCAGACATATTAAAAAGAAAAGAAGGTAGTATCCAACTGAGACTCTCTAGAAGGCAGAACAGAATACTCTCCTTTCTGGAGCAAAACAAATTGAGGACACACAGGAAGGTGCACTAGCAGAAGTAAAAGCCAAAAGACAAAAGCAGTAAGGGCCCTGGACTGAGACGGTCATAAATACCCATATCCTCTCCTCCTTTCCTAAGGAGTAGCCAAAGCCAGAGAAGCACTTAGCTGTGAACTAACACTTGAAGAGCACCTCATAGTGATTCCAGTCGCACAATATCTGTGGCAGAGATTGAAGAAGGTACATTCTTCAAAGAAGAGCCCTTTGCATTCATCTGAAGCTACATAGACCCTGATGCTTCCTGATGGTTCCCTGCTCTGTTCCAAGGGAGTTATTATTTACTTTCGACTCAACCTTTCTTTACCCAACTAGGGCTAGTCAAAGATGCTTCTCATGTGTTATTAAGGGTTAATCTACCTACCTATATTACCTATCTACATCGTAAAATAGGTATAATGCTTTGTCCCTTTAAAAAAGAAATTCCTCAAATATATGTTGATGACTAGTGAACAGAAACCTAAAGTTGAACAATCAGCATTATCATTCATCATAAAATATTTAGTGACGATCCAAAAAACTTTTAAATTAATACAGTTCGGTCTTCCATATCAGTGGGTTCCACATCTGCGAAATGAACCAAGCAGGTAGAATATATTTTGAAAAAAAAAATGCATCCGTACAGAACATGTATACACTTTTTTCCCTTGTCAATCCCTGAACAATAAAACAACTATTTATATAACATTTACATTGTATTAGGTATAATATTATAAATAATGTGGAGATGTTTTAAAGTATATGAGAGGATATGCTTAGGTTATATGCAAATACTAAGCCATTTTTGAATGAGACTTCAAGTATCCTCAGATGTTGATACCTGTGTGGAATCCTGGAACCAGTCCTTCACAGATAAAGGGGGATGACTGTACTCACCCAATAAAGTTAATCATCAAAAGGTTTCCAGAGTTAATTGTTCTGTTTTAGTAGTTTGTGATCCTCACAATCCCACAAAAATAGAAAAACCTTTAAAGTTCAGTTTACTAAGCCGACAACTACAATGTTGGTAGAATTGAATTTTACTGAGATGTACATGCTCAAATGTTCAGTGACTTCCTTACTAAGCAGGCAAAGCAATGCATTTTAATGGCAATGAAAAAATGCTCGGGAGTAGTGGTTCCTAGTCTTTGTCATCTCAAATGTACCATATTCCCACTGGGAACACTGTAGCAATTGTCACAGACTACTGCTAGGTAAAGGACTTAAATCTTTGAAGAATCACTTGCTTTAATTTAAAGCTTTTCAAAATATTCACCATGATTTTCCTCTTTGGAGGAAGACAGACAATCCCTGCAGGCTTTCTCTCTTGTGACTCTCATTTGTGATCTCTAAAGTCTGTTAACAAAGACTGAAGGAATTATGGTTCTCCTTTGTCAAAACTCTATAGAGGACTTATTTAAAATTGACTCAAGTAAAATGAAAATATTATCTTCAATTAATGAGTTTAATATCTTCAATAAATGATAATTAAATACAATGTCTACCTCATCCAATCTATATCTATACATGCATTTCACTTTTTTAATTAAAGCATACCAGTAAAATGCAAATGTCTAACATTTATATACAGTTCAATGCATTTTTACTGTGGTAGACTCTCATATACTCACCAACCACATAAAGATAGAGAACATTTCTGGCACTGCAAAAAGATCCCTTTTAAATATTCAACTTACCTCCTGCAGATCTTGAGGTAACTGCAATACTGAGGGCTGTCACCAAGATTAGTTTCACTTGCTCTTGAAACTACATCTACATGGCATCATACAATAAATATTTTTCTGCGTCTGCCTTCTTTTGCTCAGTACTGTCTTTGTGAGATTCATCCATGTTGTATGTAGTATTAGTTTGTTCTTTTCTACTGCAGTATATAGCAAAATGTATTTACCCATTTTACTACTGATGGGTGTTTCCAGTTTGGGGCTCCTATACATACAGGTACTATGAACACGTCTTCGGTGGGTGGTGGGAATCTGCACTTATTTCTCTTGGATAGATCCTAGGAGTAGAACTGCTGAGTTACAAGGTAGATATACATTAGGCTTTAGTAGAAAGTATGAAAAATAGTTGTACCAATTTACACTTCCACTATCAACGTATGAGTTTAAGTTGTTCCACATCACCATGAACACTTGGTATTATCAGTGTTATAAATTTTAACCATTTTAGTAGGTCTGCAGAGTATGTTGTAGTGGTTTTAATATTTATTTTTCTGATGATTAATGTACTTACTGACCATTCAGAAAGCCTCTTTTTTGATGTTTGTGTTCAAAACTTTTTCTCATTTTTTTCTATTGGTTTATAGAGTTCTTTACGTATTCTAGATACAAATCTTTTGTTAAAGATACGTGTTGTAAATAATGTTTATTATGGTGTGTCTTTTTTTACTCTCTTAATAAGATCTTTTGATGAACAGAAGTTCTTAATTTGAATAAAGTCCAGTTAATATTTTAAAAAATGGCTAGTGCTTTTTTGGTGGCTTTTTCATTAAATCTTTGACTACTCCAAGGTTATGAAGATATTCTGTATCTTAATGAGGTTTTACTTTTCTTCTTTTGATATTTAAATCTGTAATTCATCTCAAATTAATGTGTATTTTTTGTGTTATAGGACACTGAACACAAAAGAATGAATTTGGTCCTCTACCTTACACAATATACAAAATATACTCAAAATAGACCAAAGACCTAAATACAAGAACTAAGACTATAAAACTCTTAGAAGGAAACATAGGTATAAATCTTCATGACCTTGAATTAAGCAACAGATTCTTAGATATGACAACAAAAGCACAAGAAACTAAAGAAAAAACCTAAATTAGACATCATCTAATTAAAAACCTTTGTGCTTCCAAGGACATTATTAAGTGAAAACCCATAAAATGGAGGTAAATATTTGCAAATCTTATATCTGATAGAGTCTACTAAGATATAAAATAACTCTTATAAGTAAAAAATAAAAAGACAAAAAGTCAAATTTTTAAAAGGGCAAAGGATTTGAATAAACAATTATCCAAAGATATACACATGTAGGGTCCAGCCCCACAGGGTCGGTGGGTTTTCTCCCCATTTGTGGAGATGAGAGAGTGCAGAAATAAAGACACAAGACAAAGAGATAAAAGAAAAGACAGCTGGGCCCGGGGGACCACTACCACCAATTCGCGGAGACCAGTAGTGGCCCCGAATGTCTAGCTGCGCTGTTATTTATTGGATACAAAGCAAAAGGGGCAGGGTAAAGAGTGTGACTCATCTCCAATGATATGTAAGGTTACGTGGGTCACGTGTCCACTGGACAGGGGGCCCTTCTCTGCCTGGCAGCCAAGGCAGAGAGAGAGAGGAAGAGAGAGAGACAGGCTTATGTCATTATTTCTGCATATCAGAGACTTTTAGTACTTTCACTAATTTTGCTACTGCTATCTAAAAGGCAGAGCCAGGTGTACAGGATGGAACATGAAAGTGGGTGGACCAGGAGCGTGGCCAATGAAGCACAGCATCACAGGGACATGGTTAGGCCTCCGGATAACTGCAGGCGGGCCTGACGGATGTCAGGCCCTCCACAAGAGGTGGAGGAGTACAGTCTTCCCTAAACTCCCCCGGGGAAAGGGAAACTCCCCTTCCCGGTCTGCTAAGTAGCAGGTGTTTTCCCTTGGCATTGACGCTACCGCTAGACCATGGTCCGCTTGGCAACGCGTGTCTTCGCAGATGCTGGCGTTACCGCTAGACCAAGGAGCCCTCTGGTGGCCCTGGCCAGGCATAACAGAAGACTCCCATTCTGTCTTCTGGTTACTTCTCACTATGTCCCCTCAGCTCCTATCTCTGTATGGCCTGGTTTTTCCTAGGTTATGATTGTAGAGAGAGGATTATTATAATATTGGAATAAAGAGTAATTGCTACAAACTAATGATTAATGATATTCATATATAATCACATCTATGATCTATATCTAGTATAACTATTCTTATTTTATATATTTTATTATAGTGGAACAGCTCATGCCCTCGGTCTCTTGCCTTGGCACCTGGGTGGCTTGCCGCCCACATACATACAAATAGCCAATAAGGACATGAAAAGCTGATGATGCTCAATGTCATTAGTTATACGGAAATGGAAAACAAAAACCACAAGAGATATAGCACATCTTACTCACTACTTGGATGGTTATAATTTAAAAAAAGAAAAAGAAAACAAGTGTTGGTGAGGATGTGGGGAAATCAGAAGTCCTGAACATTGCTGGTGGGAATGTAAAATGATACAGCTGCTGTAGGAAACAGTTTGGAGGTTTCTTAAAAAGTTAAACACAGAGTTAACATATGACCCAACAATTCCACTCTAGGTATATATCCAAGAAAACTGAAAACAAGTCACACAAAAACTTGTACCTGAGTGTTCATAGCAACATTATTCCTAATAGTAAAAAAGTAGAACTACCCAAATGTCCATCAACTGATGAACGGATTTAAAAAATGGTATATCCATACGGAAAACCATGCAGCCTTAAAAAGGAATGAAGTACTGACATATGCCACAATATGGATGAACCTTGAAAACAGTATGCTAAGTGAAAGGAGTAAACACAAAAGACTACATTAAAAAAAAATCTGTACGATTCCATTTATATGAAATGTCCAGAATAGGCAAATCCATAGAGACGAAAAGTAGACTATGGGTTTCCAGGGGATAGAGGCAGGAGGAAATGGTGCAGTGATTGCTAATGGGTATGGGGTTTTCATTTTGGAGTGATAGAAATGTTCTAGCAGTGATGGTTGCTGAATATTGTTATTCAGTAGTTTTTAGTGAAAATATTAAATACTTAATCATTTTAAGAGTAAAGTTTTATCCTATGTAAATTATATGAAAAAAAAAAACAAAAAACAAAAAAACACTTTACTGTCAGACATTAAAAAGGACCTGGACCGGGCGTGGTGGCTCACGCCTGTAATCCCAGCACTTTGGGAGGCCGAGGCGGGTGGACCACAAGGTCAGGAGATCGAGACCATCTTGGCTAACATGGTGAAACCCCGTCTCTACTAAAAATACAAAAAATTAGCTGGGCGTGGCGTGGTGGCGAGCGCCTGTAGTGCCAGCTACTCGTGAGGCTGAGGCAGAATGGTGTGAACCCAGGAGGCAGAGCTTGCAGTGAGCTGAGATCGCGCCACTGCACTCCAGCTTGGGCAACAGAGCGAGACTCCGTCAAAAAAAAAAAAAAAAAAAAGAGGACCTGAATGAAGGGAGGTCTCCACCATAACCTGGGAATACTCAGCATTGTAAAGGTGTCAATTTCTTTTTTTTTTTAATAAACACCTATAAATTCAATGAGATCTCAGTAGTAGTTCAATAGGATTTTTCTTGGTAGAAAATTGGCATTTTGATACTCAGTTCAACTGATACAATAAATGTGCAAAAAGAATAAATATTCTAAAATTTCAAATCATAACCTAAAATCAAAGTAATTTTAAAAAGAAGTAAACTGATACAGAAATAAAAAAGGCATCTGAATAGACTACAGCATCTAAAAACAGATCTATGTTTCTGAGCGTATGTATGTGGGTGGTGGTGATGAGATGTTTTACCAATAAGGCATTTTTAGGTCAGAGGAACAAAACCTATAATTAATTCTTTACAGGTCCCTTCCTCCCTATTCCTAAGAATCAGTTTTTTATTTAGCAGTGTAGAAGTAATCAAGATTCAGCTTATTTTCAAAAGAGCTGTCATATCTACATGGAGTAAAAAGAATGGTGGCTTCCTTTCAGTCTCCTGCTTTTATTTTTTTTTTGAGACAGGGTCTCACTCTGTTACCCAGGCGGGACTGCAGTGGCATGATCATGGCTCGTTGCAGCCTCCACCTCTCGGGGCTCTGGTGATCCTCCCACTCCAGCCTCCCAAGTAGCTGGTGAGGCAGGAGAATAGGGTCTGGAGGCAGGGAATCTAAGGCCAATCTGTGCTAACCTCCTAAAAGAGAAACACCAAGATCTGGGGGCAGGGAATCTAAGGCCAATTTCCTAAAGTTCAATCAAAGGGAAAACACCTGGGTCTAGGGCAGGGAACCTAAAGCCAATTAAGGCACACTTCTTAAAGCTAAACTGAAAGGAAAAGCCCCATCTCCCCACACCGGAGTAACAAAGGATCAAAGACTATTATTCTCCCTACAACCTTCTCGCTTCCACTACATCTCAGATGGAAAGGGCAAACATCCTGCATAGGGTGCCTATTCACCTCAGCCTTTAATTAGCAAAAGACCAAATCCTTCATCCAGATGAGAGGCAGCCAACAGGGACCTCAAAAGGAGTACTTAAAACCCAGAAAACTTTGTAACCAGGCCCTTGAGCCGCTTGCTCGGGCCCAATTCCACCCTGCGGAGCACTTTCTCACTTTAATAAATCCCTGCTGTCGCTGCTTCGTTCATGTATTTTGTTCCTTTGTTACTTTGAGGGTTTTGTTCAATTCTTTGTTCAAAATGCCAACGACCTGGACAACTTACTCAAGGCATTCCTAAAAGTAACCCTGGTACTAGAGGCACGCATGACCAAACCTGGCTGATTTTTTGTAGAGATACGGTTTTGCCATGTTGCCCAGGCTTGGTTTCAGTTTTGTTCAGTTTCATCATGGAGTCTACTATGGATTCCAAAATGGTTCTTATTATTGCAGGTCATGACTTTTTATTTCCATACTCTGAAGCAGGAAAACACTGTTAGGCAAATGGTAACAGAAGGGTAGAGGGGTTTGAAAAGACTGAATAGAGAATATGTAATTTTTATTCATTGGTTCTTCTACAATTTCATGAAGAGAAAGATAAGGGAAAGGAAAGGACCTAATCCCAGAAGAATAAGCCTGATCAGAAGCAACTTACCTTTATTACGTAATTTAGATCAATAAAGCAAAATGACTATAATTTCTGAAATTCTGTGTAATAGTCTAACATGGTGATGGGAATATAAATTAATATAGCCATTATGGAAAACAGTATGAAGTTTCTCAAAAATCTAAAAATGAAACTACCATATAATCCAGCAATTCCACTACTGGGTATTTACCCAAAGAAAGGACAATCAGTATATTCAAGAGATATGTGTACCCCATGTTTACTGCAGCACCATTCACAATAGTCAAGATATGGACTCAATCTAAGTGTCCATCAACAGATGAATGGATAAAGAAAATGTGGTACATATACACAACAGAATACTATTCAGCCATTAAAAAAAAATGAAATACTGTCATTCCTGGCAACATGGATGAGTCTGGGGGACATTAAGTGAAATAAGTCAGGCATAAGAAGATAAATATCACATGTTCTCACTCACATGTGTAAGCTTAAAAAAAATGAGCTCATAGAAGTAGAAGGTAGAACTGTGGTTATTCGAGGTTGAGAAGGGTGGTGGGGTAGCCGGGGAAGAAACAGCAGTGGGTGGGGTGAGAGAGGATAGCAGGAGGTTAGTTAACGGATACAAAATTACGATCAGATAGGAGGAATGACTTCTAGTGTTCTATAGCACTTTAGGGTAAATATGGTTAACAGTAACTTATTGCGTATTTTCAGAAAGCTTTAAGAGAAGATTTTGAATGCTCACAATACAAAGAAATGATAAATGTTTTCAGTGATGGATATGCTAATTAGCCTGATTTGATCATTACACATTGTATGGGACTATCATTCATTCTGTATTCCACTAATGAATATGATTATTATGTGTCAACTAAAAATAAAAAAAAAGTCAAACGTGGGAAACTTGATCAGATAAAAATTAAAAAATTTCCATTCAAGTAAAACTACAGCATTATTTATTATTAATACTGCCAAACTTCAAAAGTGGGTAGTAGATAAAACTGCATTACTGAATGAGGTAAAAGAAAAAAACAAGAAAAAAAATCCCACGGTTTCATGGCAACATCATAGAAATGTTTCACTTTGAAGACCTTCCATTTTACTTCAAAATTTACAAGGCTTATATATTTTTGAAAATGGCATGACTATTTGTGGAGATGTTACTACAATTATTATTTGCATATACGAATGTGACAGGTTAAAACAAATTCACAAAGAAATTCTAAGTTGCTGACATTCTCTCCATGTACTTAAATACATTGCACAGATGAATTTTCCTAAAACATTCCTTTGCTTTAAAATGCTTTTGTGTTAACTGGATATAAAATGTAAACGAGCAGAGCACACAATATTATTAACAAGGTTAAGTTTCCTTAATGATACAAGCTTTAACCCAGGTTTTAAAAGGTACAGCAATGGACTGACAGACAAAAGAGGTACATTGTGTAAAGGGAAAGAAAAGAACCAGAAGTGGAACTCCAACTTAAGATTTCATGCTTCTCAGGAGAAAAACTGGACCAGATGAACCTAAGGTCGCTTCTATTTCCTTCCATTTCCTTCCTTCCGCCCTCCCTCCCTTCCTTTCTCTCTCTCTCTCTCTTTTTTTTTTTTTTTGGACAGAGTCTTGCTCTGTCACCTGGTCTGGAGTGCAGTGGTGTGATCTTGGCTCACTGCAACCTCCGCCTTTCAGGTTCAAACGATTCTCATGCCTCAGCCTTCCAAGTAGCTGGGGTCACAAACACACGTGTCACCATGCCCAGCTAATTTTTGTATTTTTAGTAGAGATGGGGTTTCACCATGTTGGCCAGGCTGGTCTGGAACTCCTAACCTCAGGTGATCCACCCAGCACTCCCAAAGTGCTGGGATACAGGCGTGAGCCACTGCGCTCGGTCTCAGTTCTACATTTCTGTAAGTATCCCAGGTAGCAAGAAATAATCCTAAAAAACACCTCAAAAAGATTATGTACAGTTTTTTACCTATTAAAACAGGTTATTGGTCAACATTACCTGTACTTAAAACTAGAACAATGATGCAGAGGATATAAATATTTTAGTCCCAAAGAGTCAATTAAGGAGACCTATCTATGATGAAAATTAATGGATATAATTTAACCTGCTAAATCAACATTGTTAAGATGTGACTCTTCATTTGACCATATGAAAGAATAAGTAGTAAAATAGAGTACCCAATGGCAAAACCAGAACGTTTCTTTAGATCTACTTCCATATCCTGAAAGATAAGCTATATAGAAGGTATGACCTTTTTCTGGTTCTAGAGAATTCCTTTCAATAATAAAAAATTCTACAATGAAGTACTTATGTAGTCCCTGATAGTGGTTAAGAGTTCAAGCTCTATGATTAGATAAACACGGGTCTGAGTGCCAGCCTTGCCTCTTACAAGGGGTATGAAGATGGCAACATTGTTTGACCTCTTTGACCTTCAATTTTCTTCTCCATACAATGGAAACAAAAATAGAATCTACCCTTACAAAGCTGTTGTGAATACCAGGTGTCTGGCACATAGTAAATGATCAATACATCTTAGCTATATAGTAAAGAAACTTAGGTACAGAAGAGATTTTTAAAAATTCTTCTGACCATCTACTTAGATTCTCCCTTCCAAGTAAAACACCTAAACCTAAGCTTGCTTTAAAACCAAAACAAAGAAACAAACAATAGTAGTATAAAAGCAAACCCAAGAAGTAGATGGAAGAAAGAAATGGGAGAATTAAAGGTCTCTCTCGCGTGCGTGCGTGTGTGTGTGTGTGTGTGTGTTTTTGTGTGTGTGTTTCTGCTTGATATTACCCTCTTCCTACATAACGACTTCTTTTATAATTCACTGGAGAACCCAGACTTCCATTATTTATATCTAGACTTTGTTCTGTGAAAATATAATGTCTAGCAATATATTTAGATTACTATTAAATAGTAACTTGCAAAGTGAATATATTATAAAAGAATTATAATTATTTTCATTTTTCAGGAATGGAATACATTTAAAATATAAGATTCAAATGAATTCAATGACTTTGGCAATTTAAGTGACTACATTCTTATATTTTGAAGCATAAATTAAAGCACTGAATAAGCAACTTCCAAAAATTCCAAATAAATTACCTTAAAAAGAAAAAGTTAGAGACAGAATAACAGAACTGAGCAGGTCTCTTGTCATGTTTCAGGTTGTTTATTGTTTTTATGCTAGTTTTGGTTGATCTGAACTGAATCTCTATACTACAATACTAAACACCAGACTCCACTCTGTTAGAATAATTGTTCCATGCCATATTTATTCCTGTATTTTCTTTCCCACACAGGTATTCCCACATGTCAGAGATGCTTTTATGACAGAACTCTTGTAATTTAAAATAATAACTTCATTTCCAGCTGATACTGCTTTAAGCAGAAAGCGCTCTGTGCTTGCCAGAATAAGAAGATATGTTAAAGGCCCATCTTAAGACCCAACTGGCTATTCGTTTCTGTGTCTGATTGGCTCAGAGGGAGAAGGGATGAGCAAGATGGTACTAATCTATTCCCCTTTCACACATCTGAGCTGCCTTTGTTTTCTCATTCTATCCCTAGCCCAGGAATCTCCAATTGCTAAAAGTTTTTAAGCTGTATAAGCTTTGTTTGGAGTTACTATCAGTTAGTTCTTTATCTGGAATCAAAAGATCTTAACACTAAACCTGAAACTTGGAAAACAAAACAAAACAAAAAAACAAGCAACACCGTATTTTATTAACTTAAAAAGCATTTCCTTTTTAGAAACGTAAAACTACATTAACTTTATTATATCCTTTTGTCCTAAAAATTACTTGTTAGAAATTGCTGAAGAGCAGACAAAGTTGATTTCAATGAACTTGACCATTGTTATTTAAGAAATCAGGGTTAGAATTTTAAAGAGAATGCTTCCCTAATTTCACTTCTTTGCTATGTCTCTCCTTAAGGAAAAAATAACACACATGACTTTGCCTCTTACTTTTTACTCTAAAGTTCTTTATAACTTTCTCAATTCCCTTTTCATTCACCAAGATTTACAGAATACTCGGTATCAGGTATTAAATTACATACAGGAGATAGAGAAATTAGTAGGGCTGGATGCGGTGACTCATGCCAGTAATCCCAACACTTTGGAAGGCTGAGGCAGGAGGATGGCTTGAGGTCAGGGATTCCAGACCAGCCTGAGCATATAGGGAGACATTGTTTCTACAAAAAAAATTTTGGCCAGGCATGGTGGCTCACGCCTGCAATCCTAGCACTTTGGGAGGCCAAGGCGGGTGGATCACTTGAAGCCAGGAGTTTGAGACCAGCCTGGCCAACATGGTGAAACCCCATCTCTACTAAAAATACAAAAACTTAGTTGGGTGTGGTGGCCTGTAATCCTAGCTCCTCTGGAGGCTGAGGCAGGAGAATTGCTTGAACCCAGCGGGTGGAGGTTGCAGTGAGCCAAGATCATGCCACTGCACTCCAGCCTGGGTGACAGAGTGAGACTATCTCAAACCAACAAAAAAAGGAAAAAAAAAAAGAGAGAGAAATGAGTAAGGAGTCAGTACTGCCTTCGAAGATAACAGAATCTTGTGACGTAGTAGATTGTTTTGCAGGCAGTATTACTGGAACATAAAGGAGCCATTCAGCTTGTAGAAGGGGAGAAAAAATTCCAAAGAAGAGCTAATACCTGAACTAAAATTGAGTATGAGGGATTTAGTGTTCTAAACACCTAACAGTATGCGCAGAAGCAAGAGACAATGGAGAGAATAGGAAGCTCAATTGTTTAATATGATCAGAATGAAAGACCTGGAAAGCTAGCTCTCTCCTCACTGGAGTTTAGTCATGGCTGTACTAGTCACAGAACTATTTTAACCTACCAGAAAATCTAATTCTCAATCTTTAAAATGAGGATAATAATTCCTTTCATTAGTGTTCTTATTAAAACTAAATGAGATAATATTAACAATTAGTTGTTGGCTGGGCGTGGTGGCTCACGCCTGTAATCCCAGTGCCTTGGGAGACTAGGCCAGGAGGATTGCTTGAGCTCAGGAGTTCAAGACTGTCCTGGGCAACTTAGTGAGACCCTATCTCTACAAAATAAAAATAAAAAATTTAGCCAGGCATAGCAGCACTCGCCTGTAGTCCCAGCAATTTGGGAGGCGGAGGCAGGAGGGTTGTTTGAGCCCAGGCAGTTGAGGCTGCAGTGAGCCATGATTGTGCCACTCTGCACTTCGGCCTGGGGCAACAAAGCAAGACCTCAAAAAAAAAAAAAAAAAAAAAAAAGAAAGGATAAAATCTCAGGATAAATAACAATTATCCAAGAAAAGATAACTGGCAACTTGTGGCAGGCCATGGTCAGACTTCCAGCTCAAAAAACCTTAAGAAAAGAAAACCTCTGACACTATGTCTGCTTTATCATCTGACGTATCTGTTGCTTTAGTAAACTTACACTTACTGCCTATGAGGGTACCATTATTTTTACTCCATTTTAGAGATGAGGAAGTTATAGCTTGGATATACTAACTGACTTGCTCAAATGTCCTTCTGCTAGGGTAGGTTGGATTTGGAAGCTACCTCTCCTGACTTCAAGACCCTTTTTAATTATATCAGGCTGCCTCTGGTAATTTATAGGTTGTTAAACAAACAAAAAGGGTTCCAAGTACAAAATTGGCAAGCACTGTCTCTCAAGTATTTCTTGTCAGTATTGCTCTGGGCATATGGACACTTGTCCCTCTTCAGCTACTCATATATAACACTGTAAATAGCACAAGCAAGAGCAGCTGGGCAAGGTGGCTCATGCCTGTAATCCCAGCACTTTGGGAGGCCGAGGCAGGTGGATCACTTGAACCCAGGAGTTCGAGACCAGCTAGGGCAACATGGCAAAACCCCGTCTCTATAAAAAATACAAAAATTAGCCAGATTAGCCAGATGTGGTGGCGCATGTCTGTGGTCCCAGCTACTCAGCAGTCTGAGGTGGGAGGATCGCTTCAGCCCAGAAGGCAAAGGTTGCAGTCACCCAAGATCATGCCACTGCTATCTAGCCTGGGCAACAAAGTGAGAACCTGTCTTTAAAAAAAAAAAAAAAAAAAAAAAAAAAAAAAAAGGTACAAAGCAAGCACTCATTAGCTGTATCACTTTATGGAAACAATAAAACCAATAGTTAATACAATTTCCTAGAGGATTTTGTTATATCTATGCATATCTCCATTCAGAACAGTAATGAAATATATCTTACACAATATGCATGTACTTTAACCCTTTACTTCAAGAAGCCGCGGTGCAATGCCATCAATATATTCATTAATAGTGACAGCACTGTAATTGATGGCTCTGAATAGTCCCCAGATAATGAGATTTCATGATACTCAAATATCAAGGCCAAGTTCCTGAACCATCTCTTTTGTCAGTAGCTTTTCTCTCCTACTGCAATTAGCCATCTGACATCTGTTTCATTAGTTCATGGCAATAAAGAATCTGATTCGACAAAGAGGCAGCTCTCCAAAATCTGTATCAAAGAGTAGTAGAGTCAATTCACTGTGCTCAATGTTAAATCTAGTCTGCATGGAAAAGAAATTTCTAATTTGAATACTAACTAACCCACTGTTTTTGACCTCCAAGGCTTATATATATGCCCAAGTTAAGAACCTGTAACACTCGTATATTATTTTATGCTAAAGATGTCCACATATACTTATTTCCAAGGAGGGAAAATCAGTGCTTGTATTTAGTTATGAGGATAGGCTAACTGTATTAAAGAAAACTGAGTGCTGCTGGAAATTTCAAATTTCAAGCAATTCAAACAAAAATCAACTTGTTCCCTTTTCTTGAATTGCATATTATGATTCAACTGTTTTATTTGTTCTCTATCTTCCTAACCCTCAATGTGAAGACGTCAGAGAAAAACCCTAATAACAATATTTTAAAGACCCAAACTAATGTTGAATAGAAAAGTAACATTATAATACAGGATGCCAATACTGAATCCTGAATGTTCCAGGAAATTCACATGTCAAAGTATTTTACTATCTGCTGCTCCCTACTACAGTTAACAACACACTCTCACACACAAATGTTAGCATCTAATTACATACAGAACGCTTTACATAGGAAGTAACACATGTAAAAGAGTAATAGATCATGTTACTCTCTAAAATAGTTACTAAAAACAATTTACCAAAAATTAATTCAAACTAAAATTAACTTGTTCCCTTTTCTTTCTCACTTACAATTTATTTTGCAGATTCCAGATTGCATTGTAAGGCAATACAATTTTTTTAAACAAGGATGCATATAAATAATGTTACATTAAATAAAAATTAAATTAAAAGCATGTTTTCTAAAATTGAGTGTCTGGATATTTATCAAATGTTATTTGTGGTTGGAAGAAGAAGAAATGGAAAGATGGATAATTCATAGTGATCAGACAATAAAGATTGATAGCATGAGGAAGGTAGCAGATACCCGCTGATTTGTATATTAACTGTGAAATAATGCAAATTCCCAATCTAATCTCATAGATTATATTTTAGCAGGCATTTGTGAAAAAAAGACACCACTCTTTACCTTGGCATATGCCTAGAAATCATGATATAACACTAATAACTGAAGTTTCCCTGCATTTTGGCCATGAACCCTATATCAAATAAGCCATAAATACAACCAATAATATATCTAAAGAGAAGATACCAAACTTCAAATTTCTCTAAAAATGTAAGAGTAAATTCATGCTGACTTCTATAAAATAGACATTCAACTGTGTCTTCCAATCTGCCTAGGAAATGCACAAATGTAATTATTCAAAGGACACCTGAAGAATACTGTAGCTTAAAACTGAGTCTAGTTATGATAAAAATATAATAATTTTGTTTGACTTCTGGTAATTCAAAATGACTATCTGTGAGATGACTTTGAAGGTTTTGGTCTCTTTTAAAAGCTATCTAGGAAAATTTTAAATCATGCCTTTCAAAAATATTTTTAGCATAAACATAGATGTTCGAGGTCATTAAACTGAACAGAGTTATACTCAAGGTGGAGATTTCTTTTCAAAACAATTCAATCTATGCCTCAAAAAGACTCATGTTCACTTGTAAGATTCAGGATAAGAAATCTCTTAGCATAGAAGTCAACTGAAGATTTAAGAACTGAGACATGCTCCAAAAACTACAATGCTGTGACTGCAAGACATGCTATTTCTATAGCATTTCTCAAAACAGAGAGAAAATTATTTAAAATCAGTTTCTCACTGGATGATTCAACAATCCAAGCTTTGGATTCAGATATCCAATTCACCAGAAATCTTACTTTTATATACCTTTGATCAGCATAAGCTTGCAATTTGAAATTTCCAGCAGTACTTTATTTCCATTTATATAGTTGAACTATCCTCACAACTTTAAATACAAGCATTGATTTTTTTTCCTCCTTGGAAATAAATATCTATGGATATCTTTAGCATAAAATAATAGTCCTATTAAGGAGCTTCCTTGGCATAGTAACTCCCTTCACAATGATTTCAGCTACGGAAATCATTACATGCTAGGGGCGCTTGCCACTTTACTCTGTATGCTTAGGTTATACAAATTAACTAGACTTAAAATTAATAAACCAACTTTACTTGCCAAGAATGACTTATTTTGGAATCCCCAGGTTGTTTTACATTCCTACAATGTTAATGTCCTACTGTGAAGGTTATTTGAGTATATGCTGTTAAATTTGACGTTTGATCTAAATAGTGAACATTTTTTCATGTCAGCAATACGACCCATCACTCATGTTATCATTTTTCCACTAAGCTTATTACTATAGAGTAACATTTCTATCCTAGATGTGACATTTATTATCAGAGTGGTTTTTATTTCTAGCACACTGAATAACTATTAACCTGCAGCTACATACTTTCACCACTAGATGAAGCTTGAGCATAGGTGATGTGAACCGTGGAGTGCAGTCTTAAAGTGGAATACAGGTACTAGGAGAAAACAATGGAAAAGACAGAGAAAGTCTTTTGATTTAGCAATACTGTGGGGGCAAAACTGCCACATAGCAAAAGCTCAGAGTGCCTGTTAATTGTCAATAAAATGATGCTGTTTCAATTAGTGAAATTCCTCCTATTGATGATGAATTTCATAATGCAGAGGAGGTAAGTTAGCTAGTATGGTGAATAAAAATAAACAGTCAGTTGCAAACTATGTTACTTGCAAATTACTTGACTTTGTGCAAGTGGCTTAAACTTCTGAGACTTGGTTTCTTCATCTATTAAAAAATGGAAACACCAGACTAATAGTAACACCTACGAGATGGGTGGCTTAGGAGGGCATTAGTTCCCCCATAATGTTTAATAGGACTCTCTTAAGACATCCCTAGAAATCCTAGAATATTAGCTTAAAAGGTAGACTTGTTCAGGAAAATGTACTGTAAGGCACAGCTGGTATCCATAACTAACATTTTCCCAATCAAGAGGACTTTAAAGTTCTGCTGCCAATGGCCAAGCCTAGAATGAACCCCAAAGTTCTTTTTTTTTTTTTTTTTTTTTTTAAAGAGCGTATCTTGCTCTGTCACTGAGGCTGGAATGCAGTGGCACGATATAATAGCTCACTGCAGCCTTCAACTCCTGGGATCAAACAATCCTTCTGCCTCAGCCTCCCAGTGGCTAGGAATACAGGCTCATTTCACCACACCTGGATACTTTTTAAAATTTTTTGTAGAGGCAGCATCTCACTATGTTGACTAGGATGGTCTCAAACTTCTAGGCTCAAGCCATCCTCCCACCTTGGCCTCCCAAAGTGCTGCGATTACAGGCATAAGCCACCATGCCCAGCCCACGATTATCTTTAGAGTTCTAGCTTTTCTTTGCATGCAGTATTTTTCCACGGGTAGGTAACATAGTTAGATGCATTAACTCCTGAAAACTATAATTAAAGCTGATAACCAAAATGTTAAAATACTGACTATATATACACTGTTACATTTGTCTCTTGGAAATCACTCACAAAACCCAGACAATGAACAGGGAAAAGTGATGAGAAATGAACTGGAGATGTTGAGTAGGTAGTGTAGAAGAAGCAGGATAATGAATTATAACATAGTGAAACATGGGAATGCCTATTTAGATATTCCAAAAAATCTAAACTTACTGCCTCTGCCTCTTGTTCTTTAACACTGTTAACAAACCTTTAATAACAACCAAAACAAGACTTTCCATCCAGTCTACTGGATTAAATACACAAAGAAAAGGATAGCTTACTAATTGACAAGTTTATATATGTGATATTGCACTATACCTTTTGACTTAGCGAAGTTTACAAATACATGGAACCATCTTTCCAAAAAATATGCCTGTTGAAGTCCATTAAGTACCTATCTGGAAATATATCTTGCAAAGTTCTCTATCTTGTATTTCCTAAACATCTTGTGCTTACGTAAAAGTGAAAATTGCTAAGATTTATCTAATATATAACAGTAAACATAAAAAATTTGAATAAAGGAAAATGCTTTTATTTCTAATCTCAACCTCTTCTTATGAATTATTGACCCAAACTGATGATTTCATTAAATATGTCACCTAATATTTACTAAACAGTAATAAATGTTACTTTTTTTCTTCCTCTGAGGGGTTTGTTTCTAAGGAAACACAATTGATAGTCACAGTAAATATGGTCTTCTCAAATGGTTTTCCCACTTCAACTATTCTGTTAAAAAAAAAAAAACCCAGGTACTTAAGTCTGCAGAGATAGCAAAAGACTACTATTTTAACAAACCAGTTATATATGATTTATTTTACTCTCTTACAAAAAAGTATATACATTGTGATCCCAATTTCAATTTTTAAAATATGCATAAAGAATGGAAAAATATATGTTAAAATGTCAGCAGTAATTTTCCTTGATTATTTCCATTTTTCTTTTTCTTTTTTGGAATTTTCAATAAAGAATCTGAATTACTTTTATATAATTAGGAAAAATGCTTACATTAATATTATTGCTTATTTTAGGTGATAAAATACATAACCTGTCACAAAGATATTTTTATAAAAGTATGATGTCGCATATTGATAAAATATATCAATTTGATTTTGAAGAAAATAAAAGTCTGAAGATTTCAACTTTCTCAAAATGTGGAGAAGTTGTTTCCCTGTACAAGGACTCACTCTACTGGTGACATAGAGAATATACTTAATCTGACATTTCTGAAATAACGGCATATTTTCCATAAACACTAGAGGGCAGGGTTTTGACTATAAAACAACTTCATTTGTATTTGTGTGTGTGTGTAAATATTTCACTTATATTTGGGTATATATATCATTTATATTTGTATACATGTACACATTATTTTGTACAAATACAAAATGTATATACACATTATTTTGTATAATAAACTCCTGGGCTCAAGCAATCCTTTTGCCTCAGCCTCCCAGTAGCTAGGACTACATAATATATATATGCATTATTTTGTATTTATACACATTTATAATGTGTATATATTCTATTTATATACAAATATATACACATACACAAATATATATACACATCTAAATTTTGTATGTATAGAAATGAATGTGTATATTTTATATTTTATATTTTGTATTCATTTGTGCATACACAACATATATTTTATATACATTTCAAAACCATTTTTAGATTTATTAATAAGTACATAATCTAAGGCTCTAATATGACACCATTTCATATTAAAACTGGATCACTAGGCTGGGTGCAGTGGCTCATGCCTGTAATCCCAGCACTTTGAGAGGCCAAGGTGGGCAGGCTGCTTGAACTCAGGGTTTTGGGACCAGCCTGGGCACATGGCAAAATCCTGTCTCTACAAAAAATAAAAAAATTATTTGACATGCTGACACACCTACAGTCCCAGCTTATTAGAGGGTGGAGGCAGGAGGATCACTTGAGCCTGGGAGGTGGAGGTTGCACTGAGCCAAGATCATGCCACTGCACTCCAGCCTGGATAACAGAACCAAACCAGACCTTGTCTCAAAAAACCCAAAAACAAAAAATGCTAATTACTAATTGATATGGTTTGACTGTGTCCCCACCCAAATCTCATCCTGAATTGCAGTTCTCATAATCCCCACGTCATGGGAGGGACCTGGTGGGAGGTAATTGAATCATGGGGGTGGTTACCCCCATGTGGCTGTTCCACTAATAGTGTGTGAGTCTCTTGAGACCTGATGGTTTTATAAAGGGCAGTTCCTCTGCACATGCTCTCTTGCCTGCTGCCATGTAAGATGTGCCTTTGCTCCTCCTTTGCCTTTTGCCATGATTGTTAGGCCTCCCCTGCCATGTGGAACTGTGAGTCAATTAAACCTCTTTCCTTTATAAATTACCCAGTCTCAGGTATATCTTTATTAACAGTGTGAGAACAGATTAATACAGTAAATTGGTACCGGTAGAGCGGGTTGCTGCTGTAAACATACCTGAAAATGTGGGAGTAACTTTGGAACTAGGTAACAGGGAGAGGTTGAAATAGTTTGGAGGGTGCAGAAGAAGACAGGAAAATGTGGGAAAGTTTGCAACTTCCTAGAGACTTGCTGAATGGCTTTGACCAAAATGCCGATCTTGATATGGACAATGAAGTCCAGGTTGAGGTGGTCTCCAACAGAGATGAGGAACTTATTGGGAACTGGAGCAGCAAAGGTGATTTTTGCTATGCTTTAGCAAAGAGACTGGGAGCATTCTGCCCCTGCTCTAGAGATCTGTGGAACTTCGAACTTGAGAGAGATGATTTAGGGTATCTGGTGGAATAAATTTCTAAGCAGCAAAGCACTCAAGAGTTGACTTGGGTGCTCTTAAAAGCATTCAGTTTTGGCTGGGTGCGGTGGCTCACGCCTGTAATCCCAGTACTTTGGGAGGCCAAGGTGGGCGGATCACGAGGTCAGGAGATCGAGACCATCCTGGCTAACATGGTGAAACCCCGTCTCTACTAAAAATACAAAAAAAAATTAGCCGGGCGTGGTGGTGGGCGCCTGTAGTCCCAGCTACTCAGGAGGCTGAGGCAGGAGAATGGCATGAACCCAGGAGGCGGAGCTTGCAGTGAGCCAAGATCACGCCACTGCACTCCAGCCTGGGTGACAGAGCAAGACTCCATCTCCCAAAAAAAAAAAAGCATTCAGTTTTATTCATTCACAAAAACATGGTTTGGAATTGGAACTTATGTTTAAAAGGGAAGAAAAGCATAAAAGCTCAGAAAATTTGCAGCCTGACTATGTGACAGAAAAGAAAAAACAATTTTCTGAGGCAAAATTCAAGCCAGCTGTAGCAATTTGCAGAAATAATGAGGAGCCAAATGTTAATTGCCAAGACAATGGGGAAAATGTCTCCAGGGCATGTCAGAGGTCTTCCCAGCAGCCTCTCCCATCACAAGCTGGGAGGCCTATGAGAAAAAAATGGTTTCATGGGCCTTGCTGCTTTGTGCAGTCTCAGGACTTGGTACCCTGTGTCCCAGGCGTGGCTAAAAGGGGTCAATGTACACTGTTGCTTCAGAGGGTGCAAACCCCAAGCCTTGGTGGCTTACATGTGGTGTTGGGACTGCAGGTGCACAGAAGTCAAGAACTGAGGTCTGGCAACTTCCACCTAGATTTCAGAGGATGTATGGAAACGCCTAGATGTTCAGGTAGAGGTGTGCTATAGGGGTGGAGCCCTCATGGAGAACCTCTCTGCTAGGGCAGTGCAGAAGGGAAATGTGGGGTGGGAGCCCCCACACAAAGTCCCCACGGGGGAACTACCTAGTGGAGCTGTGAGAAGAGGGCCATCAGAACAGTAGATCCACTGACAGCTTGCACTATGTGCCTGGAAAAGCTGCAGACTCTCAATGCCAGCCTGTGAAAGCAGCCAGGAGGGAGGCTGTACCCTGCAAAGCCACAGGGGCAGAGCTGCCCAACATCATGGAAACCCACCTCTTTCATCAGTGTGACCTGGATGTGAGATACGGAGTCAAAGGAGATCATTTTGGAGCTTTAAGATTTGACTGCCCTACTGAATTTCGGACTTGCATGGGCCTGTAGCCCCTTTGTTTTGGCCAATTTATCCCATTTGGAATGGGTGTATTTACAGTGCTTGTACCGCCATTGTTATCTTGGAAGTAATTAACCTGCTTTTAATTTTACAGGCTCATAGGCAGAAGGGACTTTCCTTGTCTCAGATGAGACCTGGGACTGTGGACTTATGAGTTAATGCTGAAATTTGGGGGACTGTTGGGAAGGCATGATTGGTTTTGAAAGGTGAGGACATGAGATTTGGGAGAGGTCAGGGGCAGAATGACATGGTTTGGCTGTGCCCCACCCAAATCTCATCTTGAATTGCAGTTCCCATAATTCCCATGTGTTGTGGGAGGGACCGTGTGGGAGGTAATTAAATTATGGGGGTGGTTACCCCCATGCTGCTGTTCTCATAATAGTGAGTGAGTTTCACAAGATCTGACAGTTTTATAAAGAGCAGTTCCCCTGCACAGTCTCTTGCCTGCCATCATATAAGATGTGCCTTTGTTCCTCCTTGGCCTTCTACCATAATTGTGAGGCCTCCCCAGCCATGTGGAACTGTGAGTCAATTAAAACTCTTTCCTTTATAAATTACCCAGTCTTGGGTATGTGTTTATTAGACAGCATGAGAACAGACTAATACATTAATAAATACATGGAAAATTGAGGCCCTTTATTAAATTGATTCTAATTTAATACAAAATGCAAAGATAATTTTTTTTAAAATTAGTTAAATGCCCTCAGAATAGCAGATCTTTAACAGAATACTAAAACCTTCTCTAACCCCAGAGGCTTCTTACACTTATAAGGTTAATGAATCGTGACAGTGGTAAAAGACAACATGAAAGGGAAAATGATAATCCAGGGAGAGAGAACAGCAAGAGTAAAATCATGACTTCTCAAAATTGCATAGTTTATGAGGGGGATGTCAAGCTAATCTGGTATGTGACTACAATATAGGGTGCAGTAGGGAAATAGCTGAGGTTGGAAAAGTAGGGTAGGGTCATTTGGGGAAGGACTGTTCTGCTATACTTAAGAGTTGGACTTTATTCTGAAGGCAACAGGAAAGCTACTGAAGGCTTTTAACCAATAGAGGGCTGTGACTGTATCTCTTTTTGTTAATGGAAAGACAGCAGTTCAGTTGCACCTTGGTATCCACTGGGAGATTGGTTCCAGGATTCCCACAAACACCAAAATCCATGAATGTTCAAGTCCCTTATATAAAATGGCATGGTATTAGCCTATAACGTATGCACATCCTCCCCTATACTTTAAATCATCTCTAGATTACTTATAATGCCTAATATAAAGTAAATGCTGTGTAAATAGTTGTCTATACTGTTTTTTATTTGTATTACTTTTTATTGTTGTATTGTAATTTTTTTCCCAAATATTTTTTATCCATGGTTGGCTGAATTCAAGGATGTGGAGCCCATGGATACAGAGGGCTGACTGTATATAGAGTGAATTAGAAGAGTGAGAACTTAGAGGACAGAAGGCCAAGAAGTCAAGTACACTAGCCTTAAATAGTACAAAAACAGTGAAAATGCAAACAGGAAGCATTCTAATGACATTTAAAAAGTCAGGAAGGACTGGACTTGGTGAATAGACAAATACAATGAATAAGAATTTCAAGCTCTGGTGAGTGAAATGGGTGGATATTGATGGCTTCAAAGCAAAGACAGAGTTTTAATCACTCTAAGTGCAAAATGCTTTCTGAAATCTGGGTAGCAAGGTCTATTAAACAGCAAGAAATGTGTGGCTAGAATTCAGGGAAGTGAGATATAAATAAAAGGAAAAAATACGATTACTTTTTTGGTGATTTTTTTGAAACGAGTCTCATTACCCTAGACTTATACCTGTTATTAAAGTAAACTTCTAATTGAGTGGTACCCATGTAAACTACGGGATGGCATTGTAATGTTAGGCTTAACTCTTAGTCAATTTAGATTATTGTTTATCCACCTCAAAAACACATAACTAAAATTTATTGGAAAGCATATGACTTACATTTCATATACACATAGGGATTAAAACACTAAAAATGTATACATATACATAATACACATATATACAAATTCACATTTCATTTGAAGTCGAGCCAAAATTTTAAAAGATATGAGACAAAAAAAATTGGGAGTTTACTAATAATGAAGGCCAGTAGTACCAATGATTATTAATAACTATACTAGCACAATTTTGATTTTATAAAGTCTCTCAAGTAAATGTTTTTATCTCTACAACCTGTCCATGAGGTAGGCTAGACCTGGTAGTAACAATAGTAAGTATTAGAATAACATACATAAATTTAATATAATTTAGTTTCTTGTCTTCATGTCCTCCCCAAATTTCCAGAATAAACTAGAGATCTTAGATGTTCTTATTTCGGAATTTATATTTAAAATTGGAACTTTCCTGGCATGAATAAACTAGGTTAGAACACTACTGAATTTTCTAAAATTCTCTGAAACATGGAAAATATAGACCAAAGAAATTTAATACTGTTCCACTACGAAAAGCATCCAATCTGGTCTAGACATATAAATTGGGTACCATAAATGTTTGCTAATTATTACACAAAGTTAAAATCCTAAGGAAAAGTCCAATCCAATTATTATGTTCTTGTAAGTCTGACCATGTGTGAACCTAGTAAAACTTTCAAATTGTTGGTATTAATTTTGCCTTTATAAACTGTTTTAAATCAAATTCTATTCCAAAAGGACAAATAGCCATCAAAGGTTCTTACTTGTGAAATAAGCCCCTGAATTTCAGTTTTTAGAAAAAAAAGCATTATCTAGATATAGAATTTTAAATATTATTCTCATGTATCTAAAGGCTGAGCCTACAAGCTGAAAAGTCCTGTTATTAGTGCTTTATAAAGACTGAAACCTCAACATACCTCACGATCAGCCTCTTGCTTCTGAGTATTTTAGTATTTTCAAGAGTTGAAATGCATTTAAAAAAGAAACAGGAAACAGGAATACTTACTTGAACCTGGCAGGTGAAAGAGGAGTAGGAGGAAACATTCCTGGTTCAAAAGAATCAAAGTAAGTCACTGTCCAAGAAAAGCTGCAACAGGAGAATCCAGCAGTTAGGGATATTATAAGTAGAGTCCAGAATCCTTAACAGGAAAAGAGAGGGGAAAAAGTACATTATTAACACCAAAACAATTTAAATTAAACCAGTACTCTCATGTTCAGATCATGTATATTTCTCATCTTCTAAATTATATGGATCTGATATTTTAAGAGATTTGAACTTATTGCAAGCTAACTTATGTAGAAATAAGTGTACATTACTAAAGCACAACTAGAAGTCATATCATTGAATATTTTAATTAAATGATAATACGTGGGAAAAAAGGGTAAATTCAACAAGAACATAACATCTTCAGTTTTATAAAATTCAACTACAGAAAACATGGTCAAAACATTTCACAAGACTCTTAAGATGTCTTGAGGCCAGACAAGGTGGCTCATGCCTGCAATCACAGTGTTTTGGGAGACTGAGGTGGGAGGATGGTTTGGGGCCAGGAGTTTGAGGTTGCAGTGTGCCTAGATTGCACCACTGCACTCCAGCCTGGGAGACAGAGTGAAACCCCGCTTCGAAAAAGAAAAAAAGTTCATCAGATTTTTCATTTAATTTCATAAATCATACCTTGCTATCTTTATTATTTAGTACTAA
Organism: Homo sapiens; assembly: GCF_000001405.40. Classification (NCBI taxonomy): domain Eukaryota; kingdom Metazoa; phylum Chordata; class Mammalia; order Primates; family Hominidae; genus Homo; species Homo sapiens. The sequence continues at coordinate 152,734,430 of NC_000002.12, read as the reverse complement.
GTGATTCCTTTCATTCCACGCCATGCACTTTTGAAACTTGCCTCAATTTGGGGGTATCCCCTCTTTACAGTTTTCTTATGAACATTATAAACCTATTCTGATTCTTTAACCTTGCTCAGTATATGAACAAAAGTTGACTCCTGATTTACAAATGTGTGGGACCTTAGATTTTATTCGCACTGAGTTTGGAACTGTATTTTCTCACAGAAGTCAAGTCAAAAGAACAATATTATAATGGACTTAAGGAAAAACGGTTGAGAAGAATAGGAGGCATAAAGGGAAAAGAAAGGAGTAAGCTAATTTAAAGGTTTTTGGATACTATTCATAACCCATTAATAATAATAAAAGGATAATGACTTCTTCTTGTGGTTATAGGAAGACAGGAAATACTGATATTTAAGTGGTCAACTCCCTTTAGTAAGAAGTACAGCTTTATTTTGATGTCAAGTTTTCAAAAATTTTATAAATTAACTCACTTATTCACCCACTCAATCTATATTGAGGGGCTACTATGTGTTGGTTATTGTGCTAGGTAATGGGGATATAGGGATGAGCAAAATAAAAAAGATTGCTGTCTTCATGAAGTAATTCTAGTGGGATAGGAAGATAATAAAACATGTAAGTAAATTAACAAGATAACTATATATTGTGATAACTATTTTGAATAAATAAGATGTTACCACTTTAAGGAGGTAACATCAGAATTCAGATGGAAAATGTAAGCATATTTTTCTTGGAAGAATAATAGTTAATTCTAAAATTGACATGAAATAATAAGCAAAAATAGAGACTAGTCCAACCAAATATTGAAATAGTATAGGAACTGAATACCTAAAACGGTGTGTACTGATATACAAATAGACGACAGGGCCGGGCGTGGTGGCTCATGCCAGTAATCCCAGCACTTTGGGAGGCTGAAGCAAGAGGATTACTTGAGGCCAAGAGTTTGAGACCAATCTGGCCAACACGGTGAAACCACCTCTACTAAAAATACAAAAATTAGCTGGGCATGGTGGTGCATGACTGTAATCCCAGCTACTTGGGAGACTGAGGCAGGAGAATCACTTGAATCCAGAGGCATAGGTTACAGTGAGCAAAGACAGCACCACTGCACTCCAGCCTGGGTGACAGAGTGAGACTCTTTCTCAAAAACAAACAAACAAACAAACAACAGAACGAAGCAGAACACAAGATTCGGAAGAAGGCCCAAATAGATTAATAAAAAATGTTACTAATTCAATGGGGTGACCACTTACAAAAAGGAAAAGAAGTTAGATCCATACCAGATACCCTATACCAGACTAAATTCTAAAACGTACCAAATAATCTAAATATAAAGTTGTAGAAGCAATCATTGGAAAAACTGGAAAAGTCATTTATAGCCTTGGAGAGATAAAGACCTTTCTAACCATGATACAAAAATTCAAGACTCATATAAGACACAGAATTTCAACTATATACAGTCAGCCCTTCCTATCCACAAGTTCCGTATCTGGAATTCAACCAACCTTGGATGAAAAATATTTGGAAAAAAAAAAAGTAACAATACAACAATAAAAATAATGCCAATCAAAACCAATACAGTATAACAACTATTTACATAACATTTACATTATATTAGGTATTAGAGAGAGTAAATGGGAGGATGTGCATAGGTCATATACAAATACTATCCAATTTCATATAAAGGACTTGAGGATCCAGATTTTGGTATCCAGAGGGGGTCCTGGAACCAATTCCTCATGGATACTGAGGGACAACTGTATATAGGTAAACACACATATTACTATATATGCATAGCAAAATAAAATGTCAAATTGAATGACAAAAAATTTTTAAATAAAACATACCTTTGCAACTTACAGCATAAGGGAAAATTTCCTGCTAATACAGATAATTCCTAGAAGCCAATAAAAAAAAAGACCAGCAATCCAAAATCCAAATATAAAGTTAAATGCAATTGCAGAATAAAAACTACAAATGTTAAAACATGAACAGATGCTCAATTCAATACCATTAATAATCAGAGAAATTAGGTATCATTTTTTCATCAACTGACAAAAATCAAAAAGTTGGATAACATTCTCTGATGCTGAGGCTGTGAATAAACAGAAACTCTTCATGCATGGCTGTTTTGGAGAGTAAATTGTTTTAATTTCTATGGAGAGCAGTTTGGCAGTATCTGTTAAAATGATGCACATATATGTTCTTTACTCCAGTAACTTTATATGTCTTTAGGACAATATATCTCTGTATATTATAATATACAATTTTATATATATATACCTTTGTATATTATACAAACCTGTATAAAATGATGTATATACAAGATTGTTCTCTGTAGCTTTGTTCATAATAACATAGATTGAAAACAACCTAAATTATCAGTAATGAAGGTAAAGGATTGGTTAATTAAGTACATCCATACAATAGAATACTATGCAGCTATAAAAATGAATGAGGAAGCTCTTTAGGTACTGATATGGAAAGATCCTGAAAATATACTGGTGAGCTGAAAAACTGAAAGTTCAGAACAGCTCTATGCATTTGTATAAATAAGGGGAAAATATGTATTATACACATACATATATACATATGTTGTATATATGAAGAAATGTATATTGTACTTAGATATTTTAAAAAATTTCTGGAAGGATGTAAGAATTTAACATTGGTTCTCTGAGGAGGGAGGAAAGAGTGGTTGGGAGAAAAGAGTAAGCCTTTTCAGTCTATACTCTTTTACACTTTTTGAATTTTGACCCATATGACTATTCTACCTATTCAAAATAGAACTAAGTAAATTTGTAAAAAATAAAAAAATTCAGTCAGGTAGTACTTTTTGAACAGAGGAGCAGCAAGGAGGTCGTATCAGAATCTTTGTGGACTCATTTTTAAACTGCGTCTTTAAAACAGGTTTCTGAGAGTGTGTTCCATGCCTCAAGAATACAGGAAGAGTTGAGAACCCTAGCAGATGACTTACGAATTATCAAATTTCCTGACTATACAAATTATCCACCAGTCTTATTTTAGCAAGAAGCAGGTAAAAAGTACATGCAATGGACTGTTTGTAAATCTTGTGAAGCTCAGTAACAGACTGAAAAAACTGTTAAAGTACAGACTCAGAAGAATTATTAATAGAAAGTGTGGTAAATTATATCTCCTGATAGTTCCCTCCTCCCATCTCCCACCTGTTAAAGAGCTAATGGGCTCTGTGTTCATTTCTCCAGAAGAGGGATGTGGCAAAGCAGAAAGAAGAAATAGCCTGTTTTTCTACTTTACATTGCACAATATTTACAGAAACCAGTGTACAGATATAATCAGGGATAGGAGTGTGGATAAACACAATATGTCTTGAATGCACAGCAAAGACAATGAGTTGATTGGAGTACAGATAAAATGTTTGTGTGGAACAGGGAGAGAGTGAGGGGCTTATCGACAAGTGAGAAAGATTTCCTTAGTTTAAATAAAGTAGGTTGTATGCATGTTTGCACTTATGTGTGTAAATGGGGAAAGGGAGTAGTGCTACTGGGGCTTCCTGACAAAAGCATCTAGAAAAGCCCATGCAAAACCACACAGGGAGTATAGCTGTGTACAGTATCTTGGTAGGTAAGTACAGAGCCAAGCCTGCAGATGCCTCTGCCCTAAGCCTGGCATAGAAACACCACATGGTCATGTGGCTGGAAGTTGCCACATCTGAAACACCATCCTGACCACAATAAAAGATACTTCAATACTCACTATAGCAAATGTCTTGAGGATTAGTCTGCACCTTCACCCCAATATCCTGGCACAGTATCCACCTCTAGCACCTCAACCCAACCTGGAATTGGGTGAACAGAACCTTAGAATAACCTTCCTACCAATCTATCAGGATAGAGGGTAAAAAAAAAAAATTATAAGATTTAGTCTACAACTACAACTTAGGGGTTGCTATACTGCCAAATAGCTGTTATTTGCTATTATTTAGATGACTATGTCTAAAGAGGGGAGAAAATAATTGACAAGTTTACTCAAAGTTTAACATACTTCTCCAGAACAAAGATGATAGTTAAGAAAAATAAAGTGTTTGGGGACTGCTATAGAACGATGAAACTTCTAGATAAGTGAGGAAAGACACAAAGTAACATAAAAATAATCAAATGTGAGGCTTTCTAAAGCCTGTTGAACTTTTTCACTTGAGTGCTTTAATAGGGTACCTGTCAAATTTAATACAAGAATATTCTTGAGTTTTTCCAAAATTACTATTCCACAATCTAAGTACTTACTTCGCATTGAGCATTTTTATTATTTTATGTTCATTTTAAACTAATCAGAAGCTGCATCATGGGTAAGTCAGGTCACAATGATAGGGGTAAAAAAAGTACATTGCAATATTGTGGTCTAGAAGTGTTTATGATTCGGGAAATTACCTAATTCATTTGCAAATAAGCAGAAAAGCCACAGAAAATGGTAACTCCCCAACAACTAAATTTTTTACAAGTCAGTACCTGCAGAATCCTCATGCTAAAATTTTGATGTTTTATAAGCCCTTAGAAAGAATTAACAACTTTAAAAAGAATATAAAAATGAAAGCATATTAAATGAAATTCTTCCTTCCTCAGTTTGCCAATTTCATTCCTAAAAGTGATCAGCTAAGAGTCTGGTGTGCATCTTTCCAAAAATTATATACATATCTAGGTAATACAGGTACATATATAAAGCTAGTTATATATAAAACGTATATATATCTTCTCAGCTTATTTTCCACAAGTGAGATTCTCACCAGAAAAATGGTTCTGCATTTTGCTTTTTTCACATATTCTGGAGACCTTTCCTATCAGCACCCACAGCCACAGTTCTGTTGTGTGTGTGTTTTTTTTTAATTCTAGCTTTTCTCTATTACAAACAATGCTCCAAGGAACATTCTTGTATTTAAGGGTACAGTTGTACAAGGACATAGATGTTACAAATTTCCAGAATAACTGCTACCAAAGGTTGCAGGCTTTTAAATAAATACACACATCCTTCGTTCTTCTCTACAGCTCAATATTCATCAGTTGATGAAATGATGTGTGTGCATATATGTGTGTACACACACACACACACACACACACACAGACAAAGTCTGGCTCTGCCACCCAGGCAACCTCCACCTCCCAGGTTCAAGCAATTCTCTGGCACAGCCTCCCAAGTAGCTGGGATTACAGGCGCCTGCCACCACACCCAGCTAATTCTTGTATTTTTAGTAGACACAGGGTTTCACCATCTTGACTAGGCTGGTCTTGAACTCCTGACTTCATGTTCCACCCGCCTCAGCCTCCCAAAGTTCTGGGATTACAGGCGTGAGCAACTGTGCCCAGCCAAAGTGATGTATATTAATTTTTTTTTTTTTTTTTGAGAAGGAATCTTGCTGTGTTGCCAGGCTGAGTGCAGTGGCGCAATCTCGGCTCACTGCAACCTCCGCCTCCCAGGTTCAAGCAGTTCTCCTGCCTCAGCCTCCAGAGTAGCTGGACTACAGGTGTGCACCACCACATTCAGCTAATTTCTGTACTTTTAGTAGAGACGAGGTTTCACCATGTTGGCCAGGCTGGTCTTGATCTCTTGACCTCATGATCCGCCTGCCTGGGGCTCTCAAAGTTCTGGGATTTCAGTCAGACGCCACCACGTCTGGCCAATGAAATGATGTATACTAATCTTTTCCATCAATTGAAACCTCTTAAGACTGTTTTCATCCAAAGCAAAAACAGGGATGGGTAGGAATTTCCTATCCCAATCCCTTTGCTGGAATATTATAGACACCTATCTAAGGGTATATTTGTTTTGGCTTATTTTTCAAAATAAGCCATTCTGGTGTCAGGGAGCAGTTACTCTTCTAAAAATATGCTGGCAACTTTATTTCTATAAAACCTTCCAGCAAAAGAGGCTGTTATATGCTCTAAATATTTTCATTTTGTTTAACAGTTTTAGCTTACGGGGATGAGGCAACTTTCAAGAAGTTTTATGAAGTCAGACACAGAGGCACCAATTTACACATATTATATATAATCAGAATACACCAGAAAAAAACAAAACTCTCATGGTTCCTATACTAGGGAAAGGTTTCCTATTAAATAAGTGTTAGGCAATCAATTGCACACACTTCATAAAACTTCATAAGTAAACAATGGGATTAAACGTGACTGTATACTAGTAATTTCCAAGTCCTGGGTAAGAGATTCTGACATTTGAAATGTTTAAATAAACTGGTATACTTATATTATGAAATACAATGCAGTCATGAAAAAATGAGGTAGACCTATGTATACTAATACAGAATATACTCCAAAAGGCACTTTAACAAGGCTGCAAAATATACATGATTCCAATTATATTTTTCCTATAACAGTGAAAAAAACATGTATTTTAAATGACTATACATATGTAAACAAAGAGAAAAAGATGTAAAAAGACACACAGGTAGATCGGTGAAAGCCTTTGCTTTAATTGTTGGAATCTTTCCTGGTGAGATTAAATTACTTACGTAACTAATGCATTTTATGATACTAACAATGAAAATACAATACAATCATACACTGATGACAGGGATATGTTCTGAGAAATGCATCATTAGGTGATTTCGTTGTTGTTTGTACATCACAAGAGCGTACTTACAAAAACCTAGGTATATAGCCTACTACACACCTATGAGCTATACAGTTATATCCTATTATTCCAATGCTACAGACCTGTGCGGCATGTTACTATACCAAATACTGCACGCGACTGTAATACAACAATAAGTACTTGTGTATCTGAACATACTTAAATATAGAAAAGGTACAGTAAAAATACAGTGTAAAAGATAAAATATGGTACACCTGTATAGGGTACTTACAATGAATGGAGCTTACAGGACAAAGAGTTGCTCTGGGTCAATCAGTGAGCGAGTGACTGATGAGTGAAGGTGAAGGCCAAGGACACTACTGTCCACTACAATAGACTATTATAAACACTGTACACTTAGGTTACGCTAAATTAAAAAATTTTTCTCTTCATTAATAAATTAACCTTAGCTTACTGTAACTTTCTTACTTTATAAATTTTAAAATTTAACTTTACCCTTTTCTACTAACAGTTTAAAACAAAAGGACACTGTACAGCTGTGCAAAAATGTTTTTTCTTTATACCATTACTCTATAAGCTTCTATTTCTAATTTTTTAGTTTTTAAACTTCTTTGTTGAAATCTAAGACACACACACATTAGCCTAGGCCTACATAGGGTCAAGGTAATATCACTGTTTTTCACTGTCACATCTTTTTCCACTGAAAGGTCTTCAAGGGCAACAACATGCATGAAACTGTCATCTCCTATGACAACAATGCCTTCTTCTGGGATACCTCCTGAAGGACCTGCCTGAGGCTGTTTTACAGTCAACTTTTTTTAAGCAGAAGTAATATAATCTAAAACAATAAGAAGCATAGTAAATACATAAACCAGTAACATAATTGTTTATCAAGAATTATGTTATGTACTGCACGTAATTGTGCTGTATTTTTTTTTATGACTGGAAGGTTATATAAAACTAGATTGGTAATAGGTTGGTTTATACCAGCATCAACACCAACATGTGAGCAATATATTGTACTACCAAGTTAGGACAGTTGCAATGCCACTAAATAGGAATTTTTCAGCTCCACTGTAATCTTATGGGACCACCATCATACAGGCATATATGCAGACCACTGTTGACCAAAATGGTATGTGGTGTATGGCTGTACTTAGCTAACTTTAAAAGTTGTAAAAACTATTACCAGCTGGCTACTAATAAAACTTAGATGTATCATATGCATGAAACTAACCATCAATTTTTAAATGTTTATGTAAGCAAATGTTCTCAACTTTATTAGATTCTATAGTTTTCTAACTTGAGAGGATGACCATTATTTTAAATAATTTGGTATCCTCTCTAAATCACATTCTATAGATAGCTCAAGTCTTTAAATCCCTAGAGCAAAGTGTCTCTTTACACGTCAAAGCCAAGTGCAGGAGCAGAGGAAAGTGCTCTCTCCTCTCCTGCCAATGCAACATGAGCATAGTGGGTGCAGAGTGCATGGTAGCTATAGCAGTTACACTGGTTAAGGCCTTCACCCAATCGCCCGACCACCTGCAACCCAGACTGTAGCATTTCTACATCTTTCTGTTGAAACAGATGAGGAAGGTGATCCTCTGACAGATTAAGTGACTGAAATTTCAAAAATAAATAACACCTGTAGTTCCCAACATTGGTAAATCATTAGATTCACATGGGAAAATTAAAAAAAAAACCCAACACTTTTATTACAGATCATTTCAAACACAGGAAAAAGTTGAGAGAAGTATATAAAACTCATATACCCATCATCCAGCTTTAAACAATTAATTCATGGGCAATCCTGTTAAATTTATATTCTCCTCTGAAGCTTGTAATCTTCAGTATAACAGGGAAAACAGTCATCAATATTTTTATCATATAAGTCCAAAGAGGCTTTTTTATTTCCTTTATTTTCATGACACTTGAAGAATAATTTAGAGAGCAAAAAGACAGCAGGAAAAAAACTTTGTTAAAAATTTTCATAAGAAATAAATACAGCAAATCCGAATTTCAATTCCCAGTTTCCCTAAAGTCATGTACACCAAAAATGGGCACGACCTGAGTGCAAATAATTGCTTACTAACTTCATGTATGAATCTACAACATATCCATCTTGTAAATACCACTTCCAGATTTCAGATACATCTCAAATTGGTTACAGCTTGTCATTATTCCTGCTTTTTTTTTTTGCACTTGCGTCATTAAAACACAATGTTTGAAGGAATTTTTAAGCCTTTCATGGCTTATTTTGACGAAAAGAGGACAACAATCTTCTTTGCTCCATAATTTGTAACATATTTTCATTTTTAGATTACAAACAATTCAAATGGTCAACCCAATAATTCTTTTTTGCATTTTTTTTTCCAAATCACCTTTGTATACACATCTGCCCTTAGCATCTGTCCACTTACAAACAGTATCAAATAAATTAGGATGCAGACCTCATAAAAGATGAAAAAAATACTTAAAGTCTTAGGAAAGTCTTACTGGAATCCTAATTCCATCATAATTATTTTATTCTTTCGACCATAGTTGAGAATTGATGAGTAATACTAAAATAATGAAATAGGAGAATGTTTTGAGAAAGAACAATATGTGACCACTAAAATCCCAAAACGTATTTCAAAATTAAAAAATGTCCAATAGACCAATGTGGTAATTTCAAGATCAAATAAACTTTATGAGAAATATAGCTCAGTTTTCTTTATTCTTTTGAAGATCCCTAAGAAAGAATAAGTCATGAAATTTCAATCCTTACAAACAGAACTGCTCGAAATAATTCAGAAATGAAAAATGGTCCAATGAGCCCTGATTGTACAGTGTACACTGACACATACAGCCAATTAAGTTACTTCGATTCAGTAGATAATTATAGGGTCTAAGATTCCGTAAAAGCAAAAAAAGAAAATCTCCAGGGTCTTCGTTTTTTTGCTTTTTTTTTTATGTCAGGTTTGGGAACTACTAGGCCAGTGGTGTTCAAAGTATATATAGCCCCCTAACTAGCAGCATGCAGAGCATCAACTCAAAACTTGTCAAAAATGAAAATTCTTGGGCTCCATCTCACACTACTGAGTCAGATATTCTGCACCATGTGAAGAGCAGCAAAATTTATCTTTCAGGTGATTCTGATGCCAGCTAACTTTTGACTTCATTAGCCTAAGAAACGTCCCTCCCAACCACCAAAGTTGGACTACAGAGTACCACACAATGTCAACTCAATTTATTGAGATTTAGGGGTCCTAATGTCTGGTTCTTATTACTGCTTTTATGTGTTAAGAAGAGTCCTGTAATAATTTCATGACTAATAATTTAGCTGCACATGGCTAATTCTTGCTGATAACCCATTCTTTTTCTGCCTTGCTATACTACCTAGACTATCTATGGTATAAAAATTATAATACATACTTTCTTGAGTTTTGGTTTAGAAGAAAATAACATTGATGGATACAGTGTAGTTGAGAATACTAGAGGAAATAACACACAAATTAATGGCTTTTGGCATATTGTAAAAGTGCAATAAATGGTGTTATTGTTAATTACTGAAACATTATTCTCTAAACTTAAATTTGTGCTTTCCCTTAAAGTTTTTCTTATTGCAAGTTACACTTATACATTGTAGAAAATAAAAATAATAAATACAACCAATCAATTCGGAAACCCAGATAAACTAACATTTTGATTATATCCTTCCAGTCCTTTTTGGCTTTCTCTCTTTTTTTTTTTTTTTTTTGGCCTTAGTCATCATTTCTTGAATAATACAAATAGGTAAGACAATTTTACAAAAATTGTGCTATAGAATAGGATATTTGTGACTTTTTAGATGAAATATTAGAGCTACCCCACCCAGCCACAGATAGCACTGTAACACTTTCTTAATAGAGTATAGGTTCAAATTATAAAGTCCACACACTGGCTAAAAAGTTCAAGTTCAGAGTTTCAATCAATTTTCATTGTAAGGATGAAACTGAGTTTTACTCAACTTGTGTCTTTTTAAGAGAATGGGCCACCTCCCACACATCCTTTCTCTTGGACTTTTTTTAACACTTCTAATGTTCTGTATCACGAAATCATGATGGCCAAAACAAAATCTACAGGTGCTTTTAAAAAAGCAAGTCCCCAAGTGATTGTTACCCATACCAAAATGAGAATTGCTGCTATAATCTGTTCTTACTGACTGCCATGCCAATCTTGGACTAGGATTAAATTGCAATTAAATTCTGCAGTGTACAAAATTTTTGTCAGTCTGTCTAGAAAAAGAAAGAGAACTCTTTCATGGTAGAGCAGTTACTGTGCTCACGTTGCTTTTTCTAAAAACCAACCTACTTTCAAACAAAGAATGAGGAAATTTGCAGTAAATTTTAAATATGAGTCACGGAAATATTAAGATAATAGCATGTGTGGGCAATAATAAGTATGCCAAGAAATAAAGAGTAATATACAAAACAATCAAACATTATTACATTTGGCTACGAGGTTCCTAATAAACAGGGCAAAATAAATAGTGAAATATAATAAAATCGTTATCATCTGATAAAAGGCTGCATGGTACTTTTCCCAAACGTAATGGATGACTTCAACACATTTTCTTATTAAATATTTCAAATTGTTTCTTCATGTGAAAACTGTCTTATTAATTGTAAAAAGGATGTAACTTCATAGGCATCTCCTCAGGGGTAAACTAATGAGGCAATTTTTCTTGATATCTAAGTTAATCAACTCAGCGTTGATTTAGATGGAAGTCAAGTTTGAGAGAACCATCCTACCTTTTCAGCTATCAATTATCTCAAGAGGAGTTTTAACCAGAGGACAGGAGTCAATTCAAAACATTCTGTAAATAGGCTAACTTGTATTTTTCTTGAAAACAGTAGAGAATTGCAGCTTAGAAAAAAAGGCAGGTGTTGCCACAATTACCTCAATCTTTTGTTTTGTTTTGAGTTGGAGTCTTGCTCTGTTGCTGAGGATGGAATGCAGTGGCGCAATCTTGGCTCACTGCAACCTCCACCTCCCCGGTTCAAGTGATTCTCCTGCCTCAGCCTCCCGAGTAGGTGGGATTACAGGCCTGTGCCACCATGCCCAGCTAATTTTGTTTTTGTATTTTTAGTAAAGGCGGGGTTTCACCATGTTGTTCAGGCTGGTCTCGAACTCCTGACCTCAAGTGATCCACCCGCCTCGGCCTCCCAAAGTGTTGGGATTATACGTGTGAGCCACCGCGCGTGGCCGATCACCTCAATCTTATTAAGAGCTTAATCATCTTGGCCCTGTTTCACTGAAACAGATTTTTAAGAATCCTCTTCTGGTAGAGACAACTATTCTCTATCCATATGTTATAATACATACATCTGCTATAACTATTCTTTAAAATTAACCCCCAGGAAACTGATTGAATTAGCCCATTAAATGATATTAACTATTTTTATTCTCCATCTGACCACTGGAGCTCATCTGACCATTGGTTCAAAATAATGAGCTTTGTTTTGGCATAGCTGTTGGGTTTTTTTCACCATAAAGATACAACACTTTCTGCTCATTCCTGACTCTTGACAATAAATTCATGCCATTAGCAAAATCTTAATGATTTTCCTATTTGCTGTAAAAATATTAAGTATCTATCATGCATACCTAAAAGCAACATGGGATTATTTAACCCTAAGTGGAAAAGGAAGCAGGACCATGTCAAAAGACCTATCACATTCCTTTTGATATTGAGCAAGCCATTCCTTCAGATAACAACTGCCCGTCATTCTACTCCTAAATGAGAAATCAGGACAACTTTTAAACAGCAAAAGGTTTAGAATTCATGCCTAATTCATAAGATTCTGTTTCCACTGCATCAAGAGGTGACAGATCAATAAAAGCTCTGAGAAGCCTAATAATCTTGGCTTATTTCTAGAGATAAAACAATGTAAAAACATACACTGATAAAATGAGTAACTAAAAAGTATGTTTTCTCATGCAAGATGTTGACAAGAACAGACAAAAGTTTCCATGCAATATCTAAGAAACCAACTTCTTTGCAATTTGAAGATAAAGGGTTCATGTTTCCCCTTCTGCTGAAATAAGGTACACTATACTTAGTGTCACCATAAGGGTGATTAGCCATAAAGTGGTAGATTAGAGAGTTTAGGAAAGAATGGGAGAGGGGAGGACATGTGTCATAGTGTCTCAACCACCTATCTACAGTGATCAAATCAAATGATTTAATTTAAAGTGATCACATCAAATGACTTGATTCATGTGATCGAATGTAGAGTGATTAAGTTTGATCTCCCCTCCCCAATTTAGAGTGATCAAAGCAAATAGGAGTAAAATATGCTGGACAGGTAAAGTTTTCAACTCTTCAGAATCATTTTGGTGGAGAGAAATATAGAATAACCTTTTTCACTGGAAACCTGTGAACTACAGCATTCTACAGACACTGCAGAAACTGAGGTCTGACTCTCCTAGTCATTTACCTGTGCAAGGATGGTCAATGCTTTAAAAAAAAAAAAAGCTGCACATAAAGATATTTGAACTTAAATTCCTCCTGAAGCCTACATAAGACATTATTTACCTTTGCTAGGATAGTGAGGAAGTTCTTTTGTTTTTAAATTCCTGAGAAGAGCTGTGGGAAGCCTCTTCCAGAAGGTAATTAGAAAATGTTAAATATTTCTCTGGACCTGAGTCACATGCAGTTGTGTTTAAAATGTATTACTAGTGTGTGTGGTACATACACATACCAGTACCCATTAAAAAAATTATTATTGTTTCAGACAGGGTCTCACTCTGTCGCCCAGGCTGGAGTGCAGTGTAACTATCACGGTTCACTGCAGCCTTGAACTTCCCAGCTTAAGTGATCCTCCCACATCAGCCTCCCAAGTAGCTGGGACTACAAACATGAGTGAAACCATGCCTGGCTAATTCTGTTTATTTTTTGTAGAGACAGGGTCTCACTATGTTGCCCAGACTGGTCTGGAACTCCTGGGCTCAAGTGATTCTACTGCCTCAGCTTCCCAAAGTGTTGGGATTACAGATGTGAGCCACTGCACCTGGCCCCATTAAAAAATTATAGCAAACATACCATATATGCATACACATACTCCACACATATAAAGGAAATCTAATAACATTTATCACCAACATATGCAAATTAAAAACAAGACTGAATGACTGCACATAGAAATACATTAAGTATTTTATCCCAGAGTTAGTTCAAACATGATCTAGAAACACAAACGTGAGCTCAAAACCAAAGCAAGCGGCAATTAAGTCCATACCTAATAGTCCAGTGTCTACATCATCTTCATTTTTCAAATTCTCAGCATGCAACTCTGCAAATACAAAGAGGGACTTAGGTAGGAAAGCAATACTATAATTTGAAAAGTAACTCAAGGGCTGTGAAGGCATTGTGGAGCTGTGGAAAGTGCTCTGGAGTCACAAAGAACTGGGTTCAAATTCTGATTCAATTTACCAGCTATGTGACCTTCAGCAAGCAAATTAATGTGTTGACCACTAAGGGAGCCAACAGCTATATACCGTACATAGGATGAGAGTACTGTTTATTCCCTAAGGTAGTGGTAAACACTAAAGGGCATACTAGGTGGAGTTCAGTTCCTTTCTCTATTCTTCCAAATAAGCACAGTTCAATGTCTTCTGCAATGGAATTCCACTTATCATGGTTTTGTGACTTTATGATACAAAGGCAATGTCTCCGAGCAAAACAGAAATAAACCACCTAGGAGACAAAACTATCAGAATTGCAAAAAAGGGCAAAAAAGTGGGGAGGGGAATGATAAATGAAACATTGGCAGCCAATCATTTAAGACTGACAGCTTGCATTTTATGCACATTCAGTTTACCATTTTATGAAGAGGTAAAACCCACATCAACTGGCCAAAGTGTCTTCTGTATGAAAATCAAGCATTGTAAGGTTTTAGATGCCATGCCATCTGTAGCCCACTAAACGCTGGGAAGCAATGAGGACAAATAAAAACTGGAGTTAAATAGATTTAATTATATTTAATGAAGTACAAAAATAACACTTCAGTGACAATGTTTTGGGTGCTTTTCATACAACAAAGTTCTTTTGTTTTTTTTTTTTTTTTTTTTTTTTCAGTAACTTGGCAAAGGTCACAAACTAGTGAGAATGGAAATTTAAACTTAACTCTGCTTCTTTCCACTATAATATACACTAGCCAACTAAATTATACAACCGTATGCCTTGCAATAAACTTCAACCGGCCAATATTTCAACTTCAGACAGAAAAACAAAATTATTAGAGGACGAGTGGACTATACTTTCTGCAACAGAACTCCGTGCACTACACCTGGATACAAACTTAAAAACTGAGAGGCTAATTATTTTACCTATAAAAGAAGAAATTTGGACTATGCGATGAAAATCTTTGTCCCTCAAGATTCTGTGTAGAGGAATTGGTGGACAGCACATCTTTATTTGTGGATGAAGGCCATTGAACATGGCCTATTTTAATTATATGCACTTTTCACTGTCTCCTTTTAATGGTGGGTGTTTCGCATTTTGTTTAATCTTCACAATATTTCATCCCCAGTGTTCAAGGACTTGAAGATATTTCTTCAAGAGTACCCATTTAATCAAACGATCCTTTTTAAAAATACGTCTCCTGATCATGGATCAGGACGCTCCACTTAGAAAAGGCAAAGGGCGGGAGAGCAAAGTAAGATGCAAATGAGGACTCTGGGTGAAAGCAGCTGCCAGCCTGAGGGCTTAGCGCGAGGGAAAGGGAGATGGGTGGAGACGAGAGCCACACCCTGGCTCAACTTTACTCTGGACAGACTTTCAAGGCGTCGGCTTCAATACCTTTAACGATCAAGTAGGCGATGGCGAGGAGGAAGGCGAGAAGAATGGCGAAGAGCAGCGAGCAGAGAATAGAGAGGACCTGGACCGGCCACCGCCGAGGCTGGGCTCTGCTGCCCGCGGCCGCGGGAAAGATACCATTGCGCTTATCGGGCAGAACGGGCGACCCGTTCCCGTCCGGCGGGAGCACCGAGCGCTTTCTGGGCTCTGACCACGCCCCAGCCGAGAACTCCGCCCGCAGGTCGCGGGCCACTTGGTCGCATCCCTCCTCCTCGTCGACTTCGCCTTCACCCCAGCTGTCCCCCTGAGTAAAGGAGGAATACGATGGCCGAGCCACAGGGCCCGGGGTGCCGGGACCGCGGCGCCGCAGAGCCGACCGCCACCCGCTCTCAGCAAACGACATGGCGCGAAACACAACGAAACCCGCGGAGAACGAGCCTCTCCCACCTGCCCCGCCCCGGGTCCGCAACAGCCAATCCGCGGCAGTGGCCGCTACCACCAGGCCTCAGAGCCCAGGGGTAAACCACGGAGAGCAAGGGTGGGCGGCGGGTTGCAAAGGAAGCCGCAGGGCCAAAGGAGAGGCGGAATGCGCTTCGACCAGAGCTCGACCCCAGGGCTGTAGCCGGAAAGGGGAGCAGGAAAGCGCGCAGGGAGAAGCGAGCGGAGGCCGAAGGCTGTCGAGTATCCACTCCCTGCGGGGCTTCGTCCCGGCCGGAGACCTCCGCCACCCCCGCGTCACCAACGGGAGCGCGCGCCCCGACAGCCCCAAAGCCTCATCTTTTCGACGCCGGGTCCTAGCGCCCGCTCGCGCCCTCGGAGACACATTCCCGAACCTATTTGTCTTCTCCCTTCTTCCCCACTACGCTCACACTCTTCTCCAGGTTCCCCCATTAAGGGCACCTCTCTACCTGGCGCTCTCGCGGTTCCTTAACTGCTCACCCCCATCTCCCTTTAGTGTGGTTCTCCCCACCCGTACTACAACTTCCCTCCCGCTACTCGACACGCCTCCTTCCCCAGGCGCGCGCTCTCCACCTGGTGCGTACGGAGATCGAACCCTCTCCTCCGAACCCCTCCTTTCGCCTTCCCCGCCTCCTCCCCTCCGCCTCGAGCACCGCGCGCGCGCATTCGGTCCCAGCCACCGCTAACACTACAGGCTGCTTACCCCCGCCCCCTCCACCCTACCCCTGGCGGCCTCAGGTTTGTGGGGCGTACGTAACTCGGGCGGGGAGGGTGAAGGTGGCAGACCCCCACTGCCCCACCCCCTACGGGGTGAGGCGGTCTAAGCTCGGGAAGCTGGGACACTGTTGTCTTCCCTTCCCCTGGGGAAGTTGGTAGAGTTTTCCCGACGGAGGACTCGGCGCAGAAACTTCCTCCGTCCTCCTCCTCCCCCCCCCCCATGCAGGCGACGCCGAGTGAGGCTGAGGCTGGGGGCGAATCGCCGCAGAGCTGCGTGTCGGCGGCGCATTCTGATTGGACAGCGGGGAAGCCCGTCAGCCTGTTGGCCCCGCTGATCCCGCCCCGTAGCGCAGGGCAGCCTTTAACCTTTAGCCCCAGTGGGCGCCAGCCACTCAGATCGCTTCTTGTTGGTATGTGTAGCGGCAGTGGCCGCCGGCGGAGCAGTCTGAGCCCGACGATGAGGCCGGGGACGGGAGCTGAGCGTGGAGGCCTCATGGTGAGTGAAATGGAGAGCCATCCTCCCTCGCAGGGTCCTGGGGACGGGGAGCGGAGATTGTCCGGCTCAAGCCTCTGCTCCGGCTCTTGGGTCTCTGCTGACGGCTTCCTGAGGAGACGGCCCTCGGTAAGGGATCAGTGGGGCAGGGGGAAGGCGGCACAATGAAAAACGGAGTGAGAAACAGGAAGCTTTCTCCGAAAGGAGAAGAAGATAAGAGTGGACGAAGGAAGAACTCGAGATGGTGGGATATGTTCTGAGGGAGAGAAGTGGAGGGTGGAAATGCACAAAGAGAAGGATGTGAGACCCTGGAAGTTCCCCGTGGGCTTGGCCTAGACAGATGCGTGGTGAAGGTGCTGGCTCTTGGGCGGGGTGAGCGTCTTGGAGCTTTAGGCCCGATTTTAGCTGGGAGGGGGAGGCAGGGGCTTGATACTGTAAGACTTTAACAGCGGCTGCCAAAATTTGTTTTCATTAGTCGTCGGGGTGGTCTGCAGGGGGAACTGTTGGGACAATTGGCAGGAGATAATTAGGTGGTTTTAATTTAAAACATAGAACAATGGACTCATCGGTAAAGAAAGTAGTTGTCTTTTTAAACTGCGTTAAAAAGGATGAATTAGTTGTTTGCATTTAGTGTCCGTGAGTGACAGAACCTCAGTCTTTGAAAATGTATTTTTGGCAGAAGGAATTTTACCTGTCTTAAAGGTTATGTTAGGAAATAAGTTTGTTAGGAGTGAATTGTGCCTGGGTAGCCATACTGTTTGTGTTTTGTAAGACCGACTCTCACCTGAGTTAATTGGATAGAGCATTTTAAAGTTTAAAATCAGTAGTGTTATAAAATAACAATAGCTGGCTATCTTTTATATCTGCATGAAATAGGAGAGTTGTTGTTTTCACCATAACAGTTTTAAAATTAGTATTCAATGTGTATCCTCCAAGCTTAGCAAGCCAATTAGTAGCTGGTTAAGTCAGTGCTTAAAAAAAAGAGAGAGAAAACCTATGATCCAGCGGTCCAGGATTCATCTTAACTTTTCCCATTTTTTTACGGAATTTGCAAGCTCGTTTTAAATACTAGCAGAATGCGTTTTGTTTGAAACAAGGTATAGACTAATCCAATGATGTTATTACACATAAGCTTAATATTATGTCGCTTCAGATAACTGATCTGTTGAAATGAGATTTTTGAGAAGCATTTAGTATTATTTGCTCATTTAAAAATGTTCACTGTTTTTCAGATGGGGCACCCTGGCATGCATTATGCCCCAATGGGAATGCACCCTATGGGTCAGAGAGCGAATATGCCTCCTGTACCTCATGGAATGATGCCGCAGATGATGCCCCCTATGGGAGGGCCACCAATGGGACAAGTAAGACTGTTTTTGTTTTATTTTGCATTTATTTATTTGTTTTTGCCTCAGGTATTCTATCAAGATTTCAGAATCTAGGTCAGTAGTTATAGCTGTTTAATGATTAGTTTATGCCCGAATAATTTCAAATAAGCCAAATGTTAAATCATGACTGTAACGGAAATTTGAATAATGGAAAAGTCTTCTGAGAAATTTAAATAATGAAAAAGTCTTCTGAGAAATTTACTGATGACCTCAAAACTAAGAATTTTTTTCTTTATTATTTAAAAGTAAAGTGTGGATCCAGGCTTTTATTTTTAATGATTATTTTTTCAAGAATGCCAATTGAAGTTGATGGTCTAAGTAAATATTATCTGATACAGCAACATAACTGATTTTGGTAGACCATGTAAATAAATAGAATCTGAAAATAGCTATTGTTTTGGTTTAGAGCGAATTTTATTCCTGAAATATCTTCCTCTTTGTGTGTTGGAGGAGGGTGAGGGAGGGTGGGGAGTTTGTGCTCTATAATTCTGATTCTTCATAGGACAGTGCCAATAGGTAGTTCATTTTCCACTTATACTATTTTTTTTTAATGCTTGTTGCTTCTACACTCCTGCTTATGAGCTGTCCCTTCCATCTCTAGCATAAATTGTAAATGGACATTTTGTAGGAGTGATTTGGATCAAAAGGTTTTAATGCTGATTCAGTGATTTCGGTAGAACTGAGTTTCTAGAGAAGCATCCAAGAAAGGTAACAGGTTCAGTTACCATGAGTAATTTTGTGCTTCATGTTAAGTTCTATAATAGATCTTTAGGTGGCTGGGTTATTTCCATTTGAGTATTTCCATAAATCATCAAAAATTTAGGCTAACAAAATATTTTGGAAGCCAATTTCATGTGATCTTTTGCTAATTAGTACTGTTTGATAATTGTTTAAGCTTTCATGGTTAAAGTTATTGGTGAAATTGCAGTGGGAAAAGGAGCTTGCTATGTGTCTGTCTCTTTTTACTTAACCTTAAGAGTAGAAGGGCTTAATGTCCAGTGATTTTCCTCTTTTTTTTTTTAATTTGGAATATTGCCCTTAATTTTGTTAAAAAACAAAACAAAACCTTTATTCAAAGGCACCAGCCCCAAAAGATTCTGCTTGCAGGAGTTCTTTAAATAAAAGAGCCTTTTATTCTGTTACTCTAGAATAACACAAATTTTAAAACTCTCTAGGTGATGGAGAAACAACTTTGATTCCTCTTCTGTTTCTTTCCATCTCTAAGGAGCAAGGAGCTCTTCTTGTTTTCTTGGTAGAGCTGCTCTAACTAGATAATGAGCTTTAAAAATATTTATTCTTTAAATGCTCTGGTTCTTATTTAAAATTAGTTTCTTTCCACAGAAAGATAAAATAAAACAATTTGCTACTGCCAGATGCTTCTCTCTTTTCTGGGGCCTTCTGTTTCCATTGGGCCAATCAAGGTAAGTTTTGCAAGGGATTGACCTGCTTACCCTTGCTGTAATGGTGCTATTGCACTACCAAAACCAAGATACCAGCTAGTCATAGTTCTAGTTAAAAAAAAAAATGCAGATTTTATTTTTTAAAAGTACTTTCATGTATCTCATTGACATAAGCTGGTCACAGTTTGCTTTATGGCCCTTTCTCTTTAGCTGTATCAGTGACCATCTTTCTAGTAAGTTTACTTGCTACTCGGTACACATCCATTCAAATAACTGATTTTTTTGGTGTGGTTTTCTTCTACTTTTTCCTAGGCTAATATATGCCACGTGCCTTTAAGTAGACCTAATTATTTAGATGTTTAGAATTCTTCTCCCTCTGAAGGCTCCTGTTAGTATAATAAATAAATGTTTTAGTAGGAGTTATGCCCTGAAAGTCCCAAAAGAATCTCCGCTGTTTTTGTCAGAATTATATAATTCCCTTTTATCCCCTTAATATTTCACTAACAAATATGGGTCCCAAATCTTGGTAAAACAAATTCTTGTTTTAGCTTTATAACAGACTGGGAGAGCATGGATAATTTGAATTCTCAAATCAGAAATCATATTTGAAACTCTGTAAACATTGCTTTAAAAATTAAAGGTGATAATAAATAGGACAATTGATCCTTTTTCCTGCATTATTTCTTCTGCCACTCTTGGAAGTACTCAGGAGGAATAAGTGGTCAGAAGATAATTGAGAAGAAGCAGGATGTCTGTCTGTATCATTCACAGTAGTGACAGTTGGGAGGGTTCTGCCATGCAATTTAAAAAAGTCAGTTCACAAATTCTTTAGACTTTGGGACTGAAGGTTATAAAAACCTTCATGTGTTGACTGGTTTGCATGAACATCTCATG
Source organism: Homo sapiens (assembly GCF_000001405.40). Lineage (NCBI taxonomy): Eukaryota > Metazoa > Chordata > Mammalia > Primates > Hominidae > Homo > Homo sapiens. The sequence goes on along the minus strand of NC_000002.12, from coordinate 152,713,676 downwards.
CTGGGACTAGCTAAAGACTAAAATTGGTGGCAGTCTTACTTGCCAAATAATTGTGGTCTTTGGAATGTTACCAATATGACATGAAACTGTAAAACTTGTTTGTAAAATAATATGCAGACTGGGTAGCATAATGATGTACGGAAGCCAGGGTTCATAATTTCTCAAATGCATCAAGCTATTTAGCTTAAAGAAGTGGTGTGTTCAAATTTTTTTTTTCTTAATTCATGAGATGACCTAGAGTGCCATCTCATGCATTTAGGCTGACTCTTAGTAGTAATAAATATTTGATGATTATCAAATTGAGCTTAATATTCTTTCAGGTTTATTTCAGTTTTCTATCTTGTAGATTAAATTTGCCTCTTATTCTATATAACTTTATAGGAAAGTCATACTTTTAGAGTTATAGGATCTTATAGCTGAAAGGGACCTTACAGGTTGTTTAAGCTTTAAATAATATGTGATTTAAGATGCTTTGAGGATCACTGGTTAAATGTTAGTAAAGAAAGATAAAGAATTTTCCCTGCTGGATGGCAGTACTCAAAAATTTCCCATTGGGAGGCTGAGGCGGGTGCATCGCTTGAGCTCAGGAGTTGGAGACCAGCCTGGGCAACATGGTGAAACCCCATCTCTACAAAAACTATTTAAAAATAAGCTGGGTGTGGTGGTGTGCGTCTGTCGTCCCAGCTACTTAGGGGGCTGAGGCAGAAGGATTGCTTGAACCTGGGAGGTCGAGGCTGCAGTGAGTCAAGATCACGCCTTGCACTCCATCCTGGGTGACAAAGTGAGACCCTATCTCAAAAAAATAAAGATTTTCTGTAGAGATTTCTATCAATAAAATTATGTGTGAGGCTGTCTTCTTCCTCAGTGTCCATAGTAAATACTGTTTTCATGTCTTTTGTGTTTTCTACACAAAGGACATGCAGGTCCTGCCATCTTTATCACAGATGATTATGCCTTTGCCCCAGAGTCATGCTAGCTGGCTCTTTTTTTTTCCTCCCTATTTGAGTCTTTATTTTCCTCTATCAGTGAGAAGAGTAGAGTAATTGAGTTAAGGTCCCTTTCAGCTCTAACATCCTATGATTCAGTTCAGATCATTTGATAAGAGTAGATATCAGATTTTATGGGATGATATGGAAAGAACAGAAAATTCCTTTAGTAATGCCTCCCTAATTCTATTTATTCAGTGCTTTTTTTTTTTGGTCTTTGGTCAGTAAACTGATAAATGAATAATTGCTTTTTACAAATGAGTTTGATTTTCTTGCTCCTATATTGAGTAAGGCTGGCTCTAATAGATCTTATTTTATTTCAGTTCCTGCTACCACATGAGCCCAAGTCGTCACTCTCCCATGCCTAGGTTATTCAACAGTTTTTGAGTTGAGTTGGTTTTCTTGCTTCAAGGATGCCCCCCTGCCCCCACAAATTTTAGATTTCAATGTGTTATCTCCTTGCCCAAGAATCTCCAGTACTTTCAGTGCCTATAACATAGTATCTAAATTCCACAGCTTAACTTTAAAGAACCTCCCCATAGTACATGTCAAAGCAGGATTCAAGGCTGCATGTCTTTACACTCCCTAATTTGAACTTAGGCTGGTCTTTTCACGGTGTCTTGAGTGATTATATTAGTTCACAACTTCAAACTTAGGCTGTTCTTCTTACCCTCCTGCCCCCAGCTCAGTATCACCATGAAGTTTGCTTTGCTTACCTATGTTGTACTATTTCAAGTCCTGCCTTCTCCAAAAGTTTCTCAAAAATGACTTTTGCCAACATATACCTCCCCTTCAGATTATTAAAGAAAATATTTGTAATCTACCCATAACTCTTACCGTTTCACTTATTTTGGCACCTAGTTATTGACTTGTTTTATGGTTTCTTAATTTGCTTTAATTTTCCAACAAGTAATAGATTGTAAGCTCTTAGAGGGCAGGGGCTATGTTCTGTACTTTTTAAGAAGCCTATAGGTGCTGAGCACAGTTCTTGGCACATCATGGGTGCTCAGTAAAATACTTGTTGAATGAATGAAACAAATACACAGGTATTCTTTCCTGCAGTATAAGCCCATAAGTCAGTCAGTGTTAAATGTGACTGTTTCCAGTGGTTACTTGTGACTTTACGTTGTTACTACTTATTCTTGTTTTTAGTGTCTGCCTCTTTACTCTTACTTTTTCATTTGACAAAAATGGAAGATAAATAAGATGAAATAAATAATTTTTGTTTGGAGAATAAAACTAAAATATTTCCATTTGCAGTCGACCCTCTGTATCCAGAGATTCAAGCAACTGCGATGGAAAATAGTCTTTAAAAAAGCAACAACAAAAAAATACAAATTTTTAAAAATAAAGTATAATAACTTTTATAGCATTTACATTGTGTAAGGTATTATAAGTAATGTAGAGGTAATGTAGAGGAAAAAATAACAAAGTAGGATATAGGCCTTGCAGAGAAATTTAGTGTATTGGTACCTTAGACTTACCTGACTGATTTGACAAATTTATTTGTTGCTGTTCCTTCTGAATTACCCTTCCTTTTGAGTAGCTACAGGATCCATGCCATTGAATTGGGCATTAGCCAGTGACAAAAAAGAGATAGAATTTTTGTTTTTTAGGTCATCTGCTCATAATTCTTGAATCTGGGTAACTTCTGGGTACATGTGGATGACTCAAGCAAGTACTTTTAAAAAATATCTTAACTCAGACCTAATGTCTGTAAATTCTTGACTCAATGTGGTTAGATTTTTGACAAATGTTAATAGTGAGACTACAAATACGTTTATTTTCATTATCTTTAGATAGCAGTTCATTTAAATATGAGCTCATCTATTCACAAACTTAGTGTGGAAAGATCTAAGGAGGACCACATCAGTTGAGAAGAATGACCGGCATCCCCTGCTCCCCTTTTGAAATTCACAAGGCATAATATTTACTAAAGTGATGAGAAGTCTTGCAGAAGCCTTTTACAATTTTTACTTAGTATTTCTGTCTTATTTGACCATCTCCCCCATAAATCTCCCACATAAAGCATTTGTTTTGCTTTGTGTAGCACATTGTATGAAATTAGCATTTTGTGAGAAATGCTGAATTAGGGCCCTTTATTCTTTTAGTTTGCTCTTTAGGAGAAAAAGGCAACATCAAAATAAGTTAGTGTTAACACACATATGCATAAACGAAACAGCTTGTGTAGTGCAATGAATGTATTCATTAGATAGTGGATCAAAAGAGGAAACAAGTCAATAGATTAACCTTTGATTTTTAAATTAGGCTTGTTGAATATCATGATAAGACTAATAGTAGTATTAATAGATAGTAAAGATTTGAGGCTAGGCACGGTGGCTCATGCCTGTAATCTCAGCACTTTGGGAGCCCGAGGTGGATGGATCACTTCAGGTCAGAAGTTTGAGACCAGCCTAACCAACATGGTGAAACCCCATCTCTACTAAAAATACAAAAATTAGCGGGACATGGTGGCGCACACCTGTCATCTCAGCTACTTGGGAGGCTGAGGCAGGAGAATTGCTTGAACCTGGGAGGTGGAGGTCTCAGTGAGCTGAGATCGCGCTATTGCACTCCAGCCTAGGCAACAATAGCAAAACTGTCTCAAAAAAAAAAAAAAAGATTTGGTACATATGCTACACCATAGCAGTGTACTAGGGATTTTGGGGTTTGTTTGTTTGTTTGTTTTGAGACAGAGTGTCTGTCACCCAGGCTGGAGTGCAATGGTGCAATCTCCACTTACTGCAACCTCATCCTCCCAGGTTCTCCAAGTAGCTGGAATCACAGGTGCGTGCCACATGCCTAGGTAATTTTTGTATTTTTAGTAGAGTCAGGGTATCGCCATGTTGGCCAGGCTGGTCTCGAACTCCAAGGCGCAAGTGATTCTCCTGCCTTGGCCTCCTAAAGTGCTGGGATCACAGGCATGAGCCGCCTTGCCCAACCTGTTTTTAACCTAGAGAAATAGGTCCATGTTGTGAAGGTTTATAAGTAGGAATTAATAGATGACATTCCAAGTAGAAATTATCAGTCTCATTCTTATTTTTTTCCTTACCTTTATTTTTCTTTTATTCAGTACACATTTAAGTATCTTGGGTGTGGTACCTAGTGTACAGGTGATGTATGCCCTGCTCTCAAGGAGGTCATTCCTGAGATGCCATTTTGAACTCATTTTTGTCTTCTAACTGCTGATTTGGTTGTTATGGTATTTCCGTACATTTGGAAATCTAGTGGCTATGAATATTTTATACAGGTTGAGTATCTGTAATCTGGAAACCAGAAATGCTCCAAAATCTAAAACTTTGAGTGCCAACATGACACTCGAAATAAATGCTCATTGGAATGTTTCAGATTTTTGAATTAGGGATGCTCAACCAGTAGGTAAAAAGGCAAATATCTGCAAATCTGAAAAAATCCCAGTCTGGTGTCAAGCATTCTGTATAAAGGCCTCTCAACCTGTATTTGCCTTCTTTCGCTGTCTGGTCAAGTACTTGTACATTATGTATCACTTATTTTAAGCAAGTTAGTTGTACTTAGCAGTTATTAGAGATGTGATTGTTGGAAGTGAATGTTCAGTGTTGCAAAGTGAAAATAGCACTCAGGCAAAAGTTTTCTCAGCAAGGCAGTTTACTTCTGTAGAAGGGTGTGTCTTGCAGATGGAGCAATCGTGAGATGGACAAGGGAGGGGAAGAGGTTCTTATTCTTAACACAGCTGGTCCCCACTGTTGTGTCTTTCCCCTACTGGCTAGGGTTGGACCGCACAATCTAAAGTGACCCAGTTGACTAATGTTTGAAATTGAACCCAGCTGTCTAGGCTGGAAGGGAAAGGCTATCCATTATGACACAATGCATGTCTAGGAGAAGGAAGAGTTTATCTGAATAAGGTGGAGGAGAGCTGAGGAAGGTTTTGGTGAGAGCTGTTTTTATAAGTCTTTGCACTAAACTATGAGTACAGGGTATGATACAGCATCCTGTAAGAATGAGCACACCTATAATGGCTGTAAGAGAAGGATTGAGGCTATGATTCCTTTTCATTTACTGAACTACCTCTCTAGCCATGTTGAGAAAGGGTTATCGACTCCAGAATTTTTAGTTAGTTCATTGGATAAAGCGGTAAGTCTTTGTAAGACGCTTATTATGTTCCCAGTGGGGTCAGTGTTGTTTGGGATAAAGGTACAACAGTGAATTTTAATCATAACACAAACATCCCCTATTTTGGCTAATATATCTAGGGCCATTCTGTTTTCTCAGGCCATCTGGCTAGTGGGCCCCAATTGTTCTGTTACCCTTTGACAGCATCCGTGGTGTAATTATAAACCACTGCTGATTATAATAAATGTAATTTATCCAATCTACGTTTTTATTAGTTGTCACTCACAAAAATATTGACTCAAATCCTGCAGCTATTTGATCTCGAGTTTTAAATTTAAGAGCATTCACATCTTGATATCCTGTCTCAGTTGCCAAAGTTTGTTTTAGGTCTTTAACTTCTACAATAGCTACCTTGGTCTTTTCATTAGATGGAGGAGGAGCAATAGTTTTGTTGTGAGAGGTTTTGGAAGAAGGCTTAGGGGAAAGTGTAGGCAGTAGGGGATCAATGCAGCATATTTCAAAGGATCCAATAGGTTCTGTTCCTGAAACCTCAGCCCCCATGCCATAAAACTGGCTTAAAGAAGGGAACCGGCTTATAGAAGGGGAAGAACTTGGAGGGTTTGAGATAATAACCTGTATTGGACAGTACTGGTTTAGCTCACAGCTAGGGGAAGCTGTTTCTTTAGTAAAGTGAATGTATGGCTTTAGGAAATTACAGCTACTGGTTGGGGCAGTTTATCCGTGCTCTTTAGTGGTCTACAGAACGTTTACAACTACTGGTTGGGGCAGTCCATCTGTGCTCTTTATTGGTCTACAGAACATTGGACCAACTGCAGCATAAAAGCTCTGTCTTGGCGGGGTGTGGGGGGCAATACTCCCAGTTGACATTGGGGTCTTTATTGAAACCTTTCCAGACTAAATGATCCCGATTCACTAATATCCAGTCTGAGCAGAGCCAGGAAGGACAGAGGTACTTTTTTGGAGTGGAGAGCTGCTTCGACGTGTCAAGTCTCCACAGGGTATAACAAGGCAAGCATCAAATATAATAGTTTGAGGCGAAATTGACTCGGTTACATTAATAATGAGGTGATCAGCAATAGAGAGGAAAGAAGAAGGAGTAATAGAATAGATGAAAGAGAGTTAAATTTTCCTTAGCTTTAGTTTGGTAGGGTTTTCCCCTGGGACTATGGCCCATGACTCTGGAGGGGGCGGCACTTTTTTGACTCGGGTGTGATGGGTCCATCCTTTTTTTGCTGTCTGGACTGTGGTTTCAGTAGTTAGGTGCACTAGGTATGGTCCTTTCCAGGCCAGTTTGAGCTTTTCGTCCTAGTTTTTGATGAGGACGTGATCCCCAGGCTGATGTTGATGTACTGGGAACTCCAGGGACAGTGCCTGTGCTAGGAGACCTTTGGTTTTAAGAGGAGAGAAAGTAGAAGATATACCAAGTATATAATTTTTAAGGAATTGGTCTTTTGTTTCAAAGGTAGGAATGTCCGCAATGGAGTGTAAATAAGGCATTCCATAGAGCATCTCGTAAGGGGAAAGATGAATATCTTTCCAAGGGGCAGTTTGGATTCTTAACAGGGCAATAGGAAGACATTTGGTCCATGGTAATCAATTCTCCAGAACCAACTTGGTTAAGTGGTTCTTCAGAGTTTGATTCATTCTTTTTACCCTCCGTGATGAAGGTGGGTGTCAAGGAGTATGATATTCCCATCTAATGTCTAGTGTTTGGGATAGCTTTTTAATGATGTGTGTGGTAAAATGGGTTCCACTGTCTGAGTCAGCATTTTCTATTAACCCAAACCTAGGCACTATATTTTTAGTAAAGGCTTTAACTACATTATTGGCTGTTGCATTTGAAAAGGGATAGCTTCGACCCAGTGACTGAGGTGATCTGTCACTAGTATGTATTTTAGACGCCCTGTTGGAGGCATCTCTGTGTAATCAATCTGGATACTTTGGAATGGACTGAAGCCTGGACTCCTTCCCATAAGGGGTAATCTTTTTATAGTTTATTAGTTTTCTTACAAACTAAGCAACTGTCTGTAACCTGTTTGGCCAGGGTATAAATTTCTGTGCTCCCATAAACTGAGGACTCCGTCACACATGGCTTGGGGCCCCCAATGGATCTCTTGATGCAGTTAGGATAAGATTTCCCTCATAAGGGGTTTGGATAACATTTCTCTCTGGTTTGGCGACATCCGTTTTCCTTCTGAATTCTCTTTAGCACCTATTGTTATTAGGGTTTTTTTTTTTCATTAGAAGAAAAAGGGGGATCACGGTAAGAGGAGGAAGGTAAGGAGTTAAGTGAAAAATAGGTGTTTTAGAGGAAACGGCAGCCTGTTTGGCTATCTGATCTGTTAGGTTATTTCCTCGACTTTCGAAAGAAAGGCTTTTCTGGTGTCTGGGGATGTGGACAATAGGTATTTCTTCTGGCAACTGAAGGTTATTCAATACTTGAGTGGTTAGCTCCTTATGAGCAAGGTCTTGACCTTTACTATTAATGAGGCCTCGTTCAGTCTAAATTTTTCAAAATGTATGAGCCACTCAAAAGGTGTACTTAGAATCTGTACAGATGGGTCTTTTCTGGTTCTGCAAGTACTTTAAGGTTTGGCTGAGTGCGAACAGCTCGCAAGTTTGGGCAGACCAATCACTGGGCAATTTTTTTGGCTCTCTTTCTTTGAGAGTTTTTCTGTCAATTACTGAATACCCATTGTGTCTTTTTCCCTCAATCACCTGGGAGGAACCATTTATAATAAGTGTCCTCCTGTCCTGAAGGGAGTTTCTCCTAGGTCTGGTCAGACATTTGTGTGGTAATCGATTAAATCTAAACCTGTGTGTTTTTTCTTTAGATTTGGATCCCCTGTTAGGAAACCTGCTGGGTTAAGCAAATTATCAGTGGTTAATGTTAAATCAGCTTTTTTTTTTTTAACGGAATAGCCTCATATACTTTTAAGATTCTTGAGTCAGCAGGCCACCTCCCTGCTTTCTGATTTAAGATAGTTCTAACTTAGTGGGGCGTGCTTACTGTCAATTTTTCTCCAAAGGTTAAGTTTTTGGTTTCTTTGACCAATACTGCTGTAGCTGTAATGGATTGGATGTATTGAGGCCATCCACAAGTAACTAGATCTAAGACTTTTGACAGGAAGGCCACGGGCTGCCGACAGCCACTGTGTTCTTGAGTAAGCACTCCCAAAGCTACCGCATTATCCATGTTCACAAAAAGGTGGTACGCTTTTCTAGGGAAGGTAAGGCTAAGACAGGGGCAGTTATGAGCCTTTCGTTCAGCTCTTTGACCTGATCGACTTCCTCAGAAGTCCACAGGAGATGGTCAGGCTTCCCCTGGGGAAGTTTTTGATATGAAAGTTTACTGTGCATATGAGTTAATCCATAAGTGGCAACATCCAGCTAACCCTAAAAATTTCCTGAGTTCTTGTTTAGTTTGAGGCAAGGGTAGGGACACAATTCTCTCAACTTGTTCGGGCCCTAGTCTGCACTTATCAAGTGGCCTAAATATTTAACTTCAGGCTCCACATACTGAAGCTTTTCCTTTGAGACTCGTAACCCCTTGAACTGCAAATGGTTAAGAATATGTGTAGAGAAGCCAGTTACTTTCTGTATGTCCTCACCAGATATAAGAATATCATCAACATATTGGAGTAGGCATATTTGTTTTGGGATGACAACTTTTTCTAATACTTGTTCTAAAATTTGACCAAAAAGGTTAGGGGAGTCTGTGAACCCTTAGGGTAAGACTGTCCATCGATAATGTTGTTTCCGCCCTGAATGGGGACCTTCCCACTCAAAAGCAAATATATCTCGACTGTCTTCAGCCAGGGGACGTGCCCAAAAAGCATCCTTTAAATCTATTACAGTAAACCATTGATGATTAAATGGAATGTTGCTGAGAATGGTGTAAGAACTGGGGACAACGGGGTGGGTAGTTTGGACTATTTGATTAATAGCTCTAAGGTCCTGTACCAGCCGGTATGATCCGTCTGATTTCTTGACTGGCAATATTGGGGTGTTATAAGGGGACATACAGGGCTCAAAAAGCCCATCTTTAATAAGACCTTTAATTATAGGTTTCGACCCTATCATGTCCTCTGGATATGGGGTATTGTTTCCTCCTTACAACTTCCCCGGGGGGTTTTACCTTGACGTGGACTGGGGAGACTCGGAGTTTCCCTCAGTTCTCCTCTTTGGACCAGACATTAGGATTAATGTATTTTTCATCTGCAGTGATGAATAGGTTAAAGAGATGAGGAATCCTCTTGGGCTGACTTGTAGGCCTATGCCTAACTTCAGCATTAAATCCCTCCCTAATAAATTAGTCCCTGCCTCAGGGATTAACAAAAACTGAATATGAGCTGATCGATCCTGGTATCTGACTTCTGTGTTTTTTAAAATTTTTCTTTAAATCCTTCTCTTTTTACCCCAGTTACCAAAAGTTCTGTAGGCAATATTAGATGGGGGGAAACAAACAGGAATGAGCCACCCCTGAATTGACCAAAAAGGTGATAAGCTCATGCTTAGGTCCCGCTTCTAGATTTATCAAGGGCTCCTGGTGGGACTCAAGATAAAAGAGACAGGGCCCCTGACCCCCGTATTCTTCCTCGAAAGTCATGAGTGGAAGGGCTTCTTTCTCCTTTTTAAATTCAGGACATTCTGTCTTGAAGTGGCCTGTTCTTCTACATTTGTAGCACCTATCTTGCCCTTACCCCCTCTCAGTTCTGGGATTCTTTGACTTTGCTTCCCCATACTCTTTAGAGGGCCTGGTAAACAAGGTCCTTAGTCCTTTAAAGGAGTATTTGGACCCTTTATGGTTCTGGCCCCTTGAAGCTCTGTTTAGAAGTATATGGGTTTGGAGTCATCTGTTGGAAGGTGGATAACATAAGTTTTGTCTTTTGTTTTTGCTTTTCTTCATGTCTTCTCACATATACTTTTTGAGCTTCCCTGAGAAGTTCACTTAGGAGATGGTCTTCCCAATTTTCTACTTTTGTAATTTTTTTTGAGATGTCTGGCCATCTTCTAGTGACAAATTGGAGTTTTAATATTCCTTGCCCAAGGGGATCTTCTAAATTGAGGCCTGCATATTGTCTCATTTGCTCTTTCAGTCTATTTAGGAATCTCATAGGCCCTTCATCCTTTTTTTTTGTTATATATCAAATGCTTTAGAGAGATTTGGGGTTTGGGGTACTGATTCCTGAATTCCTTTTATTATCATCTCCCTTAGGTCCTGCATGTTTTTATTGTCCAACTGGGGGTCTCGGGCGGGGAATTTCTGGTTCACAGTAGGAACTTTTTGACTGGGAGGACACTCACGTTCCCAAATTACCATAGCAGCCCTACGAATCACACTCCCTTCTTTTCCTGAAAAGAGGATGTCCAAGATGGACATTAACTCTACCCAAGTGTATAACTGAGGTCCTAAAAATTGATCAGTTTGATCTGTCACTCCATAAGGGTCATCTTGCAGTGGCTTAAGCTCTTTCTTTAAATTCTGGACCTCTGAACTGATTAAGGGAGCATTCACGGAGCCAATGGTTCCCCCTCTTTATGGCATTTCTCTTAAGGGAAAGAGAGCAGGGGCTGACTCTTGAGTTGTAGAGGGGAAAGGGAAGTTCTGGATATCCTTTTTACATTGCTCTATTTCACACTGGAGTCCCTTTAGGGAGGGGTCCTTAGGCTGATAGGGGACAGGCTCCTGGGATGATAATTTCTAAAAGTCAGGATTGTAAGGAGGAGGAGTAACATGAGTAGGTGAAGGATCTAGAGTGGGATCTGGGGCAGCAGCGGCTGCCTGAGGAGAGGGGTTGGGGTCACTGAGTGGGGGAAGATGGTCTAGGGGATCCCATGTGCTGGAGTCTTTGAGCATTGGAACTAACTTACCTAATTTTTCCTTTTGTGATGCTAGATCAGGTTCTTTCCTAGTTGTCTCAAAGGGAAAAAGGAGGACAGGTCCCTGCCTCCAACAAAGAGCATAGTCCATTTCCTCTTAAGAAGCTGGGCTTTTATCATTGACATATTGAATCAAAAGCTGACACATCGCACTCTCATTTGACCTAAACTTTGGCCAGAAGATTGAGGGTTTGAGGATGGGTCCCTGAGTCCAAATAAAACAGTAATTGCTGCTGCTTATGTTTAGTCTTCTCATTATCTTTCCAGTCTTTTAACATGAGACCTAGGGGACTATCGGGGCAATATCTTTACTGCTACCTTTATCCTTTTTACTCCTTGTCTTGCTTAGGGTATTTCCCATGTCAGGTCCTAGTATTAGAGACTTCTTGCCTATTCTCTGGAGGCTTGTTAAGGCTCAGTCCCTTGTATTAGAGATTTCTTGCCTATCCTTTAACCCCGCCTCCTGGAGGATCCTTGCATCCTTCTTTTGCTTTGTCCACTCTGGCTACTTCCCTCGTGGGAATTTAGGCCCCTCTTGGCATTGGCATGCCGGTATGAAACCCACAGCAGGATCCGCCCTAAGCTGTATGAAGTGACCACAGAACTGCAGATAGGACCCACTCACTCTGCACAGCAGTAGTGCTTGGTACCATTCACACAAGCAGCACCGCAAGCAGTAGTGCTTGTGATCATTCACACACACTTTCATCCTCCAGAATATCCCAACCACCAAGGAAATACTTTGTCACCCCTGCAACATTTCTTACCTTGGTCTGTGCAGAGTTACCTGGTTGCTGCAGCATGTGAGAATCCTTTTGCCAAGCTGCTGGCCTGTATCTTTTCTTGTTGCCGAGAGTCTGGGTTTATTTGTTGCACTGGATGGGTTCCAATCTCTCACACTGAGGCCACTGCAACAAGGCGATGGGATGCGCCTCCCCACAAGAAGTGACCAGAGACCGGTTCCCCGGAGGAGAATGGGAATCCTGGGTGGGCCCCCAAATTGTTGGAAGTAAATGCTTGGTGTCACAAAGTGAAAATATACTCAGGCAAAAGTTTTCTCATCAAGGCAATTTACTTCTGTAGAAGGGTGTGTCTCGCGGATGGAGCAATGGCAAGAGCACACTGGACAAGGGAGGGAAAGGGGTTCTTATTCCTAACAGCTGGTCCCTACTGTTGTGTCTTTCCCCTATTGGCTAGGGTTGGACTGCACAATCTAAACTGACTCGATTGGCTGCTGTTTGTAATTGAACACAGATATCTAGGCGGGAAGGGGAAGGCTATGCGTTATGGCGTAAGACATGTCTAGGCATGTCAGGGCGCGGCAAGGGCAGGAAGGGTTAGTTATAGCATGGATAACTACAGAAACCAGAAAAACGAAGTGGAAGAACTGGGAATTAAAACCTTTTGAAGAGGAATTTATCATCTCTGTCATGATATTTTGCATTGGTGGATTTAAAAGGAAAGCCACTTCTGCTGCTTTCTTGCTCAGTGTACTCAAAGTGGGAATCTGAATCTTCTCCCAGTCTGAATGATTCTGTTAGTCATGAAGAACTAGTGAACACTGTCTTGAGTTGAAATTCAGTTTGCTCTGTCTTAGGCTTTGGTTTTTGTTTTTATTTTAACGAAAATCTTACATTTATCTTAGACTTTGATTTTTATTTTTTATTTATTTATTTTTTTTGAGACGGACTCTTGCTTTGTCGCCAGGCTGGAGCGCAGTGGCGCAATCTCAGCTCATTGCAACCTCCACCTCCCGAGTTCAAGCAATTCCTTTGCCTCAGCCTCCCAAGTAGCTGGGACTACAGGTGCGCATCACCATGCCTGGCTGATTTTTTGTATTTTGGTAGAGACGGGGTTTCACCATGTTGGCCAGGATGGTCTCGATTTCTCGTGATCCACCCACCTTGGCCTCCCGAAGTGCTGGGATTACAGGCGTGAGCCACCGCGCCTGGCCAACTTTGATCTTTTTAAACAAAATTCACATTACATTGTGAATGGGATCCTTGTCATTAGGTCTTAATCTTAAATTTAGGCTAAGACTTTTAAAACTAGCTTTTGATAAATGAATGAGCATTAAGTTCTTGTTTGCAAACACCCATTTGGCCATGCGGAATCAAGAAAGTTGTTACTTCTTCGAAAGATGATTTTTCAGTAATCTCTAAGTCATCGTGTATTTGTGATCATATATTTCTTAGGTATAGAAAATTAGACCCTTATACTGAAATAAAGTATAAAGATTTAGCTTGATATGCTACTGAATCTAATTTGAGAGACCTGGGGAAGGGGATAATAATGGTCTTGTGTCCTTGTACACTTTTGTCTAAAAGAAGGCTTTGATGACTTTTTAGAGTAAGTTTTAAAGTCATTCTATATGGCTTGAGGCAATACAATTTTTGTGTATCCCCAGTTACGATTAGAGCTTTTTAAAATATAAAGTGATACAGTTCATTGTCATTTAGCTCTATTTCTAAATTGTGTCACATAATTTGTGTCAAGAATTATAACTGTCACCATGCTTATATAAACTTAGAGAGATTCATGTAGCCTATTGAATTTGATCCTCCTGACTGAAAAGTGGATTGGCTAGATGGATTGGATGTCCAATTTACAAATGGGAATAGGAAGGCTCAGAGAGTTTAGTGAGTTATTCAGTGACATTGCAGAGCCAGCACTAAACATGATCTTAATCTGAGATTGACTTATTAACATGGATTGGTTTCTATTGAATATTATCATGGTTTTACAATATTTTCCCTAGACACCTTAAAAGAACTGAAGTACTTGAGAGCTAGATAAGGAATAGATGAGGGAAGGGATGACATAAGATATACCTTGATTAAATGGAGAGCACTGATAATGCCTATTATATTATTTATTAAGCCCGTTTCTAAGTGCCACATCTGTATTATCCCATTTGTTCTCTATAATAATCTTATCAGATGGGTAATGTTTTTTCTCATTGATGAAGAGTTTGAGGTCCAGAGAGGTCAAATAAATTAGCCCAAGATCGCACCTTTGTTAATTGGGATAAGAATTCTTCCAGTCTTCCTTCAGACTGCATTATCTATATATATCAGTATAAGATTATGTAATTGAGTTAATTTCGTTAGACCCTGAAGGGGTTGCTGTACTTCAGCAGTTCTAAATTCTGTAGGTTGAGAAAGTTTAGCAAATTTTGAATACTGGCACTTGTTTTATTACATGGTAAGGTTCTATTCTGCATGATAACAATTTGTACAAATATTGTCTACCCTTTATTTATCTAAATATTTCTTATCAAAAAATGATGTTTTGAATTTATATTGCTCTAGATCGGGGTATCCAATCTTTTGGCTCCCCTGGGCCATTTGGAAGAAGAATAATAGTCTTGGGCCACTCATCAGATACACTAACACTAACAATATCTGATGAGCTTAAAAAAAAAAACAGCCAAAAAAACAATGTTTTAATAAAGCTTACAAATTTGTGTTGAGACACATTCAAAGCTGTCCTGGGCCACATGTGGCCCATGGCCTGCAGGTTGGACAGGCTTGCTTTAGATGAAGAGGAAGTAGGTTAAATGATTTCCACAAAATGCCACCAGTTACTTTTGGTTGCTAAGGATATTTCCATTTATTTCCGATCGAATGAATGTTTAGTTCTCTTTAAAGATTCAGTTTGTGCATTTATTCAGGATTTTTGGTATTTATTTATATGTTCATAAAATAATTTAGTGGTATATGAGATAGTTGTTTTAAAATACTAAACAGCCTTTGTAGGTTGTACTTATCTTACGGAATTTTACTTTAGCACACTTATGAAGAACCCCAAGTAAAAAGGTAGACATGAAACTTACTTAGATTATCAATTTGCTGCTACAGGTTTGCAGCAAGAATGGTTTTTAAAAAACCACCAGATTTAGGAGTTAATTTTTTTTTCAGGTGATTTTGTTTGTAATACTAGACAAGAGATACGTCCAATTGTTTGTGATTTCTTTCCGGTAGGAAAAACTTCAGTAAATAACTATGAAGGAAAGAACTTGTGAAGTCCCCATGTGAAGTTCTTCACTTTTAAGGTGCTTTCTTTTCATATCATGGTAAAATTGGACCAACTGAATTTACACTTTGTAAAATTCACTCACTGTAGCATTGATATTGCTTCATTACTACCACTTTTTATTTTCATTTTTTAAAATATGTAGAGTGATAAATGAAATATGTTTGTTTATATCTAACATTAGAAACTTTCTGGGATGCTCAGAATGACTGAACAGGTTGTGTGATGCTCCCTAGTGTTTTGTTCATTTATTTTTTATTTTCCTCAAACTGATGATTCTTCTGAGAACATCTTGATAATTAGTTTTATACGTATTAAAAGAATAGGAAACAGAAATGGTTTACATAGTATAAATATACATATGGTTGGCCACTTATGAATTGTATAAAATATATATCAGCTACGTTTTTTAAAGGTGCCAAATTGTTCATAATATTCAGATGTTTAACATTTTAGGAAATTTAGTTTATGTCTCAAACAACTAAAAATTTTTAATTACAGCACTTTTACATATAATACCAAAGTTGTTTAAATGGGAATTTGTAAAGCAGTACATGGTTTTGATTTTATAGTATGCTTCACATTAAGTAAATATGAACTCTACCACTTTGTAGCCTTAAGAATGATGTGGCTCATGGAATTTGTTGTGGCGTTATTGTAGCAACTAAGTTAATAATTTTTCACCTTCAGTATTTTGAAGCAACATCCCATTTTCATTGAACTTAAATGGAGAGACACAGTATTACATTTGTGTGCCACATAGTGCCATATTGGTAAATGACAGACTACATACACAATGGTGGTGCTGTTAGATCATATACTACCTTATTTTTACTATGTCTTTTCTATGTCTAGATATACAAATACTTAGCATTGTGTTACAGTTGCCTCCAGTATTCAGTACTGTAACATGTTATAAAGGTTTGTAGCCTAGGAGTAATAGGCTATGCCATAATAGCCTAGATGTGTAGTAGACTATAACCATCCAGGTTTGTGTAAGTGCATTATATGATACACAATGATGATATCTCCTGATGACACAATTCTCAGAACATACGGTCATTAAATGACACATGACTGTATTTTATGTGCCCCTAAAAGTGGGAAAAAAAAAACACCTAAATGGAAAATCTGAAACTTACTCAACAGATAAAGTTGAGACACCAAAGGGCTATACCCTCCATGGAAAGAAGAACTATACCTACCATGCCAGAGGAGACAGTAAAGAAATTTGAATGTTTTAACTCTTATTATTGGGATGAGGGAGGAAAAAATCACGTCTGAGGAGTTGAGCCGTAGCCAATTCTCATAAGTTTGCATCCTGTATTCCCATTAACAGTAAGTGTTATAGATAGCTTAGAAACTTTTAATGGTCTCAGATTGATGGTGCTGCCAAAGTGACTGGCATAAATCAACACAAATTCTTTAAAAGATTCAGCTTCAAAGAAAGAGATTATAAAAAGTATCTCTATGTTATGTATATCCTAGAATTAATAGAAAATGGGAATCATAACATTGCCACAAAGTAGGTTTTTTAGACTTTGAAAAACAGACTTTTCTGGGATGCTCAGTCCTCTAAAGGAACTCTAAATTTCTCAAATTCTTACAATAGTTTTTCATACAAAATACAGTATTTTGCATATTTGTGGTTTTGTTCTTTGGTTTTATGTAAACATCACAGTTTTGGTTTAAATTACATTAATGAATGATCGATTTACTCTCAGGATATTCAGTTATATTTAATTTAGGACTTGCAGATTAGTTTGTTGGGTAAAACAAGATTAACTAGTCTTCACCCCCAGTATTTACAGAGATACCAAGGGAGAATGTAGCTTTTTATTTGACATTAAATCTCATTCTATAATCAATACCATGATTTCCAGTCTGAAAGAACATTTTTGAGGTGTTTAAACATTTTAGGTATGGGAAGAAGAACAATTAAAGAGAGAACTCTGTCAGACTCTATGTTCTTCAGTGATTTTCAATTACTGCCTACTGGAGGTCTCATTGGCCTGGTCTACTAAACTCTTAAATATTTGTTTTTTTGTGGCTTTGGTTTTAAAGAAGATTTTATCTTTATGTGTGTGATAAAGTCAGGATATTTCAATTTGAATTTATATTTATTTGTACAGTCTGCTGCTACCATAAGAGAATTTTTTTTTTTTTTTTTTTTTTTTTGAGACGAAGTCTCTCTGTTGCCCAGGCTGGAGTGCAGTGGCGCAATCTCAGCTCACTGCAGCCTCCGCATCCCAGGTTCAAGTGATTCTCCTGCCTCAGCCTCCCAAGTAGCTGGGACTGCAGGCGCGTGCCACCATGCCTGGGTAATTTTTTGTATTTATAGTAGAGACGGGTTTCACCGTGTTAGCCAGGAAGATCTCGATTTCCTGACCTCATGATCCGCCTGCCTTGGCCTCCCAAAATGTTGGGATTACAGGAGTGAGCCACCACGCCCGGCGAGAGACTGTTCTATTGCATTATGCAGATTTTACTCTACTTTAAAAAATACCTTTAATTCTTCCGAGAAGTTACTTTGATTAGTTTTTCTCTCTAAGTTTTCAGACCTTGATCTCAATTTAGCTTAGAATTCTAGTTTTGGTTATGTTACTAGCTTTTGATTTTATATGTAGGTTACTTAAAGTAGCAGGCAGTTTCCCTGTTGCCTGTCATGCATCTTGGTTGCTTTCCCACACAACCAGTTACCTGATTCAGCGTATTTTACATTGGCCTAAAGCAAAATTAATTATGAGGATATATCTGTTGGCGGGAGATGTATGGGCTGGGAGTAAGCCTAGTTGTAGTTCTTTCTCATTTGATTGTTGTATTTTTTCTCCTTACTTTGTAAATTATTTATCTGATTCTCTTAGTCTGGATGATGGAGGCTTGCCAGTGCTTCAGTTTTCAAATTCTATACCTTAGAAAAAAATACATATTATTTGGACCATATTCCAAGTCAGCCACCACATTCTTATAGTCACAATTTTTGTCAAAAAGTTCTTGTTTAATGATGTTTAGACAGTTTATTGGTTGTTTTTAACCCATTAACTCAATGCTACTTTATTTTAATAGGTACTTTAGCCTCGTTTAGCTTCATGGGTTACTTTCACAAGGAATACAATTCAGTGTATGAATGTTCTTACATACCTTTAAAAGGCTTCAATCTATATGTTCCTGCTGGCCATATGCTTATTCTTTTCTGTTGTTTCTATTTCTCAAAATGTTCATTTACTTTGAAATTGTTTAATAACTGGTTACCTTGTTCCAATACCTGTGATTATTGTATGTAATTTTTGTCCCCTTCTGAATTTCCTTAGATCTTTTTAATGGTCATTAAAATCAAAATTGGAACGTGGGATTATACTAATATAGATGAACATTGGGTCAAATTCTTGAGAAACTTGTGTTAATTTTCAGGATTTATATTCAAACTTAGTAGAATTAATTCATAGATTTGAATGGTAGTTATTGGTAAACTAGATTGAGCTCCCAAACTAATACCTTCAGATATTTATGTATGTGCCTTAAGTTTTCTGTACATGAGAGGGGATAAATGACGTGTGACTTAAAAAGGGTTTTTTTAGATTATTTTTTAAGTCATTGTTTGGATATTAAGCACCTTTGATCTAGGATTTTGAAATGTGCCACATTGTAAAATTTATTCAGTGCATATATTAAAAATCAAAGGTGAAAAATACAGAAAAAATTTTATCTTAAATTCTCTTGCTCCAAAGAAGTGAGAAAAATATGAATGTTGTGTTATAACTAAAAGGAGATTAATGTTTTTTTAAATTCAGGCTAGAAATAACATAATAGTCCAAACTTTTAAATTTACTTGTTAAAATAATTTTGACCATATATATAAACTGTGACATAAGTATTAAAATAGATTATCGATAAAGTACTTCATTCATTCAACAAGCACTTACTAAGCATACTATTCACATGGTGTAGTGTTTAGTGGTTTTAAATCTTAAGTTATGGGATTCTTAAAGTCATATTAAGTGCTTTGGTCTTATGGTAACCTTTTTTTACTTTTATTTTAGATGCCTGGAATGATGTCGTCAGTAATGCCTGGAATGATGATGTCTCATATGTCTCAGGCTTCCATGCAGCCTGCCTTACCGGTAATCATGTGAAAATAACTATTTTCTGTGAAGTAATGTTTTGATTGATTGCTTTTATATATATGGAATAATATCTATGTATTTTATAGGCAATCATGTTAGCTGTTGAAGTGCCTCTGTAGTACTGTAATAAAATACAAGAATTACCGTGGACTTTCAGTTTCAGTTTCTTTTCTTTTCTTTGTTTTTTTGAGACAGAGTCTTGCTCTGTCACCCAGTCTGGAATGCAGTGAGTGTCATGATAACAGCTCACTACAGCCTCAACCTCGTGGGCTCAAGTAATCCTCCGACCTCAGCCTTCTGAGTAGCTGAGACCACAGGCACGTGCCACCACGCCGAGCTAATTTTTAAATTTTTTTTGTAGAGATGAGGTCTCCCTGTGTTGCCTAAGCTGGTGTCAAACTCCTGAGCTCAAATGATCCTCCTGCCTCGGCCTCCCACAGGGATGACAGGCATGAGCCACTGTGCTTGTCCTGGATTTAGTTTCTATAACTACAATGATAGACGTTTACATTTTTTCCTATATTGATATTATATGTACATCCTTAATTACTAGGTTAATTCTGTATTAAGACCAGAATACTGAAAAGTATACATTGTGAGCCAGAAGCATTTTATTGGTCTGATAACATTTAAGTTTTAAAGGGTAAACATTTACTTCACTGAACGCTAATTAAAAATTGGTATAATGTGATTTAATACTAGATTTAGGAATCAATATTTAATTGGAAATCCACGTTCTGAGACTTCAGCTGTGGCAAATTAATTAGAAAATCTATTGAACAGCCTTACCACCTCTGTCGGGTAGTATAGCAATATAAATTACTATGAAATTCAAGTTAGTTTAACTTCTTTATTCTTTATGTGGTTGTGGTTGTAATAAACAGATGTGGCATACTCCTTGGGGTGGTAAGTTTGCAGTGTCTTTCCCAAAACCCTAAGACCAGATATATTTCAAAAATTCTTTATAATACTGGAAAGTAACACATTGCATATAATATGTAAACATTTCCTGTGGGGTCCAGGGCAATGCTGTCTAACTTAATAATGTTAATATTTTTGCAGCTAAACTAAACGGATATTCACTCTGAAGTGGGATAAATGAAGATGTGGAGTTTCATGTTCATGTAGGGCAGGTTTTGCCACTATAGTGAGTTTTGGTACCATACTTGAAAAAAGTTGGCTTTCAGAGGGTTTTGGTTTCCAGAATTGTGGGTAAAGGATTGAGGACCTTGTGTACACTTGGTGACCATATAACATTTAAACTACTCCCGTAGTCTCGGTTGCTGATCTCTTTTACAATTTATAGCAAGCTCGGGGAACTGAGACCACTAAAAGTTTTGCTAAGAATATGAGTCAGAGGCTTGAGGATTATACATAGCAGGTACTGATTTCACTGTGCTTTATGAGGAACTTATATAAAATACACTTTTAAAAAGATGAATAATACTAATTTCATTTTTCTTCTTACAGCCAGGAGTAAATAGTATGGATGTAGCAGCAGGTACGTATACTCTGTATGGTGGTATGTGTTAGACCTCATTTGGACAGTAGCAGCCCTATTATGAGGAGTAAAAGCAGGATCTCTTGGACTTTATATAACCTCCTTTTTCTTTTTTCTGCAATAGGAAATTGGGATAGGATTGATAATTGAATTCTGTTTTTGTTGTTGTTTTTTTGAGACGGAGTCTCACTCTGTCACCCAGGCTGGAGTAAGTGGTGCAATCTCGGCTCACTGCAGCCTCCGCCTCCCAGGTTCAAGCGATTCTCCTACCTCAGCCTCCCAAGTAGCTGGGACTACAGGCACATGCCTGGCTAATTTTTGTATTTTTAGTAGAGACAGGGTTTCACCATATTGGCCAGGCTGGTCTCGAACTCCTGACCTCGTGATCCACCCACCTCGGTCTCCCAAAGTGCTAGGATTACAGGCATGGCCCACCACACCCAGCGATAATTGAATTCTTAGGAAATTTTTACAGTTTTAGGTCAGGAGTTCTGGACCCAATTTGGTCTGCAGATATACTTTGGCCCACACAAAGTTCTTCAATTTTGTAATTATCGCTAACATTTATAGTCTGCAGATTTTGAGTTTGAATTTATTTTGAAAAGTTGGATGATCTGACTATTCAATACTTAACAGTAGTCCTGTCAACACAGTAGGTGCTCAGAGAATATACGTTAAATGAACTCTGGTTGAGTTGATATTTGTACTCAGCAAACACTAGAATGACGTAGTGGCTCCATTCTTTAGGTGTTTAGTCTGGGCTCTCCTTGGGGTTCTAGACTACTTCAGAGTTACTTTTCTGTCATCTCCTTGGCCCTTGTATTAATAGCCATTGGAGTAAATATCAGTTCCCAATAACTGGCCATTTTGACTAGTGAGATTTTAATATATAATAGTAATGCCTCCAGTATCATGATTACATAGTTTTCCACATAAATTGATATTCCAGATGCCGAACTTTATGACACAATTATGACAATATTTTTTTTGTTATAAACAGTATTGGTCGAAAGGTGTTGAAAATGTACTGTGTGCCTTTCTGTGGGTTCAAATGGGACTAAATTGATTTTTTTAAGATGTTTCACAGATTTCATTATTTAAAATGTTCTTAAATACCTAATACAATTATTTTCTTTTATTTAGATATCCAGAGCTGGGTACTGTTACCCTCAGTAATCTTGGAAAATTACATAATTTTTTTTTTTTAGTTACTTTTAATACGCTTTGGCTCTACAGTTATTTTCTATAGTAGCTTCTTTTGAGTGTACTCAGTATATATGAACTTTGTTTTGTTTTGTTTTACATACAATCTCCGTCTTTTTTTATTTACATGTTTAAATTACTAGTTTCTAAAGTTTGAGATTATTATTAGGAGTTTTGTGACTAACATGCATTTCAAAATCCCTTGAGTTTTCTATAGTAGTATAGGACAGTACCATCTAATAGAACTTTCTGCAGTGATGGAAATGTTCTGTAATCTGTACTGCTTAATACAGTAGCCACTAGACACATGTAATTATTGTGTATTTGAAGTGTGGCTGGTGCAGCTGAGGAACTGAATTTTTAAAATTTTATTTAATCTTAATTTAAATTTTAATTTAAAGGGATGTCTGGTGTCTGCTCGCTACTGTATTTTACAGCACAAATCTGGAATTTAGATAAAGTTACCAGGAATCTAAAGCTATAGAATCAGTGGTTAGAGGTGTTATTGTGCTTTGGTAATATACTTAGTAGAGAAGGAGGAATAAGAAAGATAGATACCTATTATAGTAGGGAAAAGAGAAACAAAAGGCTAAGTTGAATACTTATCAAACTGCCTCCAAGTGAGTCCAAGTAAGTTTGTGCATTGAAAGTTCAAACTCTGAGCATGTTTTGCACTATAGATGTTTATTTTGTGGGAAAGATAGCAAGCACTTAGGTTATATGAGACAGTCTCAAAATCTTTAGAGAGGATGAGGAGGAGTAAGTACTATGAATATATGAATAAATATTAAAGCTATTATGAAGGAGAGCATGATTTATCATGGTGTAAATATTTTGCCTGTTTTTTATTTTTTAGGTACAGCATCTGGTGCAGTAAGTACTCTTTTAACCTTTGTAATATTTTAATTTTACTATACTTTAACCTACTTTACAGTTATTCTTATTTCTGTTCTAAGGATTATCTGCTAAATCTTTACATTAATCCATAGTTTTCCCCTTTTTTTCTATGACAAGGATTGAAAAATTGATTTATTTTAAAATCTGGTTTTGGTGGGACTTAATGAGAGATGAGAATTACATGTATCAACTTTTAAAAGGATTTAAATTCTTCCCATCACAATTAGAAGGGAAGCAGAACTTGTAGGTACACAGTGCTTAACCTAGTAATTACAAGTTAAGCATTACATTAGGAGATAATCTTTTTTTTTTTTTTTTTTTTTTTTTTTTTTTTTTTTTTGAGACACAGCCTTGCTCTGTCACTAAGACTGGAGTGCAGTGATGAGATCTTAGCTCACTGCAGTCTCCGCCTCCTGGGTTCAAGTGATTCTCATGTCTCAGCCTCCCGAGTAGCTGGGCTACAGGCGCCCGCCAGCATGCCCGACTAATTTTTATATTTTTAGTAGAGGTGGGGTTTTGCCATGTTGGCCAGGCTGGTCTTGAACTCCTGGCCTCAAGTGATCTGACCGCCTTAGCCTCCCAAAGTGCTGGGATTACAGGCGTGAGCCACAGTGCCCGACAGATGTTAGATGATAATTTTACATATATATATATATGTATGTATGTATGTATATATAAATGAAAATTTATGTACCTTAATTTAAAAAACCCTTTTGTTATACCTTCTTAACACTGTGTTAGAAAGAAAAATGGAATATTCAGAATAGCATTGATTTTTATTTAGGAAAGGAGAGAATAATATTTAAAGATAGCTATTTTATGCTTCTTGATATTAGTCCATGCTTTAGCTTCAAGGATTTTTTTTTTATTTTGCTATTCCTTAAAGATCAATGGAAGGAAGAGTTTTGTTTATAATCTCATTTAATCATAACGTTCCTGAGAGGTAGCTGTTATGCTACTGTTACAATTAACGGAATTGATTGCAAATACGTTATTTTTCGCATTTGGGGAGAAAATTTTAAATTAAGAATTGTATTTAAATGTTTTTAAAACATTCTTGTGTCTTTTGCCTTAAAAGTTAAATGGTTGCAAAATATCTTTTTTTTTTTTTTTTTTTTTGCTTGTTTGTTTGTTTTTGAGACAGAGTCTCTGTTGCCCAGGCTGGAGTGCAGTGGCTTACTGCAACCTCCGCCTTCCAGGTTCAAGCGTTTCTCCTGCCTCAGCCTCTTGAGTAGCTGGGACGACAGGCATGTGCCACCATGCCTGGCTAATTTTTGTATTTTGTAGAGATGGGGTTTCACCTTGTTGCCCAGGATGGTCTTGAACTCCTGTCCTCAAGTGATCCGCCCACCTCGGCCTCCCAAAGTGCTGGGATTACAGGCATGAGCCACTACGCCCAGCCCATTTGGTATTATTCTACTATAAGTACCTGCTTTTATTTTTGAGAAAGGATAACTTAATGGTTTGTTTGTTTGTTTTCTTATTTAAGTAATGCAGGCTCATTGGGAGGAAAACAAAGCAGACATAAGTTAAAAAGAAAGTAAAATTCATCCTTAATTTTTTGACCATGAGGGAACCACCATTAATATCTTATCTGAAGATCTTTTTGCATGTTACTTAAGCATAGACAAATACATACACATTTTACATAATTGGTTCACATTACATATGCTTAAGTTACTTGTTAAATACACTTTTTCTTGTTTAAAACTTTATTGTGAAAATCTGTGTAAGTTCCTTAATGTAGATGTAATTTTTTAAATGACTTTATAAAGTATTCTTTGCCATAGAGACACATTAAACCATTCACTTATTAATGGAAATTCAATTTACATGTTGGATCCCCTCCCAATTATGAATTTTTTTTTTTTTAACACCTAAGAAGTATTCCAGGAATAACATATTTGGAATGGAGAGTATGTAACTAGTCATGTTGTTTTTCAAGAATGTAAAAGACATATCTAATAATGGTGTAGTAACATGTCTTTTTCTTCAAGAATCTCTAGCAGCAATAGCCAGTATCACTTATTTGAATTTTAGTGAGTGGACATGGGTTTAAAGTGATAGTTCTTCTTTGACTCTTAATGAGATTGAACATTTTATTTGGTATTTGGATTTCTCTTCTGTTAACCTATCCCTGTCCTTTCCTGTTTTTAGGTTGGGTTATTTTTTATTTTTTCTTGTAAATTTCATTTTAAGAGTTTTTTCTAATGTTATTGATGTTAACCCTTTAATAATCATGAATTTCAAATATTTTTCTTAGTCTGTCATTGGTCTGTTGATTTTGCTTTTAATGATCTTGCCACACAACCTTTTAGTATGTTAATGTGGTAATTAGATAGGTTATCATTTTTAGCTAATGCGTTTATTGAAGTTTTTACAAAGGTTTCCTCATTCTTACATTTTCTTGGAAGATTCTTATTGCTTTATTTATCATTAAGTGTTTGATTCATCTGGAATATCTGTCTATAAGATGGATAGCCAGTTGTGTCAGCTATCAAAAAATTTTTTCTGACTTTAATTGAAAGCTCTTTATTGTCATATCTTAAATTCTCATATATTCTGGGATTTATATCTGTGTTTCCTTTTCCACTGTTTATTTCTGTTTGTGTTTTTCTAAACCAATATTAATACTTTTCCTGGCCAGGTGCAGTGGCTTACACCTGTAACCCTAGCACTTTAGGAGCCAGAAGTGGGAGGATTTCTTGAGCCCAGGAGTTTGAGATCAGCCAGGGTAACATGGTGAAACCCCATCTCTACAAAAATACAAAAATTAGCCAGGCATGGTGGCACACACCTGTAGTCCCAGCAACTTGGGAGGCTGAGGTGGGAGAATTGCTTGAGCCCAGGAAGATCCAGGCTGCAGTGAGCCGAGATCACGCCACCACCGCACATTAGTAGGGAGACCCCATCTCAAAAAAAATCTTTTTTTTCTTTATTAAGGGGTATGTTTTTCTTGGTTTCCAGACATGGGACTTTTGTTTAAAAAATAGATAACTGTTTTTTTAGAGCAGTTTTAGGTTTATAGCAAAATAAAGTGGACAGTTGAGTTCCCAGATTATAGGCCCCCCCACCCCAACACATAACTTACTGCTCTCCCACACTGTCAGCATATCACACCAGATTGGTGCATACGTTACAATTGGTGAATATACATTGACAAATTGTTACCATCCAAAGTACAGTTTATATCAGGGTTTACTGTTAATATTGTACATTCTATATATTTTGACAAATGTATAATGAATATGTATGTATCAGCCCTTGCAGTATCACACAGAATAGTTTCATTGCTCTAAAAATTGGTGCTCTGCCTATTCATTTCTTCCTCTTCTACTCCAGCAACCATTGTTTTTGTTTGTTTGTTTGTTTGTTTTTCTGCCTCCGTAGTTTTGCTTTTCTAAGAATTTCATATAGTTGGAATCATACAGTATGTAGCCTTTTCAGATTGGCTTGTTTTACTTAGTAATATGCATTTAAGTTTCCTCCATTGTCTTTTTATGGCTTGATACTTCATTTCTTTTTCTCACTGAATAATACTCATTATCTGGATGTACCACATCCAGATCCATTATGTACTGAAGAACGTTTTGGTTGTTCCCAAGATTTGGTCATTATGAGTAAAGCATCCATGTGCAGGTTTTCTGTGTGAACGTAAGTTTTCAGCTAATTTGGGTAGATATTAATAACGAGGAGCACTATTGCTGGATTGTGTTGTAAGAGTATGTTTAGTTTTGTTAAGAAACCTTGAAATTGTCTTCCAAAGTGGCTGCACCACTCTGAATTCCTAACAGCAATGAATGAGAATTTCTGGTATACCACACCTTCACCAACATTTGATAATATCAGTGTTTTGGACTTTTGCCATTTTAGTAGGTGTGTAATGTATCTTGCTTTAATTTGTGGCTAATTATATGTGATGTGGAGCATCTTTTTATTTGCCATCCTTACATCTTTGGGAAAGTGTTTCTTTGGATCTTTTGCCTATTTTTTAATCAGATTGTTTTATTATTGTAGAGTTTTGAGATAACAGGTTTTTATCATATTAAGTCTTTTGCAACTATTTTCTCCAAGTTTGTGGCTTATCTTCTCATTCTTCAGACTATCTTTAACAGAGCAGAAGTTTCTAACTTTAATGAAAACTAAATCTGTTCTTTCAGCCTATCAATTATTTCATGGATTGTATCTTTGGGGAACTTTTTTTTTTATGAGCTATCCTTATTGCATTATGATCAGAAAGTACAGTCTGTAAGATGTAAAGTTCTTTACAGTTTATTAAAGCTTCATGTATGTTCTTGTTCAGGGCTAGTTTTTAAGAATATTCTGTGTGCTATATAAAGTTACTTTGTTATTCCTGCATCTTGGCATGTCTTTCATCTGCTTGGATCTACATAAGAAGATAGTGAATTAAAATCTTTAACTAGAAAAGATGAGTCATCTGTTTCTCCCTGTATTTTTCTGTTGCCTGTCTGAATTTCAAGGTTAAATTGCCATATGCATATGTGTTTAGGATAATTTTTGATCTGTTACTTTTTACCAGTATATAGTCTCCCACTTTTCCATTATGATTTTTGTTTTAAATTCTGTTTAGGTAAGGTAAATAGGTACCCTATTTTTAAAGTTTCTGTTTGCATTGTAAAAATGTATTACAAGCCTGGAAAACAAAGTGAGACCCTGTCTCTACAAAAAATAAAAAATTAGCCCAGCATAGTGGTGTGTATCTGTAGTCCCAGCTACTCAGGAGGCTCAGGAGGGAGGATCTTTTGAGCCCAGAAGCTTGAGGCTGCAGTGAGCTGTGATCTTGCCACTGCACTCCTGCCTGGGCAACAGAGTGAGACCCTTTCTCAAAAAAAAAAAAAAGAAAAAGTTGTTACATTGTGAGTACAGTATTTTTCCTATTTTTATTTTAACCTGGTTATCGTCTATTCAGATTATTTTGTGTATTTGTCTTGTAACCAATGACATTACCAGATTTCCTTATCAATTCAAATAGTATTTTAAAACTGTAACTAGATTTCACTGGAATTTTATATGTGTAAAAATAGCAGTAAAGGCAAGAGAACTTTACTTCTCCAAAATTTACACCAGTAATTTCATTTTATTGCTGTGGTATATTTGCTAGAATTTTAGTGATTCCAGGCATGTTTTTGTGATTTTAATGGAAGTGGCTTTAGGGTGATAACTGATTGCCTTTTAATCATTTAGGTTTTTTATTTCTTAAATTATTTCATTTGAGCATTTTGCTTTTATTTTTTTATTTTTTGAATACTTGTGAACTTAGTTTTCTGGGTGTGATTTGATCATACAAAGTTTAATAGTGGGATCACGTGTTTTTTTTTTTTTTCATTTGATTAGATAGTGGAAATAATTTCTTCTGTAGATTTTCTAATATTGAACTACTCTTGCACTTCTACAGTAAATTCTGCTTGGTCAGAGTGTGTATGTTGTTAAATTTAAATTCATGATGCTCTTCTGGTATCTTTTCTGCTTCTTGTTAATTAATGGAGAGCATTTCATCTTTTTTTCCCCATAATCTGAAATCATGATGTAACATTGCAATTCTGTGTTCTTTAAAGGTTGTATAACATTCTGCTGTGAAACCATCTGGTTTTGTATCTTTCTGTTGTGTCTGTGTTGTTGGGATGTTCAAGTGTGATGTGCTTTTTCTGGGGTCAATTTTGGTTAAGTGATTTGCTTGGAAATCATTTTCTCTAGGTTTTGATTGGTTGTAAATCTGTATCTGTGATTGTATTTTTCCTCAATTCTGTTTATTATTTGGCTTTTTCTTTTTTTTTTTTTTTGAGACAGAGTTTTGCTCGTTACCCAAGCTGGAGTGCAATGGTGCGATCTTGGCTCACTGCAACCTCTGCCTCCCGGGTTCAGGTGATTCTCCTGCCTCAGCCTCCTGAGTAGCTGGAATTACAGGCGTGTGCCACCACGCCTAGCTAATTTTTTGTATTTTCAGTAGAAAACGGGGTTTCACCATGTTAGCCAGGCTGGTCTTGAACTCCTGACCTCAGGTGATTTGCCCATCTCAGCCTCCCAAAGTGCTGGGATTACAGGTGTGAGCCACCATACCTGAACGGCTTTTTAATATTTTCCTTATTTAGAGTAGTGAGGGGATTTTTCTATTCAGTGTTTGGATTTAGCCATTTTTTCTAAGTTTTCATAAATTCAGTTTATACATTGTACAAATGTGTGTGTATATGTGTTTGTCTCCATGACACACAGAAGGTTGAGTTTGAGTATATTGAATTTCTTTAAAACTGTTGTGTCTTGTTGACTAGCTTTTTCTGACTCTGAAGAGCTTATTACTTGTGATAGTTACATGTGTATGCTTTTTTCCTTATGCCCAGTTTTCTTTGCATTTCAAATGATTTTTCTGTATAAATTTTTGCCACTGTATCATTTGGCACTGCATTTTAGACATTTTCTATCTTATTACAAATAGGATAATCAGTAATACGAATGGACCATAATTGACCTGTTTTCCTATGGGTGTACATTGAGTTAACTGTAATTTTTCACCATTACACGTAATATTATAAATAACGTCCTTGTACATGTTTGCAACAATATGAATGGAAGTTTTCAGAGTGAAATTTCAGGTTCAAGCGGTGATGTTTGCATTTTTAATATTTGTAAGAACTGCTGAATTGCCTTTATGCTAATTTCATTCCCAACAGTAACACATGAGAGTGAGAAAAAGTACCCTTTTTCTCACACACCTTTCGCATTGTATATTAATGGTCTTTGTCATTTATCTGATGAGCAAAAAGTTTTTATTAATGTGTGGTTTTTTGATTGGCTAGTGAAGTTGAACATCTAATATAATAACTGTATTCTGTCTATGGCCATGTTTATTTTTCCATTAGACTGTGTTTTCATATTGATTGTAGATATAGTAAGGATAATTTTATCCCTTATTTTGCTGATACACTCCCAGTTTATCTACCTACTCCCCCAAAAAAGTTGTTTTAATTCAGTTCCCAGAACTGCTGTTTCATATCTAATTTTTTTATTAGCATAATAACTGTTGGTAATAAAATAATTGTGGTCTTGAAAAGCAGCTCGATGTTCTAGTGTCATTTCCCAAGTCCCTATGAGCAAGTTACCAGCCTTGCTAAACCTTGGTTTTCTTATCTGTAGAAAGATAGTGATTATACCTGCTTTGTAGTGTAATTAGTTATAAGGCTCAAATAAATAGTTAGAGAATATTAAGTTGATTTCTATTTGTTTTATTAGCTTGTGTCTCCTCTCCCTCCTCATCATTTGGTCAACTATACAGTGTCCTTTTCTTTTTTATTCTTTTATCTCCTTGTGGTTTTGCTGATTTTGCTCTTTCCTTGATGCTCCTTAGCAGATGTGACTTGAAAAGTTGAACATAGTCTACACAGTTTTGCAGCTTATGGTAGAACTCTGTTTAAGTGGTGATGGTGCAGTTTTGAGATGCTACTGACATCATTAGTTGTTTTTAAAAGGAAAATATAAACCCCTTTATCTGTCTTAACACCATTTAATTTGTGAAATAAAGCATTACCATATAGTCGAAGTTTCCACATTTGTGTTTCTAATTGCACCACCTTTTGATGAAAAGAAGTTAAAGCAGGCTAATAGCAGAAAGCCAGATTATTTTTCCACCACCTGTTTTTATATTTGCTTTGGAGATTTTTCCAGCACCTGTTTTATATTTGCTTTGGAGATATTATGGTGATTTTATCCATTTTAAAGTGCTAGAATTTAACACAGCTTTGGAATTATCTAATTATCCTGCTACAGCATGCAGAAATTTATTGCAGATGGGACCATCTAGTTGGGAGACAGTGACAGATCATCAGGCATTAGATTCTCATAAGGAGCATGCAGCCTCACATGCACAGTTCACGATAGGGTTTGCACTCCTATGAGAAACTAATGCCACCACTGATAGGACAGGAGGCAGAGCTCATGAGGTAATGCGAGTGATGGAGAGCGCCTGCAAATACAGATGAAGCTTTGCTCGCTCACCCACTGCTCACCTCCTGCTGTGCGGCCCGGTTCCCAACAGGCCACGGACTGGAACTGCTCCATAGTCCATGGCCTCGGGGTTGGAGACCCCTGCTGTAATCCATAGTGTCTGTGACCTCCGTTGTCAGGGTAGCAGTTGTGCATGAGTAAACAGCAAAAGTGCCCACATCAAAAGAATGGATGTCACTGGTTTCAAAGAAAATTATAAAAGTAATGGCACTCCCTTAGGAGCTAGGAATAAAATGATTATGGTGAAAAAATTGGTAAAGAAATGAATCACATATGTTCAGTCACATTCCCAAAACAGAAGTCAAAACTAGGTCAGCTCTTACTCTTTAAAGTTGATAAGAAAAAAATAAAAAATCAGCGTTTTAAATAGGTACAAAAGACATTAAGAACCAGTACCAGTGATTTTTCACTTGTTTTATGATTTTTTTTAAAGATATACTATATTACCAACGTATTTGATGCTAAAGGGCTTATATTTGGAATATAATGGATATCAGCAACTCTGACACAGAAAGTCTCAGTGTGAGGAAATTTAAGGGATCTCTTAAGTACTTTATTTGCCTATTTTTCTCATTATGTATGCATAAAAGTGGTATATGGTAAAATTAATGTGGAAGTAAGACTAACTTTCAATAAGTTTGAAGTAAAATCTGGTAAAAAAGCATAGGGTCATTTGACAGCGATTTTATTTTTTCTTAAGAGGTTTGTACAATAATATGTCTTAGATTTGAGGGAATATTATATAAATCATTTTTGTAACCCTTCAAGCATAGTTAAATTTGTCACCATCTGGAAAATCTGGTGCTTGAAACTAGGTTTACTACCTTTGATATCATTTAGTAAATCATTCATTCATGATGCCTTTTAAAACTTTTAACCAACTTTTATCTGAGGGATGTCTAGTGTTGCCTGGAGTATCATTAGCAACTTCTAGTAGGTTCTTAGTGTGTTCTGTTGACCTTAATAGTGGATTTATATTCTGTAGTTTCATTCATGTAAAATTTTATCTCACCTATCTTGTTTTGAGGCATTCACATACACATTTTATCCCTGTTAAATTTCATCTTGTTGATAGTTAAATTCTGATTGTTGTCCAGAAGCTGTGTTTTGACAGCTGTGTCTTTCTTTATGGAATATCAATTAGAACTTTGTCTAAGTTGATACAAGTATTCCTTGGACTACAGTAGATGAATAGATGATCACATAGTCAGTTCAAATATATTAGCATCTAGTTCCTATATTTTCTTTATCCACTAGGCACAGATTTGTATTCTGAAAGATTGTCTTTTGTATGTAAGCTATAAAGTTACTGTTCTTAGGAGAGTAGTCTTATCTTTGTAATTCAGAGAGATCCTGAAACTTGAATTTACCCTTGCTGCTTTTGAAGTACTCTAAAAACCTTGTTTTTCAGTTCCCTTCCTACTTGTATTGATGAATTATTCTAGATTACTTAAACTGTCAAAATATGCCCAGTTTTTACTTTTGATTGATTTCTTAATATATTTATTGCCTTGGAACTAATGATACTGATATTGTCAATGGCATTGTTACATAATTTACATCTTTTTTAATCTTTATTCTTTAGAAATCAATGTGGACTGAACATAAATCACCTGATGGAAGGACTTACTACTACAACACTGAAACCAAACAGTCTACCTGGGAGAAACCAGATGATCTTAAAACACCTGCTGAGGTAAAAGTTTGAGAGCTGGAATTCAGGGACTGTCAAGTAGACTGGGGCGTATTTTTTAGGATTCTATAAGTAGTCGATTATCAAAGAGCAGTACTGCTTAAATGTCAGAAGAGGATCTGTAAAGACATTCAGAAAAAAAGAGGGTTAGTATAGTCACACCAATCGGGAAGAAGAGCAATAAAACTCAACAGAATAATTTTATTTACTGATTTTACCCCTGCTTAGAAAACCTAGTAGAGTGGGATCAATTTTAAAAAGGTGATTTAAAGAATAAATTGGAAGTGGGGAAGACTGTTTCTTTGCCTGCCGCTGGCTTTTTTTTCTGATAGCAAAACTGGGTGATTTTAAATGACTTCTACTGAGTTCTTAAATTTCCAGTAGGGTTAAGGGTAGTGGAGATGAAATTAAGTTACCTACAAATACTTCCTTCTCTTAGAGTGGGAAGTTTTCTCTTTGCAGGAAATGCCCTTTTAAAAAGTGTGTTTTTATTTTGTTTTTTGTTACAAGTTTTACCATTCAAAATATACAGATATTGAAGAAAAAGTTAAGGTTGAAGGAATAAACTGAATTAAGCAATGTCACATGTTGTTTAATTAGAAACTCTGGGGTGCTAAGTAAGTAAGAGTTGATCTGGCACTCCAGGCTATGCTTAAGTTTCATCCTAGCTGGTGGTATACCTTTTTGTTTTCTTCTCTTCCTAATTAAGGAATTTGAGAAGGTAAAAGTATTTTCCAGGTTGCTGTACTAACATGAACAGCAGTGCTTGGGAGGGGAGGTCGGACGATTTTTAAAAACATGTATTCCAGTACTGATTTATAGCCAATGATATTAATTACATACTTTGTCCAAGACACTCTGTTTGGATTCACACTTTGAATAGATTTCTCATACTACCCTAACAGGTTTTGTTTATTCGATTTTAAGTATATTATACCTACATGTTTTCTTACATAATAAGTTAATTCGTTCATAAACTACGAAACTGAAATCTAAGCATGACTAAATTAGATTTTGTTTTTTTTGAACTTTTATGGTTTTCCAACTAATATTAGTATCAGAGAAGTCTGTTAAATGTGGATGATAGGCCGGGCGCGGTGGCTCACACTTGTAATCCCAGCACTTTGGGAGGCCGAGGCGGGCGGATCACGAGGTCAGGAGTTCGAGACCACGGTGAAACCCCGTCTCTACTAAAAAAAAATACAAAAAATTAGCTGGGCGTGGTGGCGGGCGCCTGTAGTCCCAGCTACTCAGAGAGGCTGAGGCAGGAGAATGGCGTGAACCCGAGAGGCGGAGCTTGCAGTGAGCCGAGGTCGAGCTACTGTACTCCAGCCTGGGTGACAAAGCGAGACTCCGTCTCAAAAAAAAAAAAAAAAAAAAATGTGGATGATAATCTTGACCTATAATGGGGTGTGAATGGTTACAGTAAATAGGATTTGAAATTCATATAGAACTGGTTTTGAATCTTGTCTCTGCTTTTTAATGAGTATATTACCTTAAACAAGTTACTTTCTGACTTCAAGTAACAGTCCCTAGATACAGAATTATGTTACACATTTTGCAGTGTTATAAAGATTAAATAATGTATTCAAATGGCATCACTCAGTGAATATTCAATAATTGATAGTTTATATTATTACCATCATCTCACGAGTTTTAGAATTGTATCAATTGGTAATTTCTAGTGAAAACAGCCATGTAAATGATCAGTGATGTTAAATATATTATTATTAACAAACAGTTTTTTCCTTTTCAGCAACTCTTATCTAAATGCCCCTGGAAGGAATACAAATCAGATTCTGGAAAGCCTTACTATTATAATTCTCAAACAAAAGAATCTCGCTGGGCCAAACCTAAAGAACTTGAGGATCTTGAAGGTAAAATGGGGAAAAGTAGTTTTCAATGTATATGTTTTACATATATATGCCATTCACTTTGAAACAATTCCTCCAGAATAGGATTGTTCAAACAAAGGCCTTATTTTTTTTTTTAATTAAATGATTAGAACATTTAAAATGGCGTATAACAGTTTTTTGGGCTCTTATTTTCTTGTTGCTTTAGATCTCAGTTCTGTAGATTTTAAATAGATTTTTATTTGATTTGATTCCACTGAAACTAGGATACCAGAATACCATTGTTGCTGGAAGTCTTATTACAAAATCAAACCTGCATGGTGAGCTGCTTTGATAATTCATTTTCTGTCATACTTAACATTTTTATTAGAGTATGTCACTAATATTCACTAACCATAATTGGATAAATCTGCAGTGAAAAATCTCTAAGAATTCTTTTCATTAAAGGGTTATATTATAAATGAGCTTGTAGCTTTTAAAGTCGTACTTTGGTTTTTAGAAAAAAGATCGTTTATCATTCAATTGAACAAGGAGTTCATATACAAAATTTCCAAGTCCTACTATGAGTGGTGCATACATAGAACATGTGTTTTAACTCATTTCATGGTAATAGATAGTGGAGAACCTTGAATCTGTATCCATTTATATTTTGTTAGTATATTGTCAGACTATATATTTAATGCTAGTTTTGTTTAGCACAGTGTTGCAAAATAGCCTTGATATGTTCTTTATGGAAGAATTAAGGTAAACCAAGTATCATGCCTTACTTATAAAGGGAAAATTTTTCAACATTGGAACTAATCAGAATAACCCTTAAAAATCTAGAAATACTTAATACTAAATATAAAACCTAAGACTTAAAATAGAGATAATAAGTAAGGATTGAAAATCTAGTTTTTATACTCACTTCTAATAGAATCTAGTGTCATAAATTATACAAAACTAGAAGCAGCAGATTGTAGGAGAATGGGGCTAATAAAGTAGATAGTGATGTGGAATGACATCTGGCAGGAAAAGAGAATAAAAATTTCCTAAAAGACTGTCATATTAAGCCCCTTTACCTTTTCCTTGTGCCACCTCATTAGATAGATAGATCATCATTGTATCAGAAAAATGTTAATTTATATTATTAATGATAACTTTGTAAGTATGTTTTTTCAGCCATCCTAAACAGATTTTCAGAAATGTTTTTCTTTAAAGGGTGATAAGTTTTAAAAATTTTTTTTATAAAGAGTTAGGCTTGTATTATTACTTAATGTGGAGAACCTCATTCCCTAGTAATGTTAAATAAAAGGTATTTTTGTTACATCCAAAGGAAAATGTACTGGAATGAAAAATGAAATTGTGCAGATCTTTAAAGCTCAGTTTAAGTTACCTATACTAGCATTGGCTAATAATAATATTGTAGATAGGTAGATTCCCAGTTGATCATTTATGAATTATCAAGCTCATTTCTGATATAACCCTACTACAAATAGTTGGTGTGCGTAACTATCTATCTACTTGTCAATGCTAGTATATATGTGCTGGAATTTTATAATAAATTTGATCCCATTTTGAATTTAGTATCTTAAAAATATATCAAACTAGTCTCATCCCTGAAGAAAATACAGTTTTCATCCAGAATTATGCAGATACTTTCATAGAGTTGTTGCAGCAGCCTTTGGGAAAGCAGCAGCATGGAATAAGCTTTCCTAGTAATTACTGTTATTTAAGTTTGTTGTATTCTTTATTTGCTATACTAGACTTTCGGAGCAAGAATTTGTTCTGTAAAAGTGATTTTTTATTTTTTAGGATGGTAAATGAAATCCTATTGTATGATACTTTATCTTCTTTTAAAGTTTGTTTTCAGTGATTATATTTTAAAACTAGTAGATGACTTTTTTTCTCTCTTTAATAGCAATGATCAAAGCTGAAGAAAGCAGGTAAGCAATTTTGGACATCAATTTTTATTTACAAATTTGGTCTCTCCTATGATATCCTTGTGTTTTCTCAATTTTCATAATACAAATAATTAACATGTTAGGCTTGATATTTTGATGTCCTTGTAGCATTTTGTTGAGGAAAAATTAGGGAGGGGGATATTTACTCAATTTGATGTTTTGCTATACAGTAATTATTAGAATTTGGACTGTATCCCTTAACAAATTAAGAAGACTGTGTTACAGAAGAGTCCCAAATTCCGTTTGAGTTGATTAGGGAATGGACGAAATATATCTGTGTATCTCTTCCTTTATATAGGGTTTCCTCTAAATGGGCAAACTGGAGAAAATTTAAAGTTCTTAGAGAACTTTCTAATACAGGTCATTTTTCGTGGTGTAAATACAGTCTGATAGATTGGGTATTTTATAAATGTGAACGCTTACTGAACTTTTGAGTGCCTGTAATACATTACCATGAATGTTAACGGAATTAAAGTAGTACAGTTACATTCTGTGGTTTTAAAATCTTTTTTAATGGGCTTGGCATTTCTTGCCGTTTTTTCCTTCAATTATTTTTCTTATTATTTGATTTTATGACCATTTTAAAGCTACCTTTATTTAGCTTTCTGATTACAATAATGAAATGACCAGTGTTCTCTTTTTTTAATGTATAGTAAGCAAGAAGAGTGCACCACAACATCAACAGCCCCAGTCCCTACAACAGAAATTCCGACCACAATGAGCACCATGGCTGCTGCCGAAGCAGCAGCTGCTGTTGTTGCAGCAGCAGCAGCGGCAGCAGCAGCAGCAGCTGCAGCCAATGCTAATGCTTCCACTTCTGCTTCTAATACTGTCAGTGGAACTGTTCCAGTTGTTCCTGAGCCTGAAGTTACTTCCATTGTTGCTACTGTTGTAGATAATGAGAATACAGTAACTATTTCAACTGAGGAACAAGCACAACTTACTAGTACCCCTGCTATTCAGGATCAAAGTGTGGAAGTATCCAGTAATACTGGAGAAGAAACATCTAAGCAAGAAACTGTAGCTGAGTAAGTTTAGTAACTTGTCTTCTGAAAATCAGTACCAGATTGCATTAAATAAAAGTAATTGCCAGTTTAGTTAGTGGCCATTAATAGTTTAAATAAATTTTTTTGAGAATCGTAATATCACCGTTAAGACAGTTGATCAGTTTTCAGGCCGAATTTTGGAGGGTTATGCCAGCAAACTTGAAAAATAGTTCAGTGAAATTTTAACAAGTAGAGCCAAGGCTAGGGAGTTGGGGCACAAATCTAAAAGATTGCCAAAAACCTTAGTAAGCAAGATACATCATATTTTGATGCAATATTTTACATCAGATCAGTGCAAAAATTCATGATTAACAAACTATCAGTATTTTCAGTTAAGACAGGTGTATTGTTTCTTCTTTGGTTATTGGTGTTTTGGGTTTCAACCTCCTATAAATCAGTTAAAAAAATACAGCTTTGTAGAAAAATGAATTATGGGGGAAAAAAAAGCAGTTTATGGCTGGGCATGGTGGCTCACACCTGTAATCCCAGCACTTTGGGAGGATGAGGCAGGAGGATCACTTGAGGCCAAGAGTTTAATATCAACGTGGGCAACATAACAAGACTCTGTCTCTACAAAAAATTTAAAAATTAGCCAGCACTTGTAACCTCAGCTACTGAGGAGGCTGAGGCAGGAGGATCACTTGAGCCTAGGATTTCAAGGCTGCAGTGAGCTATGATTGCACCGCTGCACTCCATCCTGGGTGAGACAGCAAGGCCACCCTGTCTCTCTTTTTTTTTTCTTTTTTTTTTTTTGGCACAGGGTCTCCCTCTGTCACCCAGGCTGGAGTGCAGTGACGTGATCAGGGCTCACTGCATCCTCGACCTCCTGGCCTCAAGCGATTCTCCCATCTCAGCCTCCTCCTGAGTAGCTGGGACTACAGGCACACACACCATGCCTAGCTCATTGGCCTGCCTCAGCGTGCCAAAATGCTGGGATTATAGGTGCGAGCCACTCCACCTGGCCAAGGAAAAAAGGCAATTTACAGAGAAAGAAAGTTGTCTAGGAAGTATATGAAAAGCCATTCAGCCATAATAATAAAGAAATACAAGTTAAAATAATACTGTGATTATTTTTCTAAGTGAAAGTCAAGTAGAGAAACATTTAAAAGATAACACCAGATACAAGAAAACTCTCTTTTCACTCTTAGTGAGACTATAGTAATACAACTTTTTAATAAAGCAAAGCTGTTATCTGTCAGAGTTCACGGTTTGTGTGTACTTGCATACCCTGTAGTCTAGTACATTTTATATGGCTATGCTTTATAGAGCTTTAGAAAGTGAGGTCAAGCTAAATTTCTTGACTTTAAGGGTGGCCTGAATAGTTCACCATAATCTCATTATTGAAACATGATTATCCATCTTAATATTTAAGCATGTTGCCTTCATCCATCCATCCCCTATTTTAAGTGTTCTTTTGTTTTTCGTATGTTAGTTTCCCAGAGTCAAAATAGATTTTTAACTTTTTCTGATGTTTCAAAAGTTTTAAAAGAAATCTGTATGGTGTATTTGAAGGCATGAAAATGAAATTAACATTTTGTTTTATACTTTCTCCCCCTTTTCTCTACATTTAAGATACACGAACATATATCTAATATATCAGAGACATCTTCCACATTGATAGAAATGTGTACCCATCATGTCAAATGATGGGTTATTATCATTTGATTGTGCATAAATGGAAGTGCTCCTCTATCAATAGATATTTAGGCTTTTTGGAATAACTTTATTTTGCGTCTTGTCATACTGAAAGTTTTCTTCAATGTTTTCCATAAGTTTAACATTAAACAGTTGTTTCCTGCTTTTTTTCATTCCAGCATTTCCTTGGTATAGTGTCTGAGTCATAATACGCTTTTGATTTTAATTACTATAACAGAGATCATTTTTTGTCAGTATCTACTACAGTGTCTCTTCGCCTAAGCGTTCTACTTATTTTTTTTTCATTCCCTGGCCCCCACCCATGCATTCCCTTATTATGTAGAAAGAAATGTAAGGCTTCTACCATTTTTTTCTCATCAGGAAAACCCCCAATTATTAAACAAGTTAGTAATTCTGGGTAGTTGTAATTTTTGTTTGACATCAGTGTTCAGCAAACTTTCATGAAATATTAGATTGGAAATATTTTTGGATTATTTGTGTCATACAGTCTTTATATGGTGACTCAATTCAGCTGTGGTAGCACAGTCAGCGATAATGTGTAAACAAATGAACGCGGGCATTTTCAAGTAAAACTATAATTACAAAAATTAATAGGCTGAATTTGTCTAGTGGGTTGTAGTTTGTCAATCCTGATTTAGATTGATCCTTACATCTTATTTATCTTCACACTTGCCCAAATCCTTAGAGTTATTATAGCACTAATGTGAAACCACTGAATGAGTTTAATAAGCCATTTAAAACTATTAACCTATGGGCCAGAGGAGCTAGTGTTTTAAGTCAGTTAAATGTTTATTTTGTCATTTGTCCAGGGTCTTAAAAACTGATTTAATAACTGAACTTTTAGGAAACGATTATCTTTATTTCTTTGTCTTCAGATAAGTGTGTTTTTAGAGTTCATATAGCTTTTATTCTAAATGTCAAATTTTATTTCAACATCAAACATTTAAACAATTTAGACATTATTTTTCTAAATGAAGCAAAAATTTATTTAATTGATAAATACCACATTTGAATTTCTCTCTAGTTTTACTCCCAAAAAAGAAGAGGAGGAGAGCCAACCAGCAAAGAAAACATACACTTGGAATACAAAGGAAGAGGCAAAGCAAGCTTTTAAAGAATTATTGAAAGAAAAGGTATTAATATTGCAGATTTTTATTGTTTCTTAGCTTTTTGACATCAAGCATGTATTATGGATTTTTATGTGATGTGTAATAATTACCCAACAAATGACGTTACTCTTTAATTAAACCTTGATGGTATTGATAATACCAATCTCATGAACTGTTGTAACTGAAAAGCAACTAAATATGTCTTTTTTTTTTTTTTTGAAGTACACTTTTGTGAAACTTTCAACACAAAAACTATTGTGTACAAGGTACTACACAAGCACATTTCTACCCAATATTTAATGTAAGGGTTTTTTTTTAATTCATAATAGTTATCTTTTATCCATAGTCTAAGAAAAAAGCATTTATGTTCTATTTAAATTTCAGTTAAAGTTTTCATTTTAGTTCATAGGTGTATTACACAGATTTGCCTTCAGTAAAAAACTATTTTTTATAACTTGTTTCAAACTCCTGCAAAGGGAAATGCTTGATGTTTGCAGTTAGTATTATACTCAGTTTCCTATTATGTGACTTAAACTATTCTTGTGTGAAATTTTAATTTTTCATTTAAATTATTTTCAGCGGGTACCATCGAATGCTTCATGGGAGCAGGCTATGAAAATGATTATTAATGATCCACGATACAGGTAGTACTTCAACTTTTTATTTACTTTTCACTTTGAGCATATAGCAGGCCTAGCACATTTAAAGTTGTGTAGAAAGATAAAACATTTAACTGTTGACTTCTGTTTAGGATACCAAGTATAGAGTTGTTTTATGTCTAATAACCAAAAAGTCAAAGGCTTATCAAACAATTTGAGTACTCCGCTACATATAAAATAATAATTATTTTAAAAGTAGAAATTACTTTCTACAATCATTTGTAATAAATTTTTGAAAATTTTTAAATTATATGTGTAAACAGTTTTATTTTTTTTTTCAAACCACTAATATTTGATTCTTTTGCCTGTGTTTACTCTTACATGGTATTTTTATATTAGTGCTTTGGCAAAGTTAAGTGAAAAAAAGCAAGCCTTTAATGCCTATAAAGTCCAGACAGAAAAAGAAGAAAAAGAAGAAGCAAGATCAAAGTACAAAGAGGCTAAGGAATCCTTTCAGCGTTTTCTTGAAAATCATGAGAAAATGACTTCTACAACCAGATACAAGTAAGATGTTTAGTGTTACATGGCCTATGTTTACTACATTGTTGTTTGTGTCATACTTTTCTGCCATGTGCAGTAGCTGATCCAGAGCTCATTAAATAAAACTAGATGATTATGAATGTGGAAACTTGATGAGGTACAAAATAAATCTGTAGTTAAATGTAGAATTTAACTTGTTGACTTAATAAGTTTTTGAGAGACTGGAAGAAGGGGAGAAAGACTGTATTCAATAATCAAGTTGGAGGCCAGACGTGGTGGCTCACACCTATAATCCCTACCGTTTGGGAGGCCAAGGCAAGCAGATGGCTTGAGCCCAGGAGTTCAAGACCAGCCTTGGCAACATGGCAAAACCCTGTCTCTAGGGGAAAAAAAAAAAATACAAAAATTAGCCGAGCATGGTGGCACGTGCCTGTAGTCCCACCTCCTTGGGAGGCTGAGGTGGAAAGATCACTTGAGCCTGGGAATGTCAAGGCTGCAGTGAGCCATAATTGCACCACTGCACTCCAGGGTGACAGCGAGACCCTGTCTCAAAAAAAAAAAAAAAAAGAAAAAGAAAATTTGATTGCCTTTTACTTAAAAACATTGAAATTATTGATATTTGTGGAGTAAAAAGAGGCTATTTTCATTAAGTAGGCATAGCATTTTGAATAATTGTTTTATGTAGCATTCTTCATTTTAGATTGCTTTATTATGTAAAATTGTGGGTAATATTAAAATATTTTTGATATGTTATGAAGCCTATTTTCTGTATGTATTTCTTTGATCTCCTCAGTATTCCAGAGAAGTCTGTAATTTAGTTCTGTAGGCAGTTTGGTAGTCTGTGTAGCTGCCTTTAGATATAGAGATAGTCTAGACTATAAGCAGTGCCTAATGTGAATTATCCCCTCTATCTCTAAGGAGAGAGGGAGGCATGTGTTTTTTGTTTGTTTGTTTTGTTTTGTTTTGTTTTTTCATAATTATCCAGGAGTTTGTCTTTAATATATTTATGAACTTTGAATAGGAAGTATTCATTTTGTAGTTTTAAATTTAGTTTAAAAATTGGTTAAAATTAATTTTTATTGTATAATTTTTTTTTAACAGAAAAGCAGAGCAAATGTTTGGAGAGATGGAAGTTTGGAATGCAATATCAGAACGTGATCGTCTTGAAATCTATGAAGATGTTTTGTTCTTTCTTTCAAAAAAAGAAAAGGTATTCTTTATTCTTAGTTATTGGTATTTATAGATAACACAAGATGTTTCCTCATTCGGATGAGGATTGGTTTTATAATATGTACATTTTTCTGGCTTAGTTTATCCAGTTTATGTGGTATAGCAGATTTATTTATTGGAAGTAAAATTTAATGATGGAATGTATAGCTTCTGTAATAATCTTCTTTATCGTTCATGTAGCATATTAAGTACTGATGTAGACTCAGTGGGTACTCATTCAATTATTTGTATTGTCATTAGTTGGCTATCTTATGCTCACTTTGAAAAGATACCTTTTTTGCTCATTAGGTTTAAAAATGCTGGGTTTTTTTGCTTATAACCAGCATGATTGTTACAAGAATGACAGCAACATGCAGTTGTTTCTACTAAACTTACAACATTTTAAAATACCTATTTTACTCATGTCTCTTTTTCATTGTGCACTATTATATTTTATGTTATCTGGTTTCCAAGGAACACATACAGATGCAAGTATTATCAAATTTAAACATAGCTGAAGGTCATTGAAGATTTTAGCATTTACCTGCAATGCGACTTGTCCATAGTAACCTTAGTTTCAGACTGTCTGTAATACATAGTGGTAGAAAGGTTTATGTCGTATGGGGGAAAAGCCAAAAACATGGTTTCCAGATTCTGGCTTTTAGAAGGAGGTGGAAAATTTGAAGCTAAGTACCAAAGCCAAGCGCTTAGGAAAGAGCATTAGCAAAGTCAGCAGTGTGGCCATTTAAAGTAAATGAAATTTACTTGAAGTTTGACTTAACCTTTGCAATTTGGTCATCCGTTAGAATATAAAGAAGCCGTCACTAATTGCAATTTAAATATCTTAATTTCTTGGAACTTTGAAACATACATATTCATACTTTTGCTATAGGAACAAGCAAAGCAGTTGCGAAAGAGAAATTGGGAAGCCTTAAAAAACATACTTGACAACATGGCTAATGTAACATACTCTACCACTTGGTCTGAAGCCCAGCAGTATCTGATGGATAATCCAACTTTTGCAGAAGATGAGGAGTTACAAAGTAAGAATAATGGCTAAGTAAGAGAAATAGTTTTAAACAGCGTCCTCCAGCAGCAAAGAATTATTTTCACTTTTTATATGAGATAACTAATTGAATTTTATGCAGTTGTTTATTTCTGAAAAAGAGTTTTATTTATTTCCAAATAGGATATTTCTTTCTGATTGAGTTTGTGATTCATGACAAAATATTTTTTCAAATTTAAAGTAGCTTTATCAGGTAATCCTTGAAATATTT
Source organism: Homo sapiens (assembly GCF_000001405.40). Lineage (NCBI taxonomy): Eukaryota > Metazoa > Chordata > Mammalia > Primates > Hominidae > Homo > Homo sapiens. The sequence continues at coordinate 152,669,996 of NC_000002.12, read as the reverse complement.
AAATTATAGGTCACATTTGAAATTCTGCTTAGCCGTTTGTATGTAACTTGGTAAGAACTAAATGAATTACCGCATTTTACTCAGGTTGTTTTCTTGAGGTAATAACATTATAGATTTTGTAAAAAGAAAAAAATGTATTAGAATTATCTTAACATTAGGCTTCCCTAAGTACTCTTTCTGAGTTAACCAATTGCTTTTTAAATTATAGCTTTATCAGCTACCCCTCTAAAAATCATGCTTCAGTAGATTTTTTTATAGGGTGTACAGTTCTATACTTTGAAAAGCTCCTGGAATAATTATGATATTGCAAACAGATTTTATCATAACACTTTTCATTAGTTTTGCCATATGCACGTCCTTTGTTTTATCCTATGACATGTTTCAGAATGTCTTTTATTGAGTTCTTTGTGAAATTTTCCTTAAAACTTTCCTATGCAGATGATCACAAATCATATTTGAGTTTAAATACAAGTTTGTTTGTTTGTTTGTTTGTTTAGAGACGGGGTCTTGCTGTGTTGCCCAGGCTAGTCTTGAACTCCTGGGCTCAAGCAATCCTCCCACCTCAGCCTTCCAAAGTGTTGAGATTACAGGCATGAGCCACCACACCCTAGCCTAACTACAAGTATTTTTGACAGGTGATTTTGAAATTTTGGGGGAGCTAATGCAAGTAAACTACTTTACTTGTTGACATTTGACACTCTAAATTTTAACTGGCAAATACTTTAGATATGGACAAAGAAGATGCATTAATTTGCTTTGAAGAACACATTCGGGCTTTAGAAAAGGAGGAAGAAGAAGAAAAACAGAAGAGTTTGCTGAGAGAAAGGAGACGACAGCGAAAAAATAGGGAATCTTTCCAGGTAAAAGAAAAAGCTCTCTTTTTAACTTAGTTTTATATTATATTTACTGAACTTTGACAGTGATACAAAGAGTTTTGAGACAACTGTTCCCAGATCATAGACTTAGGCTTTGTGAGGACTCATACACATTTAACTCTTTAAGTTCTTCAGATGAACATTGGTAAATGAGGTTTCGGTTGGGAAAAACAACAGGAGAGATGACTGGAAACAAGATATGTGTGGTGAGTCAGTAGTAGATGATATTTAGTCTCTGGAGGACAAAGGGACTGCTAAGGTATAGTTTGGGGATGGGCCATAATTTCTTAAACACTAAGAAAAGGACCTGGGATTGCATGTTTTTTAGGTAGTAGTTCGTTTTCATCTTCAAGTATCATTTTTATTTTCAGTGATAGAAAATATCATGGAGCAATGAATTTTTTGCATTTCATATCTCACCTATTTCAATAATTATAATAGCTAATATTCTTTGATTGCTTACTGTCAATACAATTTACATTTGTAATCTCAATTTTTATGACAGTCTTACCTTATAAGGGTACTTACTGTTTTTGTTATATAAGTTTATATAACTAAGGAAATGGAGAGGTGAAGTGACTTGCCCAAGTTCAACAGCTGCTGAATAGTGAAGCCAGAATTTGAATCCATGCAGTTTTGATTACAGGGTCTCTTCCATTAACCATTGTATTAGGATAAATGCTAGGTTACAATGGCTTAAATAAGTTTTTTTCTTGAAGTAACAGTCTTTTTGGTCTAGGGCAGGGCATATTGCCATCCCTTAAGGCAGTGGTTCTCAAAATTCAGTGTATCAGAATGAAGTGGAGGATTTTTAAAAAATTTCTTCTGGCCGGGCACGGTGGCTCATGCCCATAATCCCAGCACTTTGAGAGGCTGAGGCTGGCAACTGCTTGAGTCCAGAAGTTCAAGACCAGCCTGGGTAACACGATGAAACCCGGTCCCTACTAAAAATACAAAATAATAATAATAATAATTAGCCGGGTGTGGTGGTGCATGCCTGTAGTCCCAGCTACTCAGGAGGCTGAGGTGGGAGAACCTGAGCCCAGGAGGTCAAGGCTGCAGTGAGCTGCGATGGTGCCACTGCACTCTAGACTGTGCAAAAGAGCGAGATCCTGTCTCCAAAAAAAAAAATTATTCGCGCTATGCCAAAGGTTACTGTGTTAAACGTCACAGCCAGTAGAAAGATTTCAGTCCTTATTCAATGAAAACTTAACATTTACTACTCTTGATAGGTTCCTTTATCTTAGTGACTTTCTAGACTTGATCATGTTCTACAACGGTTAAAAACACAAATTGTTTAGCCTTACCTGAAGAATTTGAATTAGTAAGTCTGGGGTGGAGTCTGAAAATTTCATTTCTAAATTTCCAGGTGATATTGATACTGTTGGACCATAGTTTGAGAACCAGTGCGCTAGCATGTTAACCTTCTCTGCAGAGTTAGGGGTATGCTGCCCCCATTTCACATTTTAACTTGGAAAAAGTAGAAAGAACAGTTCTTCTTAAAGCTAATGATGTAGAAGTTCTGCTCACCTCCTTCATTTGGGTTCAGTTGCTGAGAATTTAGTCACAGGGCCACAACTAGCTACACAAAGGAGGCTAGAAAACTTAGCTTTTAGCTAAGCAGCCATGTGCCCAGAAAGAAGGGGAGGACAGATTCTTAGGAGGGCTATTATACACTCTTCCACAACTTAAGCTTTAATGTCTCTGATGAAGGTTTTGCAGTGGTTTAAAATAAGGAGACATATATGAAAAAATAATAATACAGTGAAAATAAGGTCTGGGTCATAGAAAATACGAGACTATAATGTAAACAATATTGAAGATGGAGACTGTGAGGCAAAATTTTGATGTGAAGGCTGTTACGGTTCCTTAAATAAGCTTAAATGTGGCTTTGAATCAGATTGCTATGTGTCTGGCATAGTTTCTGATTACTACTAATATAATTGGTGTTAAGTATGTTGTATTAATATTCTTTCAGATATTCAGCCTGGTAATTTTCCTGTTGTGCTATTTCAAAAGATTTATTTAGGACTTTAGTGAAATGAATTAAAAGAGAAGATTGGCATTAGACAATAAAAGATCATTAATGGAGAGCTTCTCAGTAGTTATGATTATGATGATGACTAGCTTTTTATTTAGTGTTCATTTGCTAATCAGAAAATTCATCATGTCTGTGACAAGGAAACTATGATCTTGTTTTTCTTATGTCTTAAAACTGGTATTTGAAGTCAGTTTTGTCTGGAAAGGATTGATCTGAGGCTTTCAAGGAGAACCAGAGGAATGTATAGTGTCTCAGAAGCCAAGAGTTTGGAATTTTAAGATAGAGCATGATCCCCAAATGCACAGAATCAGTATCACCTGGGAAATTATGAAAATGCATATTCTCAAACTCCACGTCAGACTTACAGAATCAGATTCTGGAAATGGGACCTAACAATATGATTTTTTTAAACAGTCCTTCAAATGAGTCTTTGAGAAACCCCTGAGGTAAAGGAATCCACCTAAAGTAACATGTTAAGAAATTTTTATGGAATGAGGACTGAAAGAATACTGTTAAGGGTGGCATTTAAGGTGTTAAGAGTGGCATTTAAGGTGTTTAGTGACCATTGGCATGGTAGGGAAAGTTAAAGGTCTGCCAAATAGTTGAAAGATATTCAATAAGGTAAAATTCAAATAAGCTTGCAGTTAAGAGAAAGGCTTTTCTTGGGTAAGAGGAAACCAGTTAAGAGGGAGAGAATGAAGGAAGAATTGAAAAATAAGGGTGAGTCTCATTAAACAACATCTCGGAAAGTTGGGAATTCAAGCATATATATGAATACAGTTACATTGAGAACAGTATATAAGAGAACAAAAAGAAGGATGAAGATGGAGAAAAATTAATACCGATTTGGATCTAAGACAGTGGTGCTCAACCAAGAAAGATTTTGTGATTGTCACTATTTGTGGGGAACATGCTACTGGCATCTAGTGTGTAGAGGCGAGAGATGCTGATAAACATCCTGCAATGTACAGGGCTCAAACATACCCCGCCCTCAACCAAGAGAAAGAAAGAAAAAAAAATTACGTCATCCAAGATGTCATTAGTGCCACGGGAAGAAGAAACATCAAGCTCAGCCATCTTTGAAGCAACTTGCTTTCCATAATGTAAAAGGCAAGGCTTTTTCACCCCTAAAATGGGGCAAGTAAAATAGAATAAGAACCATACAGTTTTGTCAGAGTGGTTTTCAAACCTGAATTCACATCAGTCATCTAATATTCCAAATATCTGGATATTAATTCATATTGCTTTAAAAAAATATTCCTCAGGTGATTCTTTCAGGTTAGGGATCCACTATTGAAATAATTTCAGTCTCACAGTTCTTTGACTTTATCAGACAGATCTCACCAGTCTGGAAGTGTAAGAAACACTAGCAAAACAGGTATGATAGAGTGAGGTAAGTTCTAAGGTACTAGAGCATCACTAAAGATGGTTTCCAAACTATTTTAGATACTCAGGGAGCAAGTGAGGAAGCTGGTGAGCACAACAAGAGTGGTTAAGACAAAATTCCATTTATGTTGAAGGGTAAGGGTAGTTGACAGAAGGGTAGATACAGGCAGGGTTTGAGAAAAGAATTTCCGAGTTGTAAGGGAGTATGGACATATTTAGTCTTGTTTGAAGAGGAGTGAGTGCAGTTGTAAGTGCCTGATGTTACTTTGGGACAGCTCTATCCAATAAAAATGTGAATGCCACAAATGCGATTTTAATTTCCTATTTATTTTAGTAATTTAACCCAATATAACCAGATATTATTTTAACACATCAATATTTTTAAAAATTGCTAATATTTGTGGTATTAAATCTTCAAGATCATTGTGTATTTTGTACTTAACAGCACATCACAACTCAGACTAGCTACATTTCATGTACCGAGAAGCTACGTTTGGTCAGTGGCTACCTTATTGAACAGTGCAGGTATAGGAATTGTGGGAACAGAATATAGGGTTACAGTTTCTTTTAGGCACATTTGTGTATAGCAGCGGTCCCCAACCTTTTTGGCACCAGGGACCGGTTTAGTGGAAGACAGTTTTTCTTGGTGGGGTGGGGTGGGGAGTTGGTATCATCAGGCATTAGATTCTCATAAGGACCACACAACCTAGATTCCTGGCATGCTCAGTTCACAATACGGTTTGCAGTCCTATGAGAATCTGATGCCGCCACTGATCTGACAGGAGGTGGAGCTGGGGCGGTAATGCTTGTTCCACCACTCACTTCTTGCTGTGTGGCTTGGTTCCGGTTCCGTGGCTGGGGGTTGGGATCCCCTGGTGTATAGGATTAAACTCCCTGAGGATTGGGTTGGAAGCAGGAAGTGTGGAAATTGAAACTAGATATGGGTTTGAATCCTAGGTCTCCAAACTACTTTGGGAAAATTATACATCCTCCTCTTAAGGCCCCTTGTTTTTTAAAAGTAAATAAAAATACCTAGAACACATTAGGCACTATTTTTAAAGACAGAAAGTATATATTTAAGGAAACATGCATATACATTCTTTAGCCTCATCATTTGAGGTAGATATCCAGTAATTTAAGTTAACTTTTACCTTTTTTTTTTTAAAGCTAAAAATTAGGTTCTATCTTAAAGGGTAGGAAATAGAACCTTAGGAAGATAATGTGCAGTTTCAAAAGTTATTTTCTCTAAAGGACAAAATATTTTTTTGCCTAGAGGCAGTTGTTACTTTGCCCAAATAGCAAATATTCTTTGTGCCCAAACAGGTTTGGGATAACATTGGTAGAAGAGTTTTAACTATGTCAAAGTTTTTGTGTGTTTTCATGTTAGACGCTTATTTCTCATGTACTCGAGATGACTTTCCAAATATAATTTTTCTCCCTAGATATTTTTAGATGAATTACATGAACATGGACAACTGCATTCTATGTCATCTTGGATGGAATTGTATCCAACTATTAGTTCTGATATTAGATTCACTAATATGCTTGGTCAGCCTGGTAAGATTATTTTCTTTCCTAATTTACCGTTATGGTAGTAGTTGAAATGGGCCAAATGCAAAGGTGATTGTGTTGGGGGAAAGGGTGCTTTATTTTTGTTTTTTAAACAACAAAGTAATTGCAGCTCTTTGGTTAGAGCTAGCTTTTGACTTCTTTAGTTTTTTCATTAGGATCAACTGCACTTGATCTTTTCAAGTTTTATGTTGAGGATCTTAAAGCACGTTATCATGACGAGAAGAAGATAATAAAAGACATTCTAAAGGTAAATATATTTATTCTTACCTTTTAACCAATAGTATATCTTAAAAGTTAGTACTGTATTCCTTTGATTTATGCATTATTAATGTTAAGATTTCTTTTTTTTAGGATAAAGGATTTGTAGTTGAAGTAAACACTACTTTTGAAGATTTTGTGGCGATAATCAGTTCAACTAAAAGATCAACTACATTAGATGCTGGAAATATCAAATTGGCTTTCAATAGTGTAAGTTATGTTTTCTGTTGTAAGTAACTAGTTTAGTAGTATAGTTTTTAATTTATTCAGATAAAAGCAGCTAAGTTGCAGAGTGTTGGAATAAGGGAATATGAATAGAATTTTACAGAGTGGTAGCCAGTCTTTCAGGTAAGGTAAAACAAAAAACTTTATTTAGATGATGGATTGATATTAAACTTCCTTTGCTCAAATTAACTGGTATTATACATAAAATGGCCATTATAAATCAGGCCTTGGGCCACACATAAAGTACACTAACGATAGCTGATGAGCTTAAAAAAAAAATTGCAAAAAATCCTTATAGTGTTTTAAGAAAGTTTACAAATTTGTGTTGGGCCACATTCAAAGCGGTCCTGGGCCACAGGTTGGACAAGCTCGTTTTAAACAATGCGTGATTCCTAAATTAACAATAAATTATTTCAGCTAATAGTTATGATACTATTATAACTGATTAAATATGATTTTCTTAATAGTTACTAGAAAAGGCAGAAGCCCGTGAACGTGAAAGAGAAAAAGAAGAGGCTCGGAAGATGAAACGAAAAGAATCTGCATTTAAGAGTATGTTAAAACAAGCTGCTCCTCCGATAGAATTGGATGCTGTCTGGGAAGATGTATGTATACTTGTTATTTTTTTCTAATGGAATTCTTTTCTTTACAGTTGAGAAATTTAAAATATTTTTATTTTTCATTTTATAGCCACAAAAATAAGCTAAATTTATTTGTAGAATATATTAAATATATTTAGAATATAATAAAAGCATTAAATCAGCTGTTGACTCTGTTTAGGAATATTTGTAAAGAATGGTTTGGACTTTTGAAGGGAGGAAATAATGGACTTTAAGGGGACTGATTCATCACAGTTTTCACTTGCTGTTATGATTTATTTTAGATGTATCGTTGTACTTTTCTTGGTATTCATATATTTATTTTGTATCTGAATTTTTCAGATCCGTGAGAGATTTGTAAAAGAGCCAGCATTTGAGGACATAACTCTAGAATCTGAAAGAAAACGAATATTTAAAGATTTTATGCATGTGCTTGAGGTAATTTTAGAATTCTCATATACAAAATATATAAAATATAAACAAATTGAAGAACTTAGAATGATGAAAGTATGTTGCTTAATATTCACTGCTTTTATACAAATGTACTTACCTGGATGGTTAGAGAATGGTTTTTTTCCTATAAAAACTGCTTTTAAGTAAAAGAAACTATTAAGTTTCCATGGGAATATAAAGATTTGTATGTGAAGACTGTTTTGTATTTTTAGAAAGTTTTAGAAATTGAGCAGTTTGGCAGCCACATGGATTGATTGACTAATAAAGAAAACTTGAAATTTTTCTTGTAAAGCAGATAGAAGACAGCTTTTAGGCACATTTGAGGTATTATACCACATTAGCTGTGTAGAAAAGAAAGTTTCTGGAAAGTAATGGAATAAATGGTAAGTTTTTGTTAAAATAAGCAATGAAACAATAACATCTCAGGTCACTTTAATAGGTAAGGTTCACTGGGCACGGTGGCTCACGCCTGTAAAACAAGCACTTTGGGAGGCCAAGGTGTGTGCTGATCACCTGAGGTCAGGAGTTTGAAACCAGCCTGGCCAACATGGCGAAATCCTGTCTCTACTAAAAATACAAAAAAATTATCAGGGAGTGGTGGCGGGCACCTGTAATCCCAGCCACTCAGGAGGCTGAGGCAAGAGAATTGCTTGAACCCAGGAGGCGGAGGTTGCAGTGAGCCAAGATCATGCCACTGCACTCCAGCCTGGGCAACAGAGCGGGACTCCTTCCCCAAAAAAAAAAAAAAAAAAAAAGTATTTTGATGACAGTTTCAGTTAGGCCCTTGTAAGTATGCTGAATTGACCAATAATTATTGAATAATAGTATTCGATGCCTATGTGGGCCAGTGTTCTAATTGCTTTATGTATATTATATTTATGAACTGAATCCTTTCAATAAGCCTGTGAAGTTAATAGGTGAACAAACTAAGGCAGAGAGAAGTAAAGTGACTTACAGGGTTGGAAGCCGGGCATGTTGACCTTGGTCAGTGCTTTTAACAAGTATGCCATGCTGTCAGTTTTAGAGTAGCTAATACTTTATAAGCTAAAAACTAGTAGGTGCTTAATATTACAGTGTTGCATTGTAAATGGGCATAGGTCACTAAATTGACTATTTCCTATTTCTTGATTTATTGTTCTTGATTAATATAATGTTAACCACAGTTTTTTCTGTACCATGTACTCACGAAGGCCCTGTATTGTTTCACAGCTGCCTCTAGATGTGGTCCTGTTGGCCTTTTTTTTTTTTTTTTTAAAGCGGGGTCTCTGTCATCCATCCACTCCTAGGCCAGAGTGCAGCGGTGCAGTTATGGGTCACTGCAACCTTGAACTGTTGGATTCAAACAATCCTCCTAAGTAGCTGGAACTGCAGGCACGTGCCATCACACTTGGCTTTTTGTGGGGCTTTTTTGGTTTTTGTTTTTATAAAGATGGGATCTTGCTGTGTTGGGCAAGCTGACCTCAAGCAAGTCTCCTGCCTTGGCCTCCTGAAGTACTGTGATTATAGGTGTGAGCAACCATGCTGGGCCTCTAGATCTTTTCTGTGCCAAATGTAGTGCATACCAGAAGCATCTGCATTACCTAGGAGCTTCTTAGGAATGCAGAACCTTAGGCCCCATGGGGCAGAAATCCTGCGTCTGACTTCATTTTAACCAGATTCCCAAGCATTAAAATATACATTTAATTTTGAGAAGCTCTGCTCTAGATAGTGACTAACCTATTTTCCCCCAGTTCAAGAGTCTACAGATTCTTTCATGATCTATACTGGGGGTAAAGTAGTTAGGTGGTAAATGGAGTAAAAATGGTACCATAGGGAAGGGCTGAACACATTCAGATTTTGGGGCCTTAATAATCTGAGGCTTGAGGTATTAAAGAAAGGTAGGTTAGCATTCAGTGAGATCAAAAGGAGAATAGTCCATTCTGAGATCCAGATTTTCCATTTCCACTTCTGTAACTGAGGTAGAATTTATTCTCAAAGCCATAGAAATGTTTAGGGGCAAGGAGCTTGTACTGTAGCACCCCCCATCACTGCTAACCTAGTAATTGTTTTAATAAGTAGAAATCCACAAAGACAGCATATGGATGTCTAACAATGTCTTGTTTGAGGAGGAAGGAAATGGCTCCTTGGGGGAAATGAAAGAGGGGTAGCAGATTTTGCATTTATTCTGACATCAGCCTTATATATCTCAATTCAAGGATGGCTCTCAGGTTGTTCTTTATCTTAGTGCTTGGCCTAACTTGCTGACCAAAGCCAGATTGATTACAAAAACCATGTCTGAGTGTCATTGTATTTGACTGTCATTAAAAGCAGATGTCACTGCATATTACACTTTTCTTCTAAATCACACCATTCTCTTCCTTAAAAAATACTTTTTCAGGCTGGGCACAGTGGCTCACGCCTGTAATCCCAGCATTTGGGAGGCCGAGGTGGGCGGATCACAAGGTCAGGAGATCGAGACCATCCTGGCTAACATGGTGAAACCCCATCTCTACTAAAAATACAAAAAATTAGCCGGGCATGGTGGCAGGCGCCTGTAGTCCCAGCTACTCGGGAGGCTGAGGCAGGAGAATGGCGTGAACCCGGGAGGCGGAGCTTGCAGTGAGCTTAGATCACGCCACTGCACTCCAGCCTGGGTGACAGAGTGAGACTCCATCTCAAAAAAACAAACAAACAAAAACTTTTTCAGCTGGGTGCAGTGGCTCATGGCTGTAATCCCAGCACTTTGAGAGGCCAAGGCGGGTGGATCACCTGAGGTCAGGAGTTTGAGACCAGGCTGGCCAACACGGTGAAACCCTGCCTCTACCAAAAATGCAAAAATTAGCTGGGCGTGGTGGTGTGCACCTGTAATCCCAGCTACTTGGGAGGCTGAGGCAGGAGAATTGCTTGAACCTGGGAAGCGGAGGTTGCATTGAGCCAAAATCGCACCACTGCACTCCAACCAGGGTGACAGAGCGAGACTTCGTCTCAAAAAAAAACAAAAACAAAAAAAGCCCTACTTTTTCTACTAACAGTTTTTAACATTGTTTTGTTTAGATGTCTAAATGAGTGGGTATAGGATGGGCAAGAAGGAAAAGAAAAAAAAATTGACAATTCTTCACAGTTTCAAGGGATTACATTTCTATATATTGTAGAGTTTTACTCTAAGAACTTACTTCCGTAGCTTTTTAAAGATTCTTTACAGTCTGTCTACAGTAAGTGTAAATTCTTGAAATTTTTTTTTTGTCCCCGTAGCATGAATGTCAGCATCATCATTCAAAGAACAAGAAACATTCTAAGAAATCTAAAAAACATCATAGGAAACGTTCCCGCTCTCGATCGGTAAGGGAATTTATTATATGGTGTCATGAGTGTATTAAAGTGTTAGCATTATTATGAATGAAATTATTTGTGTTTTTTAGGGGTCAGATTCAGATGATGATGATAGCCATTCAAAGAAAAAAAGACAGCGATCAGAGTCTCGTTCTGCTTCAGAACATTCTTCTAGTGCAGAGTCTGGTGAGCATTTCTATTTATTTGATTAAATCATTGACACTGATATACTCAAAGTCTGACACTTTTTATCCTTTTGTGCTACTCAGAGAGAAGTTATAAAAAGTCAAAAAAGCATAAGAAGAAAAGTAAGAAGAGGAGACATAAATCTGTAAGCAAGCTTCTAATTTTTACGTTTCACCTAGGCTTTTGCCCTTAACTTCCTCAGAGATCATAGAACCTTTTTCTATCTAGTTCTCTGCAGCCCAGGACAGTTCAGGTGGGCACATAAACTTAGAGTTTTGTTGTTGCTCTTCACCTTAATCTTCCATTAAAATCAATTGTTGAGCTTTGAAAAAATACACACACCAGTGTTAGGATCCCCATCCTGGTCTTTAAAATTAATATTCTAGAAAGAGACTCGTGTGTGTGCATGTGTCTCTGTGTATGTATGTATGTTTGTGTGTATGTGTAGATTGCAGCTGTTGTTGAGAACCACAAGTTTAAATGTTAAAACAACCACTCTACTCTTGCAGTTCTTATTCTTAGGTGTACATTAAGATCCACCTAAGGAACTTTTTGAAAATCTGAAGGCCTGGGTATCACCACAGACCTGTTGAATTACATTCTTTTTATTTGAATTTGTGCATATCTAATGAATAACCATTTAAGCACTAACGTTAAATTTTAAATAATTCCTACTCAGCAATTTCAAGAAAATAATTTTATTAATACAGCTGTCTGCCTTATGTGTTAAAGCTAACAGCAGTATACTATGTACATATATAAACCAATATTATATTGAGTTGGTGAGAAATGTAGTATCTGTCTGTATTTACATAATAGATACTACACATCTATTATGTGGTAGTAAGTCTCATGAGTGGTATTTTATCCTTCAGAATATTATCCTTCCCAAGGGAAAGCTGTCCCCATGAATCTTGGGTAAATTTTACTAAATCCTTGAGGTTAACAATTCACATTTTATTTCATCTCTCTAAGAGCACATAACCTGTTACACATAGATGTTCTTAAATATTACCTATATAACAATGGTATCTTCATCAAAATGCTAACCTGTTATTTTCTATTCATACAGGACTCTCCAGAATCCGATGCTGAGCGAGAGAAGGATAAAAAAGAAAAAGATCGGGAAAGTGAAAAAGACAGAACTAGACAAAGATCAGAATCAAAACACAAATCGCCTAAGAAAAAGACTGGAAAGGATTCTGTAAGTATTTAGAATTGTTTCATGCCTGTATTTTCAAAATGCAAAAATGTATTCTGTGGTTAAACCATGATGGTGTTGAAAGAATAGGCTTTTTTCCAGGTGTGCTACCATTGAAGAAAACAGTGAAAATTCAGTTAAGTACATTTCACACAATATCATAGTTTTTGGTCATGCATGATCCTAGATTTTATTCTCCTAAATTTGATATTTTTTAAATATAGCATTTCATAACTATAGCCTTATTAACTCACTAAGAAAGGATATGGTCACTAAGAAGTGCCACTGGACATTTTTTACCTAATTTTCAAATTTTTTTTTTAAGTGAGAGACTAAATCTGGGATTCTACAGATGTCTACAGTTGTCACTGTTATTAAATCCTTTGTTTCAAAAGGTAGCAATTCCAGTAACTTTTAGAAATACTGATTTGGGGTGGAGGAAGGGCAAATAAATAGGAGAGGAGAATATAAGCCAAAGTTAGTATTTCAATAACAGATTACATAATTAGTCCTTTTCAAATATATGTATATATGAATGACAGAGCCTAATAATGCAAATGCTGTGGGTTTAGCAAGGGTAAATGCCTATGAATCATCACTGGAGAGCATAAACTATGTAGGTAAAACCCTATTAGGGATCTCTGGATATTCTGATTCGTTGGTATAGGGTGGGTTTTTTTTTAGAGCTGAAACAGGTGAGTCTGAGTCACATCGTAAGTGAAGAGTGAATGTTTCCTTTGTACTTTCTAGCAGCTTATGGTGGGTTAAATGAAATCCCTGGAGTGAATGAAAGAGGACGATATGGGAACTATCCACTTTTCAAAGGTTGTGTCTTACGGTGCAGTATTATTTTTGTTTGTTCAGCCTAAATCTTGTCCTGCTCATTAGTCTTGTGTATTTATTTGGCACAGGAATCCATATGCTTAAAGCATACTACTTCTGTTTCTGTGATAATACTTGTGGAACCAGGGGGAAGCTACAAAATTAGCAAGGAATAGGCCAGGTGCAGTGGCTCACACCTGTGATCCTAGCCCTTTGGGAGGCCGAGGTGGGCAGATCACGAGGTCAGGAGTCGAGACCAGCCTGGCCAACATGGCAAAACCCCATCTCTACTAAAAATACAAAAATGAGCCGGGCTTGGTGGCAGGCACCTGTAATCCCAGCTACTCAGGAGGCTGAGGCAGGAGAATTGCTTGAACCCAGGAGGCAGAGGTTGCAGAGAGCCGAGATCGTGCCACTGCACTCCAGCCTGGGTGACAAGAACAAGACTCTGTCTCAACAAAAAAATTAGCAAGGAATGTATTATCTAGGAAATGAATACCTGGCTTCCATTAAATGGAAATATTGCTTCATATTCACACAGTCTTTAAACCCTGTGAAATGTGTTTCTTTGGAAGAGAGTTTATATAGATATTGGATTCTTTTTTCAAAGGCTCAGCCCGTAAACCTCTGAGTACTGATGTCAACTATAATTGTAATCAATGTCTTTTCAGGGTAATTGGGATACTTCTGGCAGCGAACTGAGTGAAGGGGAATTGGAAAAGCGCAGAAGAACCCTTTTGGAGCAACTGGATGATGATCAATAAATTATACCAAATATATGTTTACAGTATGATTTAAAGTCTGATTCAGACCAGGGACTCTATTTTAAGTTCAACTGAAATAACACTGGGTTTTAATTATATCACAGGAAAAAAAAAGTGCATTTAAGTATTGTTATCGTGGACTTTATAAAAGCAAAGGAAATTGAAAGTAACTTTTGATTCTGTATCAAGAATCATATTTTCATACAGTCATAACTGTCTTTCTGTGACCCTTTCACAGGGCACTGTAGGATGGATTAAAGGTGGCAATTTACTGATAACTGCAGATGTCTCTACTTTGTTCTAAAATCTAAGTCATGAGGTGATTTGATTTACTTTATAGAAGCTGGATTTTGAAGATCTAATGAAAAATTTTTTGATAATATAGTAGTACAAAAAAAGCACCAGCAACTGATAAAAATTGCTTTTTTGTGCGCTACCCAACTGGTTAAAGCCAATGTGATCTTTTATGGTGAAACTCCTAAGAAACAGGTGGTTTTGCTGGAAACTTGGTAGACCCTTAATTATAGTGGTGCTAATGAGCACTACTGTAATATAAAGCCACCATTATTTTTTATCAAACATCTGAATACATTTTACAAAGGCTATTGTGAGGGCATTATTTTGAGCATCTATTTTGAGGTGATGTTTAAAAAAACTTTAACATCAAATCAAATTGTAAATTAATTTAAATATATTGCCTTAAGGACCTACTAAAGAATGTGCCACCAGACTTTAAGTGATAGTTGCAATATCCTTGTCTAAAAAAAAAAAAAAAGTTGACTTAAACATTTTCTTTAACAGTTGTCTTTTTTTTCTAAATTCAGTCTTTCTCTTGCTTTTTTTTCCCTGCTATTGAGGAAGTATTTTGCCTTCCCTACTCACTGAGAAGTATTGACTTCGTGGTACACATTCTAAAGCATTTCTGATTTGAATATTTTTGTACATTTTTATCAATTATTAAACCTTCTCTTCTAGTGTGTACTAGTATTTATTTCTACTTAAACTGCTCAGCTCTAAAGAAATTGTATGATCACTTTAAAGGTACTAAATCCCTGAAATTTTGCTTCATCTTACCCACACCGCTAGTTTACTTTCCTTTTTTAATATTTAAGAATATTATAAATCAGTGCATTTGAGGTCCCTAGATTTGTTTTTCACCTATGAATTTTTTACAGACTATTTTAGAGAGGCTGTGGTTTGAAGACAGAATACTCTTTACATGCTAACTTTTGAAGGTTGGTAATGTAATTTATACTATTTTCCTTCAGTGCAGGAGATTTTTTAAGTAAATAAGTAAATTTTAGCACCTATTCTTCGGTATTATCTGTGTTATTCTTTTAATGTGTACACTTGAAGAGATCCTATTTCAAAGTTGGGATTTTGAAGAACAAAAAGTTTTTTTCTTACCCATCCTAGTGAGTTTTGAAAGTGGGCCTGACCAGAATGTCTCTTTCCCATTTTGCCCCGTTTGAATTAAATATAATGTCTACTCTTTAAAGGCTGAAGGGGTGGGTGAGGGGATTGTTTCTCATTTTGTCTCCCAAGTCATTTTTCTGCTGTGAAATATGACCAGGCTTGTAGGAAGACTCATCTTGGAGAAAATGTGAAGTAATCAAATTGCTTGAGATTAGTCTCCTATTGTATATTAGAGCCAAAACACATAATAACTTTGGCAACAGGGAGTTGTCTAGACTCAATTTTCAGAGGTCCCATTGTAGTGAGTTAATATTGCTAATCATGTCAATCACTTGACATGGAAGTCAGTGGCAAATCTTTAAAGTATGCATTTGATACTGGCAAATATATACTACTGATGTTTCACAAAAGAATCTTAGAATCTGTAGAAAACATTAATTACTTCCATGAATTATTTCTAAAGTATAACTTTAAAGTTTTGATTTTTCTATTTAAATAAAAAGCTATTGATGTGTTTTAGCATGTCCTCAAAATAGATTCCTGTATTTCTTACAGAGATAATCTTACTATAACCGCAAATCCCTACAACACAGTATAAAGTTTCCCTGTAGTTCACCCATGAAAATTATTTGACTTAAAAACAACCATAGTAGTAAGCCAATTGCAATTCAAAATGCAACATCCTTGCCATAAAAGATGTAACTTAAGTGACTGTGATCCTTTGTCTACCTTTCAGGATCCCATCAAATGGGATTTAGTTGCTAGAAAGATACTTGACAGTCTGAAGGCACAGGTGATAAGATTTTGTTCTCTGTGAATATTTTTAAACTAATAGGTTATGTTTTTAAATCTTCAATTTGGTAAAAAACTGAAACGTCTTGGAATATTGGTTCTATTAGAGTTAAATATGGTAAAACAGGAAAGCGTGTTTATTTTCAGATAAGGGGAATTTATACTTTTCATTAAAGTCTTGGAGTCTTAGGAAAATGTTGAGGGTTTGTCTTCCCCCAGTGTCATTAATACTAATGAACTATTAGATCAAATTCACTTATACATTTAATATCATAGTTATTCAAAATCAGGACTTTAAATATTTTTTTCTCCCAGTTCATATTTCTTTGTGCGAAAATTGAATTTGTATGAAAAGTTAGATAATTAAGCTAATCAAGTATGAAGTATACACTCTTCCTAAGTGAATTTAAATAATGTAATGCTTTTAAATAAAAGCAGTGGTCCCACCACATTTTTTTCAGCATAGTAGCTGGCATTTTGTTATCATTAGCCAGAGTAGCTTCAGCATATAAGTTATTGATGTTTTCCAACTTCAAAAGTGCATTTTATGCCTCCCAGTAAATTTGATAATGATTTGTCACAGCTTTGTCATCTTTTGACTTTTGCTTATGGGCCTCACTTCGTACAACTATAACATGAAAAAGGATTGTCCTAAAGTAAGGGAATCAGTTAATGGTAGGATGAAGAAACTGTAAAAACTCCTAGAAAAAAACCTGTGTGCATTTTTCTGGAAAGTTTTCAAACTGTGTAATTCAGTTTTCATTCAATTATATAATTTGGTTATATGCTTTAAAAAACATTTGTCTAAATGTTCCCGGTTTTCTTCTGGTCTTAGAGTCAGCTGAGTGCTGGCTATGCAGCCACTCGTATTTTTGCATCCAGAAAGGAGTAACTCCCTTTATATGAAGATTTTTTTTTTTAAGCTTAGATGCTATGTAAGAGAAAACTATTTGTAATCACATAGTACCCAGGGAGGAGTGATGAATGCTTTTTTAAAAAAGGATATTTAAGTATATTATGTAATTTAAATATAAATTATCAAACTAAAAAACTTCAGCTTTTAAAACTTTCTAAACAAAATGAAGCAAAGTACATTAATTCCTTCTATCTTAAATCTGAGACTTTTTATTTTCCCTTGGGTATATATTTCTCTCAGTGTTAGGTAGATGTTAATTCAACCATCCTACATTCTCTATATAAAATTACACTCATTTTACATGAAAGCAAAATAATGTCGTTACTTTCATGGA
The DNA here is from genome assembly GCF_000001405.40 of Homo sapiens. NCBI lineage: Eukaryota > Metazoa > Chordata > Mammalia > Primates > Hominidae > Homo > Homo sapiens. The sequence goes on along the minus strand of NC_000002.12, from coordinate 152,652,847 downwards.
ACTGTGTTCTAACAGGCTTATAATCTCATTCTGTGCTTCTGGTAATGGCGTATACCAGTCTGATGATTCTTACCATCCTTATTCTTACATTACTCTTCCAATTGTTTTGATTTTAACTGGTGGTCATGTAAGTTCCTCGGTGGCAGGGATTTATCTGGTTCATTTACTGTTATATATCCTTGTGGAATAGGACAGTGCCTGGCATATAATAGGCACTTTTGGAATGAATGTAAAATACTAGTTGAAATATGTATTCATCTGGCATCCATGGTACCCATCATCTGTATTAAAGGGCTTAAAAAAGCATCATTGCAATAAACCATACTAACCCACCACTAAAGTCACAGTCATAATTGAAGTGCACCCAAAATAAGGTCCAGTGACTGTACCTTAGCTTTTACTTCAGACATGTCCAAAACTTGTGAGAACATACAATTTAAAGTTGAAAACTCATCATTTTGGGCTATTTTTGAATAGGGCTGAAATATGGTGACATGTCAGGCACTCAGTTTTTTGGAGCTGTCTTAAAGGTGAGGTGGAAAGTGAGAGATGATTTTGCTCTAATTACCCACACATTCTCCCTAACCCTCCATTTTAAGACACTTAGCTATAATAGCTTAAGACTATCAAAACTGCTTTTGTGATTCTCAGTAGGATCTAGTTCAAAGCCATCTCAGTGCTAGTGATTGGTAATTGTTAATTTGATGGTAATTACCCTACTTGTAAAGTTGACATTCATACTGGCTAATCCTCCCTGCCCCTAGTCGTGGACAATGAAACAGTGAGTGGCTGGTGAATTAGATCAGATTCAAACTAAGCCATTCCTTGATGCTATTCTTCACTGCTGTTCCTTAGGGTATCTAAATGTGTTATTTATAAACATTTTTGGGGGCTCCTGCCTGCAAACTTCGGTAGGTGTTGGTCTTCCCCACCTCTACAACTGAGCCAAGGACTTGTTCTGAAAGGTGAGTAATAAATAAGGGAACAAGGTTTCTATTTTCTGTGTTTGTAATTACCAGATTTTCACCTCTGTTTATATATTATTCTGATGTAAAAGAACCTCATAGTTATATAAAATTAGACCTTTTGTAAATAAATATAATTTATTAGAAAAAATGGTATCTTTTACTAAATTGGATTTGTGTCAGTTTTTTCCTTTAAGCACCACTCAGGCAGCAAGCTCTATGCTGTGAGAGTTGCTGGAGGCCCACGTTATGTTTTCTCAGTGTAATTCCTCTTTTTCTTGATAAAAAGACTTAAAAAAAAAAAAAAAACCCATCACTGATTTCACGTACATGTTTGTTTCTTCAGATTTTTCTTGGGCATAGATGGGCTGTTAGTTTAAAAAGAAATGGAAAACAAATCCTTTTGATGAAATCTGATAAATTCATCTTTGGAGACATTTCTGATAAAAATTAGGAAATATATTAGGGTTAAGAAGAGTTATCAAACATTAAATAGGTATGTGTGGCTGGGCACAATGGTTTGTGCCTGTAATCCCAACACTTGGGGAGGATGAGGCAGGCAGATCACTTGAGCTCAGGAGTTTGAGACCAGCCTGGGCAACACGGCAAAACCCTATTTCTAGAAAAATTAGCCAGGTGTGGTTGTGCGTATCTACAGTCCCAGCTACTCGGGAGGCTGAAGTGGGAGGATGGCTTGAGCCCAAGAGGCAGAGGTTGCCCTGAGCCGAGATTGTACCACTGCATTCCATCCTAGGTGATAGAGCCAGACCTTGTCTAACAAACAAAATGTGGATTATGGAGCGAGTATAAGAAATGTATCATCTATTTATTTTCCAGTGTAAAATCACCTTATTCTACAGAGAAGATTCCAGTATGTTGAACCAAAGCAGAGTCAGTGATGGGTATCAAGCCCTATTCTATTGAGAGCAGAGTTGAGTCAGGATGGCCACTGGGCACTGCAGTGAATTTCAGTGTTAGATGATGGGGAGTGGGGAACGTGAGTATTTAATTCAAAGTCATTGGTAAATACCTTTTAAAAGAAAGATGAATGTTACTCTATCTGCCTCATTTGAACTTAACTGCTGTAGTTGAGTTTGAAAACATTCTGAATTTGTGGAATATTAAAAGATTTTTCTTTTACCATTAGGCACCAGTCTGATGGTAAAACAAAAGTAGAGATCCTTACTGATCGCAAGACTTTTTCTCTCATAAAATAAAGCTTCTAACACATTGTATAACTGGTTTAGTGGAAAGTGCACTGAATTGCGAACAAAAGACCTAAGGCTTTATTATAGGCATTTATTAGATTGCACCCTGGGCAAGTCAGTTTGCTGAGTCAGTTTCCCAATGTGCACAACAGTGTTAAATACCTCACAGGCTTCTTGTGAGGAATAAAGATTATTGCCTTTAATCTGTAAGCAGTTGTGTGTGACAAATGCAAAGTACGCTGTGGTAGTTGTGACAATAATTATATAAATTATAATTCCTTAAATGACTATAATATATATGCCTCTAAATTTAAGCCACTTGAAAGGTATTCTAAAATTTAAAATTTTTCTTGTTTCCATAAAAAGAACATATGAAATGTTACACATAAACTTTTGATGACTGGGAGTTTTATTACAACTGTTTGTGCAATGGGGGCCAAACTGCTTGTTTGCCTTGCCAACTGGTATGGTTATTGGGTGCAGGGTTAACTATGCAGTTAATATATAGCCTATTATCTTTATTTGTACAACATCCTAATTGTAACATTTGGTGGGGCTGCTGGGGGCGTTGTGGCATTTCACCAAACAAAGGTGCTGTTTACCTAGAAGGTGTATGTTTATAAATGCAATTTTGGAGATGTAGTCTCACTTCCAAGATCCATTGTCTATGTTTTATATAGCAAGCGGTCAAGAGTTCACATAGGGAGGAATCCTTCCTGACGTTTACCAAGTATATTTGGATTCTGAGTTCAAATAGCAAGATATATTTGTTTCTAGAAGGTAAGTCTACATAATATTGCTAAAACCCCCTAAATTGTACCATTGAAAGATTACAACATATTACAGAATAGTAGTGTAAATAGTTTATTATTTGCTCATATGCCATGAAAAGACCAGAAAAGTAACATGAATTGCTTTTATAAAACATTCTAATATTGCTAAGAAGCAGGCCCATTAATAGACAAACAGAAAAGAACATGCCAACGTTGTCTATTTGTAGATTAATAAATAGGCAATTATTTTAATATACATATATGTCAGCATTGAACTTTGGAAAACAGCTGCTTTGTAGTGGAAGTCCAACTTGGTCAAATTGCTATTTTTAATCGAAGTGAATGTTGAGTCCACAGAAAGACAAAATCGTGGCATGTTCTTTTTAAAGTAAAGTACACATTTATGGGAATGTGCCCGCAGGTGGCAGTTTAATCTTTCTGTAAATAGGTACACTAAAGTGAAATGTGGTAGGTAACTTGTTCCCTAAACTGTCCTTATAGTTAAATATATATATTAAAAAAAACTATAAGTTAAAATAACATTCAGATTGTATAGCATAGGCTGATGCATTTTAAAACAATATTTACAATATTACCCAGAGGCTTAGGTGGGAATTAAAGAGAAGTGTAAAAACCATAAAAAACTGCACCGATTTTATAGCAAAATATCTGTACATTTAAAAAGATCATATAACTACACATCCAAGGAAAAGGGACCTTCACCAAGGGGTTCACATAAGCACAACATAAAATAGGAACTTCAGCGGTTAAATACTATACAATAAACTTTACAATTAATATATTGATGTACCAAGAAGATAAGCCAGAAGCAGAATGTATATTATGAAAAGTACAAATTTAGCTTCAGTCCAGTTTTTGACTTTGGAATGGATCAAGTGCCCTGCCAGAGAGGAAGGAAAATAACAGTGGCTTAGTGGGCCATCTAGTCCCATTACGTATTATTTAAGCTTAATACCATGTTAATACTTTTCAGCAACTTAAACTGCAATTCTCCATAAGTAGTCTGGGAAATGCATGAAAAACTTAGCCTCGATACACGATGCCAAGTGTATCTTCTTGAATTTATAAAAAATAAGAAAAAATTGCGATTGTCAGAGGAGAGTAAGGCCAGGTTCCTAACACTACTCTGCTAGCAGATGTAACCTTGAATGCTTGTTGATAGAGCTAGTAAACTTCCTTGCAAGGCACCAATTTCTGTTCTCAGAATTAATAATGGTCCTCAGAAATGCTAATGCTGATTACTGAGATGTTAATTTTAATGCTAATAAATACACTTGCATTATTTAAAAAGCTGCCTCTAGCTGAAGAACACAGTACTGCAAATAAGTCTTATACACTATATCCCCACATTCATACTAGTGAATGCCTCTCACAGAGCATCGTTCTCTAGCGCAGAAGTAGTAGAATGTGAAACTGGAAACAAAGGATTGAGTGACCTTTGTGCCACTGCAGTTGCATCCTGTTTGCACTTTGCCAGGGCCTGGTTATAGACAAAAGGAGTTTCATCATGTGACTTTCCTTCTTCCAAATTGCAAGTAAAATACAAAGTTGATGGATATGGCTAAAACAAAATTCCTTCGAAGACATCTCAGCAAAGGACCCACAGCAGATGCATTGATGTTATTTACAACATCAGGAAACCAGGTGGGCCATGATGGGACAATCACAATGGCAGGTAATGAGTTTAATAAGAACTTTACATTTTGGTTAAAAATAACATACTGGTGTAAAAAGATACCTAATCAAATCAAATCCTATTGCTTTGATTAATCTGAACAGGTACTTCCATTTTTAGGCACTTGTTAACAAGGGTTGAAAGGAGAGCTCATTTTAAAATTCTTCCGTGTTTGCTAAATCTGAGCCCTTAAGAATATTTTTGTGTGTGTTCAAGGCTGCAGTTAAATCGTAGCACATAAAGTTCATGTGGGCAGTTTCATTCACGCACACCCTGTATTCATGCAGGCCAGTCTCAGGTTCACATTGTTATTTCGGCACCATTAACAGAACGCAAGTTCTGATCATCAAAGCGCCGCCTGACGCTTCTCCTCACCGCATCGGCTCGTCTGTATGGTTGGTTTCTAAGATCTGTAAAGGGGAGAGTGCCAGTGAGAGAATAGCAACCTTTAATAGCATGTGTCTAAGCAGGACAAAGGCCAGCTGGCAGCCAATCAAAGCAGCTTGTGTAGAAAAGTCAGCTAATGGGCCCTTCAAACTCACTGAGCATTGAATCAAAGACATAAAACATTTGCCTTCAATATTTACAATCAAACAAAACAGGATGTAATACTGGTAGGATTCTAGGACTTTGAGAGAAAAATACATAGATTATTTCTGTCACTGGCCAGAGTCTAGCTGAAGTCTTATTTTGAAATGTTTCTTAAATTAGAAGCAGCTGTAGCTTAATTTTTTTGTTTTGTTTTTATTCTGGAAGCCTGAATGAATAAATAGTAACTGCAATAAATTTTAAACTGCAAAATTAATAAAGCAGACTGTCCTGTCCCATCTTTTCCTCGCAGTTTTAACAAGAACCTAAAGACCTTCAGTTTGCAGATAAGGGCTCTATTATTTTCATTCCATTAAGCTAGCTGAGTTTATTATTTTGTAAATTTTAAACAAAATGATGTTCAATTAACCATTAAATCTAAACCAAAATAATAATCTATTCCCTGGCATCCTTTTCTGCCACCTATTTTTTTTAAGAAATGGGGTCTTGTTATGTTGTCCAGGCCAGACTTGAACCAGTCTCAAGCGATTCTCCCACCTCAGCCTCCTGAGAAGTGGGGACTACCGAGCTCTACCACCCAATATTTTTTATGTTACGTCAGCAAGAAGTAGTTGTGTGGGCCCTCCTGCATAAGAAAATCCTTGTTAAATGAATGAGTCAATCACTGCATACCAGTCCAAATAGGCATTGCTCTGTCAGGATGAAGTGGGAGGAGCAGAGGAATTTTATACAAGAACTCAGTATGAAGGCATGCTTTCTTGAGTAAGTCAGGTAGCTAGCCAGCAGGCTAGGCTATGCAGCCTCCCTTTGATGAAGTCAGGGCATAGTGAAAAAAGTAAAGCAGGCTTTATACTTTTCCTGTTTAATTAGTATTTACTTCCCTTTCATTAACTTAGTATTGTTGACTTCTGCTAGAATACATGCTATCTTTAGAAAGGGAAATACAAACAAATAACAGAATTAAACCAAATTGAATCTTTTGTATCCCTTTATCTACTCAACAAGTTGAAAATGCAGCTGATGGACCACATTTGACCCACAGAATGTTTGCTCCACTGTGCCCCCCCACCCCCCGCACATGTACAGTTTCCTGGTGTTTAAATTGGTAATTAACATAAAGACCAGGGTTTCTGGCTTCTTTTGAAAAACTGGAAGATCTGGCAAAACCGGGCCCCAGTTCCTACACAGCAAAAAGAAGTTGGAGCTAAGATCTGTGCTCTAGGTTCAGCACAGTTCCTACCAGGCCTGTTACCTTCCTGGCTCCTTGACTCATTGGAATTTGTGTGACCCTGCCCTACTCTTTTCTGGGGGGGTGGGCGGGGGTTGTGAGGGGAGGACAGTCTCTGTCACTGAGGCTCGAGTGTAGTGGTGATCTCTGCTCACTGCAGCATCCACCTCCTGGGCTCAAGGGATCCACACATCTCAGCGTCCCAGGTAGCTGGGCTACAGGCATTTGCCACCATGCCTGGCTAACTTTGTTTGTTTGTTTTTTTTTTTTTGTAGAGATGGGGATTTTGCTTCATTGCCCAGGGTGATCTTGAACTCAACAGATTTGCCCACCTCGGCCTCCCAGAGTGCTGGGATTACAGATTACAGGTGTGAGCCACTATGCCCAGCCTCTACTCTTAAATTTAAGGAAAAAATAGTTTTGCATACCCCAATCCTCTCAAGCCTCTGCTTCCTAGCCCACACTGGTAATGAAAGGCCAGAATTACACTTTTGCCTCATATGCAGCTTTGTGGTTCTTCATCCTCTGAGCAATTAGTTCTAAAGATCTTAATCCTTCAAAGGCTGTAATGTTACCTGGCCAGGACCTGCTTTCAGTCGCTTCAGATCAAAATGGGTTTAACTGAGTAACTCAAAGGCCAAGACAGGGGTAAGGGAAGGACAGCCCAACACTCAAAGCAAATACAATCATCAGCAAATACCCTTGCCCAAGCCATCACACTTAGAACTTAAAAGCAGGCCGAGAAAGAGTCCAACAGAGAGGCTCAATCCCTGCATCATTGGAATGTGAGGTACAAAAACTCCCTGGTCAGATTCTCACCAGTATTACCCTCAGCCATAGATTGAAAACCATTGATCTGCATACAGAGAGAGGAGGAAGCTAAGTAAAAAGTGATGCTTGCCAGCTCTGTGTATCCTCCACCACCGGTGTGCTAGAAGAAATCCTTACCCTCGAGTGAACATTTGGAAATTTAGTGATATTATTCTTCTTTAAGGCTAAACAGAAAAAAACAAAAACACAAAATGATGGTTAAGAAAAAATGGGATGAAAATGGAAAGCAACTCAACTTAGTGCTCAACATTCCCAGGCATGTTAGCCAACAGAGGAAGAGAATGAGAAGCCATTACTACAAGAAATGTTAGATCAAATAAGGGAAGGATGAGTGCATCTTCCCACCCAGCTCTCTGACCACCCAGTTCCAAGCTGCTTTGAAGATTGGCTCCAGAAAGATAGATATAGTCCAACAGCAAAACTGACAGCAAACATCAGCCAAGCAGATGACAGTTTTCTAGCCTGTTAATAAGCACTGGTGGGTAAGTACACTGCAGAGCAGGCAATGACACTCTATGTCCTTTGATATCAGAGATAGAAGAACATACATAAGTGCAATTCATAGAATAGTTATGCCACAAAATAAACACATACCCAATTCCATGTCAATCTCAGCACAGGAGTCAATGGCTACGTCCAATTAGAGTATGTGTTTCCCTTGTCTCTTTTCTAATCAACTAGACACTGGAGAGAAGTTCGTTTCTTATTAGGCATCAAAAACTGTGCCCAGGAGGTTACTTTGAAAAGTTTGACCCTTTTTTCCCCCCCAATTTAAAAACAGTGGCATTTTCCAATGATATTTGCTGTTAGTATTTCTGGTGCCATCATCCTGACCAAAGAAGCAGGTCAAGATATGATCTGATCACAGAAGAAATAGCCTGGGTTTGACATGGAACAGAGCTACCGGTGAAGATGCGTGAATGAGATAAGACAGTGGGAGGACCTAAGCCTTTGTATTCATGTCCTGCCTCACAGCTTTGCTCCAACATGGAATTACTGATAGTTGAACATGGGCATGACATTCAGAAGGAATAGAGGTGGCCTACTAAAGTAGGGTGACATAAAGCTATGGATTGCCTATATCTACATATACAAGCTAGGTTAAAAGGGCTCCCTGTGTTAAGCTCATATTACGAGTTCCATCATGCTATGGACGTATAAGAGAGTTAAGAAAGGCCTGATTTGCAGCTGTGCATAGTTCACAGTTCCTTCTGCAAGTCATTTTGCACTTTAGAGCACTTCGCATTCCTGAGCACTTTCATATGGCAGGTGATTATGCTATCAAAGCATATTAACTGGGTATAGGATAAAAGGGCTAGGTTAATATCTGTAAACCTACTTAGAACAGTATGTTTTGTTTTTTGTTTTTGTTTTTTTGAGACAGGGTCTCACTCTGTTGCCGAGGCTGGAGTGCATTGGTGGGATCTCCACTCACTGCAACCTCCACCTCCTGGGCTCAAGCAATGCTCCCACCTCAGCCTCCCGGGTAGCTGGGACTACAAGTGTGCACCACCATGCCCAGCTGATTTTTGTAAAGATGGGGCTTCCCTATGTTACCCAGGCTGGTCTCAAACTCCTGGGCTCAAGTGATCCTTTTGCCTCAGCCTCTCAAAGTACTGGAATTACAGGCGTGTGCCACTGCATCCAACCTGAACACAGTAAGTTCTTAATACATGTTAGGTATAGCAGTTATTGTTATTAATGGATATGTTGAAGGACATTAGCTCAAAAATCTTATAAGCAATCTACTTGGTACCAATACTGATTCTCAAAGAAGTGCTCTTAATATTTTTGCTCTATTTTTCTGAAAATTTCTGTGAACAATTCTATGAATTCAGCTGTCAAACACACCCAGACTGTTACAGCAATGTGAATACATACATGTATTGAAAGTGGCCAGTGAGTGAGCAATAATAATTGAAATGCAAAACCATGCAGCATGAGAACAACACAAAATATAACATGATGGAGATGGCAATTCCATGCTAGCATGTTGGTGGGCCCTGACAGACACACAGAGGGGGACATAAGACATCAAAAAACCTGTAGCAACCTTTTAAGAGCATCAGGTGAGAAAGAGTAATAGTTTAGTAATGGTATTCCTCAGTGAGAACAGGTTCGCAGAAAAACCGAGAGCCACGCTTGGCGGTGCGAGCAGTAAAGGGCACAGTCTTCAGCACTGCATTGAAAATGACAGCCAAACAACACAAACAGAAGAGAATAAAAAGCCAAGATCTATTGCATTAGTACATGGTTAGTGCATTGTTAATCATACCTGGGGATGGGGGTGGGGAAGATGGGCAGGAAAGGGGGAAGGCAATATATACTCAAGTTAGTTCATAAAGGTACAAAGGAATTTATCTGGGGCTTTGGGGTGGATCAGAAAATGAAAAATACTCCAAGGAGGATAAAAACTGCCCTATAAACAGATACTCATTCCCCTCTTCTAGTAGATTAATGACTTAGATCAAGCAAATAGAAAATGTACATTCATTTTATAACGCCAGGTGTAATTGGGATGGAGGACATACTAATGAAAAAGGAACTCCACGTTCTTTGGTTTTTGTTTGTTTTGTTTTGTTTTTTTTTGAGACAGAGTCTCCCTCTATTGCCCAGGCTGGAGTGCAGTGGCATGATCTCAGCTCACTGCAACTTCCACCTCCCAGGTTCAAGCAATTCTCCTGTCTCGGCCTCCCAAGTAGCTGGGATTACAGACACCAGCCACCATGCCTGGCTAAGATTTTTGTATTTTTAGTAGAGATGGGGTTTCACCATGTGGCCAGGCTGGTTTCGAAGTCCTGATCTCAAGTGATCCACCTGCCTCACCCTCCCAAAGTGCTTAGGATTACAGGCATGGGCCACCTCGCCCAGCCAGGAACTCCAAGTTCTTAATGAGCAAGGCTGGATGCTTCCCTAACTACAACTTCATTTTATGGCACTGAGACCAAAAAGTGCTTACCTAGGAAGGAGCTCTGCTCCTGGTCTTGCTCAGGGTGGAGTTTCTCCCCCAGCATGGAGGAGGCAAGGAGAGTGCTACAATGAAGGTTTTATCTGGGGGGCATCTATAAGCCACTGCACTATGTACACTGAGATACCAATAGGCACATTTGTGCAGAGTGTGTGTGCCATGTGTAGAGAATGGCATTTTCATCAGCCACTTACTATCTAAGACCTACACTGCTTTAATCTGGAAGGGAATTCATTATTGACTTCCTTTTTAATCTATCTAATCTACCTAATCACCTAACCTATGTATTTAATTTCCCTGGGTTTGAGCTGTTGAGAAAAAAATTTGTGGTTTTGACCATTTAGGATCCCAATGTACAATGTTCACTAAGCTATAACAAGAAATGAGACAGGCTGGGCATGGTGGCTCACGCCTGTAATCCCAGCACTTTGGGTGGCCGAGGCGGGCAGATCACGAGGTCAGGAGATCGAGACCATCCTGGCTAACACGGTGAAACCCCATCTCTACTACAAATACAAAAAATTATCCAGGCGTGGTGGTGGGCGCCTGTAGTCCCAGCTACTTGGGAGGCTGAGGCAGAAGAATGGTGTGAACCCAGGAGGCAAAGCTTGCAGTGAGCTGAGATAGCACCACTGCACTCCAGCCTGGGCAACAGAATGAGACTCCATCAAAAAAAAAAAAGAAATGAGACATCAAGAGTCTAGGAATTCTATTTTTAAAAATCAGGACAGTTGGGGAAATGTGAACTAATGACTAGATATTTGATATTAAGGGATTCTTAGATGTGATAATGGTGTAAAGTATGTTTTTGTTTTTATTTTTTAAGAGTCCTTATCTTTTGAAGATACATACTGAAATATTTCCAAGTGAAATTCTACGTCTTGGTTGTCAAGGGTTGGATATGGGGGTAGGTAGAGTGTACATGTAACAAGATTGGCCATGAGTTCGTAATTGTTGAAATGGATGAGGGATACATGGGACCTCATCATACTATTTTCAGTACATCTGCATATTATTGGACTGTCCCATTATAAAAAGCTATAAGCATCTGGAAGCTTATAAGCAACATTCATGTGCAACAGACATGAAGGAAAAGTCACTTGCTGCCTCTCCTACTAGTGCCCAAGTTATTACTCTGATCTGTAAAAGGAAGTACAGAAATTTGGGAGAATTGGTTCGAGGAGATAGCATTATGCTAATTCAATCAGACAGGAACCAGGCTGGGTTAACACAATTCTTGGCTGATAAAACCAGTTCCCAACCCTGGGCTGGAAGCCTGTTGGCTCACCCAAATTAAAGTACCTACTGACTTCAGTTACTTTGAATGAGTAAAGAGGCTCTTAAAGAGCATCCATGGACTGTGATTAGTACATTGCTGAATGGGTCTTGTCCACAGTGTTTATTAATCAGGCAGGTGGCTAGGTGTGGCCACGAGGAAAAAAAAAATGGAGCATGATGACATATCAATAACAATGGAAATCCTTTAAATGAAGGAG